>NC_000023.11:152960454-153263484 GCF_000001405.40 Homo sapiens | reverse complement strand
GAGAGATAATTTTCAGTAAAGTTACTGTAGGAAACCACATTCAATTATATGATCTCACAAAGAGTCTGTAGTACAGCAAGGGCTCTGGCAGCCTTTGCCCATTGTTCCTCACCCAACACGTTGGTGGCTTGCTATGAGCCAGTGAAATGCTGATGGTCACAAGCAAGTGAATTCAAAGGGAATAGGATACAGTAGCCTTACCTTTAACCTGTTACTCGCACAGGCAGTGGGAAAGCACGATGAGAGTGAATACAGTCTTGAAGACTTTGCTAAATGTAGATGAAAGAAGGAAAATGCATGATTACAAACAGAAAGAAACTTGCAGAGCTGGTAGCAAACAAAGACAGGTACGAAAGTTAAAGATAATTTTAGAAGACGTAAAGACAATCTATAGCTGTATCTATTTGAGTCCATAGCTATGTCTTTATGTATACCCACGCCTCTATCTATCTAGAGAGAGAAAAGGATGAAAGGAAATAATACCCGGGATTTTAAATGGAATATTATATCTGCTTGGTGGAATTATGTGTGAATTTCATTTCCTTTATAAATTATATTTTCATAACATTTTACAGTGAAGATGTATTACATTTTTAACTAGAACACAGACTTGAAAGTAGAATTTAAGTTACCTTAGAGAGCCTCATATTATAGTATTTCTTTATTTGTTATTAATTTTAATTTTTGTATTTTGTATATAAATTTATGGGTACATGTGAAATTTTGTTACATGTATACAATGTGTAGTGATTAAGTCAGGATATTTAGGGTGTCCGTCGCCTGAGTACAATACATTTTTGTGAAGGACCGTCACCCTACTCTGCTCTCAAACACGGAATTGATTGCTTCTATCTCACTGTAGGTTTGTTCCCTTCAACGCACTTCTCTGCATCCTTCTCCTGCTGACTCACTCTTCCCAGTCTCCATTCTCTACCTCTCCATTCTCTAGCTCCACGCGATCAGATGTTTTAGCTCCCACATATAATAGAGGACATGTGATATTTGTCTTTTTATGCCTACTTTATTTCACTGACGATAATGGCCTCTAGTTCCGTCCATGCGGCTGCAAATAACATGATTTCATTCTTCTTTTTAAAGGAATAATTTGTGTTCCACACACACACACACACACACAAATACACCTAGATATATGTATACATATATACACCATCTTGTTAAAAAACCATTCATCTGTTGATGCACACTGAAGTTGATTCCACGTCTTTGCTATTGTGAATAGTGCTATATAGTAAACATGCAAGAGCAGGTATTTTTTTAATATATTGATTTCTTTTCCTTTTGGTAGATACCCAGTCATGGGATTGCTGCATCGAATGGTAGTTCTGTTTTCAGTTTTGTTGAGAAGTCGCCATACTCTTTTCCACGGTGGCTGTAGTAGTTTACACTCTCACCAACAGGCTGTAAGATTTGCCTTTGCTTCTTATTCTTGCCAACCTCTGTTATTTTGTGTCTTTTTAAATAGTGGCCATTCTGACTGAGGAAAGATGATATGTCATTGCGGTTTTGGTTTGCATTTCTGTGGTGGTTAGTGAAATTAGGCCTGTGTCTCTCACCGTATACAAAAATGAACGCAAATAGATTAAGGAGTTACATAAAAGAGCTGAGGCCGGGTGTGGTGGCTCACGCCTGTAATCCCAGCACTTTGGGAGGCCGAGGCGGGCGGATCATGAGGTCAGGCGATCGAGGCCATCCTGGCTAACACGGTGAAACCCCGTCTCTACTAAAATTACAGAAAATTAACCGGGCGTGGTGGCACGTGCCTGTAGTCCCAGCTACTCGGGAGGCTGAGGCAGGAGAATCGCTTGAACCCAGGAGGTGGAGCTTGCAGTGAGCCGAGATGGCGCCACTGCACTCCAGCCTGGGAGACAGAGCGAGACTCCGTCTCAAAAACAAAACAAAACAAAACAAAACAAAGCAAAGCAAAACAAAACAAAGTAAAATAAAAGAAAACACAAAAAACAACCTGAAGCTATATAAATGCTAGGAGAAAACCTAGTGAAAACTCTCTTTGACACCGGTCTAGGCAAAGAATTCCTAAGACTTTGAAAGCACAGGCAGCAAAAACGACCAAAAATAGACAAATACAGTGCATACAGCTGAAAAGCTTCTGCACAACAAAAGGCACAATCAGCAGAGTAAAGAAATAACCTATTGAATGGGAGAAGATATTTGCAAACTAATCACCCGACAGGTGACTGATATCCAGAACATACGAGGAACTCAAACGACTCGACAGGAGAAAAAGGAGCCCCTTAAAAAGTGGGCCAAGGAACTGAATTGACATTTCCCAAAAGAAGACATACCAATGTCCCACAGGTGTATGAAAAAAGTGATTCACATCACTAATCATCGGAGAAATGGGAATCAAAACCCATATTAATTTATTAGTGGAAAGCAGAGGGTTCTTTATTAGCTAACTTCTGGAAGACTAAGTTTACAAATTCATTAAATGCAGCATTCTTAGGAGTTAGAAACTTGGTGTAATGATCTGTAGAGGGGGAGTCATCCAATACCTGTGTTTTCCTGCCCTTAGATGAAAATGGAAATGTGTCCATTGGATTTACTCTCAAAACTGTAATATAGACAAGTTCTACTTTGTGCTAGACATGCCATAAAATGATGTAATTCAGTCTTGATTATTTGTGGAGTAGAGACTCCATTCATATCCTGTTTTTTTACTTCTTTCTCATTTTTCACATTTTCAATAGTTTCGTAATCTCCATGGACTGTATTTGCAAAAAGAAGACGATGGTGTCCAAAAGCCACCAGATGGAGGCGTTGAGCTGCCATTGTTAATGTCAGCCAGGCAGTCCCTGACGCATAGTGTGTGGGTATGAGAACAACCTGGATAACTTATTTCCAATGCAGATTTCACATTCCCTCCCACAGAGAGAGTTCATTTGGTAGGCCTGAAGAGGGCCATGAAATCCAAACTTTCCCAAATCCCTTTCACTGTGACCCTGATACAGGCTGGTCCACAAGTCACACTTTGAGAAACTTTGATTTCAATGGTAATGGTAGTTATGGCCATATATGAAAATAAATAGAGAAAGAGTATACAGCTGGAAGAGAATTGAGCAAGACCCAAATCCCTGGAAATTCCATCTTGAAAGGGCCCCGTGGAGAAGGTGCTGCTAGAAAAGATATTGAGACGTGGCCAAGATGAAGAGAATAACAGGAGAATGTGTTGTTATGGAAGACAAAGGAAGACAAAAGGAGGGCACTGAGAAAAAGAGGAGAGTGCTCAACAGTGTTGACCGCAGCTGAGAATCAACTGAGATGAGTGCCAGAGAATGTGCATTAGATCTAGTCACATGGAGGTCACCAGTGACTTTTGAGGGAGAATCCTTTTAGAAGAGATGTGCGGGCCCACGTTGGTTTCTAGTGGATTACAGAAAATGTGAGAGATGAGGCAATAGAGGCACCAAGCAGAGATAATCCTTTGGAAACTTTGACACAAAGAGTAAGAGAGTGGTGGGAATTACATTGGTGGTGAATAAGGCCCAGGGATTTTCAAGTTGAAGGAGATTCGAGTATGCGCAAATGGGAATAAGAAGGATGGCAAGAGAAAGACATGCAGAAGATAGAGGGAGGAGAAAGATAATGGATAAACTAATGGATAACACGAGGTTTCTGGAAGACAGGAGGCCATGGAACCTAGAACACAGGGGCAGGGACGTCTTTCCTCCTCTAACAGAGGGAGAGACAGGGCACAGATGCAGGTAGCTTGTAGGTTTGATGGCAGAAGTTTTGGGGGATTTCGTCTGAATTGTTCTGTCACAAAACCAGCAAGGGAGACAAATGGTGCGTGTGACAGGGAGTTGGGAGTGGAAGGAGCAAACCTGAAGGGTGAGTAGAGCAGAGAAGAGAGAGAAAGTGATGCTCCTATAAGACAGAGATAGGGAACCCAAAACAGAAGAGTCAGGTAACGGAAGGAGGAAATGTAGAGAGATGGAATGGGGAGTGAGCAAGTAAGAGAGATACTGGGAGAAAGCTGGCAGCTGTCATGAAGCTCTCCTAAGGGGACTTGGGGGGAAATAGAGCTCTGGTTAAAGGGGAGGATTTCCTCTGTGGCTGAAAATAAAAATCATCATGTAGTTTTTTGGGGGCTTAATGGAGGTGAGTCATCTGTGACCCAAGGATGCGACTTAGTGTTGCTCAAGTGGAGACTGGAGGATCCACGTTCAAAGATGGCTTGCTCTCATGGCTGGCAAGCTGCAGCTGGTTATTAGCTGGAAACTTAGCTGAGGCTGGGAGCCTCTGATGCTCTCCACGGGTTTCTCCACGGGCTGCTTGAGCTTCCTCAAAGCATAATGGGTGGGTTCCCAGATCAAGTGTCCTGAAGGAGCAAGGTGGGATTTCATGGCATTTTTGTGTCCTAGTCTCCACAGACAGAAATCCTCACTTGTGTGGTCCTCTCTCACACTCAGCAGCTTCATACACTGCCTGAGTCCAAGAGAAGGACATATAGGCTGCACTCCTTGATAGGAGCAGGGCCCCAGGTCACATGGAAAGAAGAGCTTGTGGGAAAGAAGGTGGTACTGTGACCATCTTCAGAAAATGCAATTTGCCACAACCAGTTAAATGGTTAAAAAGGAATAACAGTGTAACATAAAAAATTTTTTTAATTTTAGCTTTAAAATTTTTATGTATACATAGTAGGTGTATATATTTATGGGGTACATGAGATTTGTTTGTTTCTGTTTGAGACAGAGTCTGGCTCTGATTTCCCAGTGTCACTGCCACTGTGGGTTCATGACTCACAGAAGCCTTGATTTCCCAGACTCACATGATCCTCCTGTCTCAGCCTCCTGAGTCACTGGGACTACCAGGACATGCCGTCATGCCTAGCTAATCTTCTTATTTTTGGTAGAAACAGGATCTCTCTGTGGTACTAAGTCTGGTCTTGAGCTCCTGGGCTTAAGTGATCCTCCCATCTCAGCCCCGCAAAGTGCTGGGACTACAAGGGTGAGCCACTGCACACAGCCCACTGTAACACTTTAAACATATTTGAAAAGGTAGAACTAATGTACATGTATTGAAACTACAACATGATACTGGAAAATATACCTTCTCAGGTTTACAAAGAACATTTACAGAAATTGATCATATGTGAGGTCACGAAGAAAACATTAGTAAGCTCCACATATAGAGATATCACAAACTACTGCTGTGGTCGTAGTACAATACAACTAAAAGCTGTAAATAAGCTCACGTGCCCCAGAACTCATAAAAATCAACTGTTAAAGAACTACTGGGTGCCGGCCTAGATATGAGGAGGAATTATCTACTTTCTGATAAATTATAATAAACCCTATAGATTTGAATCTATGACATATATTTAAAGAGGTGATCAGAGAAAAGTAGACCGCTTTGAATACTCATAACCATGACAATGGGAGTATAAAAATGAATCAGTGACATTTCTAGCTCAAGGGCTAGACATAAAACAAAGTTAAAAGAAAGCACGAACAAGTAATAATGTTAATATATAAAGCAGACATTAATGAGGGAGAAACAGAAATAGGAGACACAAATATTGAAGAGTGTCTTTTTAAATCAATGAGGCAGATGAAGCAGTAGCTAACTGAATCAAAGATGCAGAGATAGTGTTTCTGTATATATATAATAGGTACACAGACAGGTAGATAGGTAGGCAGGTAGATAGATAGCTAGATAGATAGGCATAGAGATAGATAGATAGATAGATAGATAGATAGATAGATAGATAGATGATAGATAGATGTTTGCACAGGAGACACACAACTACCAGCATACTTTGTTTGATTGTGCTTTATTGCACTTTGCAGATGCAGCTTGTTTTGGAAGGTTCCTAATGACCCTGATTTGAATAATCCGTGGGCACCATTTTTCACAGCATGTGCTCACCTCGTGTCTCTGTGTCACATTTTGGTAATTCTTACAACATCTCAAATTTTCAGTAGGACTATATCTGTTTTGGTGATCCGTGATCAGTGCTCTTTGATTTTGCTATTGTAATCACATTGGGAAGCCACAAAATGCACCCTAGAAGAAGCAAGCTTAATCAATCAATGTTGTGTGTGTTTTGACTGCTCCACTGACTGGCCTCTCCCCATCTCTCTCACTCTGCTCTGGTCTCTCTACTCCCTGTGACACGACAGAATTGAAATTAGGCCAAATAATAACCCTACGATGGCCTCTAAAGGTTCAAGTGAAAGGAGGAATTGCAGATCTCTCACTTTAAATCAAAAGGGAGAAATTATTAAGCTCAGTGAGGAGGGCACGTTGCAAGCTGAGATAGGCCCCAAACTAGACCACCTGTGCCAAAGTCTTAGCCAGGTGGTGAAAGAAATGAAAAGTGCCACTCCGGCGAACACATGAATGATAAGGAAGCGAAACAGATTTCGTGCTGATATGCAGAGAGTTTTAGTGGACATATCATCAAACCAGCCACCAGATGCCCTTAAGCCAAGGCCTAATCCAGAGCACAGCCCTATCTTTCCTCACTTCTCTGAGGCCGAGAGAGATGAGGAAGCTGCAGAAAAAAGACAAAAAACAAAAAACAAAACAAAACAAGACAAAAAACAAAAACAAAAAAAAGGAGAAGCTAGCAGATACTGGTTCATGGAGTGTAAGGAGAGAGGCCATCTCCATCACATAAAAGTGCAAGATGGATCATCAAGTGCTGATGGAGGCACTGCAGGAAGTTCTCCAGAAGATCTAGCTGAGATCATGGGTGAAGGTGGCTGTGCTCACGACAGGTTTTCCTTCTAGATGAAACGGCCTTCTACTGGAAGAAGATACCATCTAGGACTTTTGTAGGTAGAGAGGAGAAGTCAATGCCTGGCTCCAAACTTTCAAAGGACAGGCTGACTCTCTTGTTAGGGGGCTAATGCAGCTGGTGACTGTAAGTTGAAGCCGATGCTAATTTATCGCTTTGAAAATCCTAGGGCCTTTAAGAATGATGCTAAAGCTACTCTGCCTGTGCTCTAGAAATGAAACAACAAAGCCTGGACGACAGCACATCTGTTTACATCGTGACTTACTGAAGATTTTAAGCCCACTCTTGAGACCTACTGCTCAGAAATAAAAAGATTCCCTTCCAAATATTACCACTCATTCACAGTGTGTCTGGTCACTCAAGAGCTGTCATGAAGATGTACAAGGAGGTTTTTTTTTTTTTTAATTTTATGCCTGCTAGCATGCATGAAACATTCACTCTGCAGCCCATGGATCAAGAAATGATTTTAACTTTCAAGTCTTCCTGTTTAGCAAACAGATTCCATAAGGCTGTAGCTGCTATAGATAGTGATTCCTCTGAAGGATCTGAAAAAAGGAAATTGAAAACCTTCTGGAAATGATTCCCCTTTCTGCATGCCACTAAGAACATTCGTGATTCATGGGAGGAAGTCAAAATATCAACATTAAAGGATGAAGTTGATTCCAACCCTCACAAATCACTTTGAGGGGTTCACAATGTCAGTGGGGGAAGTACCTGCAGATGTGATGGAAATAGCAAGAGAACCAGAAAGAGTAGTGGAGCCTGAAGAAGAAACTGAATCACTGCAATCTCATGATCAAACTGGAAGGGACAAGGAGTTGCTTCTTACGGAAGAACAAAGAAAGTGATTTCTTGAAATGGAATGGAATCCATTCCTGGAGAAGATGCTGTGAACGTAGTAGTAGTTGAAATGACAGTACGGGATTTAGAGTATTGCATAAACTTAGTTGATACAGCAGTGGCAGGGTTTAAGAGGGTTCGTTACAACTTTGAAGGATATTCAACTATGGGTGAGTAAAATGCTATAAACAGCATCGTATGCTATGGAGACAGGTTTCATGAAAAGAAGAGTCAATCTATGTGTCAAACTTCATTGATGTCTAATTTTAAGAAATTGCCACAGCCACCCCAACTTTCACCAACCACCCCACCGATCACTCAGCAGCCATGAACATTGAGGCAACACTTCACACCAGCTAAGAGTGTATGACTCACTGACGGCTCAGGTGATATTGAGCATTTGTTATAATAAACTCTTTTTAAGTTAAGGTATGTATATATTTTTGCCATAGTGCTATTGCACATCTAATAGACTATAATATACTGTAAACTTAACTTTTACATGCAAGAAACACCAAAAAATTCATGTCACTTGCTTTATTGTGATGGTCTGGAACTAAACCCACAATATCTTTGAGGTATGCCTGTAAATAACAATAAAGAGGAAATTTTTAAAAATCAGAGGGGCCTCTTTACACATCTCTATGCCGATAACCTTGTAAAACTATATGAACTATGTAATTTCTTGTGAAAATACACTCACTATATAATTGACCCCAATAGCGCCCAAAAGGATAAAAGAACATTTGTACAGAGGAAATAGCCTTACGAAGGAAATCTCCCATATGAGACCACCAGGCACAGACTGTTTCATAGGCACTTTCTCCAAACCAAAGCCTACTCTTGAGAGCTACTGCTCAGATCAAAAGGCTCCACGCCCACCAAAACATAACCAGGTAGGGGATACAATTACAAATAAAACAATCATTTACAAAAGCAACAAAAATGATGAAAATATTTAGGCATAAAATTAAGACATATTGAAAGCACTATACGGTGCCTTTTAAAAAGACACAAAAGCAGACTTGGGCAAGTGGGTAGAAATCGTTTGTTCAGTGTTAGGACATTACGGCATCATCAAGATGTTGGTTCTCCCTAAGTGAGTTTATAAGTTTAATACAATTCCATAAAAATACCAACACCATTCCCTTTTTCCTGGAGAGAAGAAGATGGTATCATAATGCCCATTTCAAAAGGCAAGAATAGCTACAAAGTCACGGGAAAGGAAGAGCTATATGGGAAAACTGGCCCCAAACACATTACAGTATACACCCAGCCTCCATAATTAAAACACTGTGGTATTCACTGGCATGGGAATAGAGAGACAGACCAAGGCAACATTCTAGAAAGTGATAAGACGACCCAGTAATATTTGCAAATTGGGAGTATGATAAAGGTAGCATTTCAAATCAGCAGGAACAAAGAGGGACTTTGCAGTAAATAAGCTGATAATGGGGAAAGTGTATGCTCTTCAACTAATGAGGACAAGAAAACCGAATTTCTGCACGGGAAGGAAAAAAAGGAATTGGTTCTCCACCTGACATCAGGCACAAAAATCAATTGTAGGTAAGTCAGGAAAAATAACTAATGGGTACTAAGCTTAATAAGTGGGTGATGAAATAATCTGTACAACAAAGCCCCATGACACAAGTTTACCCTATAACAAACCTGCACATATACCTCTGAACTTAAAGGTTAAAAAGAACATGAAAAATTAAATCTCACAATCTTTATTAGAAAATAGAGGGGAAATTTTTATGACTTCAGAGAAAAGATAAATTTATTACAAAAGGCACAGGTAAACACAGTTATAAAGCTTAGCCTCACAATATATAAGAAATGGAAGAAAAACATCTTATTAAAGTGAAAAATGGTTAATTCACCAACATGGATATTGTACTGTAAAAGGATATGCAAACAGCCGAGAAAAAGAACCCAGTCTTATTAGTAACTGGAGAAATGCAAGATCCCAAATCCATGCCATTTCACACCCACTAGAATGACAGCATTAAGCAAAAGGCCTATTCCACCAGCGAGTCTGTGTAACAGTGGGAACACACTCTTCTGGTGGGGGATGCCTCTTGGAAACAATTGAGCACTGGGGAATATTCCCTGAGTCTATGATCCAGGAATTCCACTCTCTGATAACCGTGTAAACCTTTGGCACGTATGCCAGACATCTCACTCTTCATAGCATCCTTGCTTAGAAGGGACTGACACTGGAAAGAACTGACATGTCCATAGACAGAGAACTAAGTGGATTTTTTGTAGATTAGCCCCACAGAGGTAGGTGATGGAATAGGGGAAATGAAAGCAGCATGTCTACAGGTAACCACAACATTTAATCAAAGTCAGAGCGGCCCTCTTTCACAACAGCCCTAGCCACAACAATAGAGCAGCCCTCTTTCACAACAGCCCTGCCCAGAGGTGAATGGACAGGAAATGGACGCATGCGGGGTGGAGTGGCCCCACACGGGTACCTGATGCAACAGGGGAGATGAGGGCAGGACGGCACCTGCCACCCCATAGGCACCCTAAGTGACTCAACGGTGAGCTAAGGAGGAAGGGGCAGAATCCCACAGAGATAAGGAAGCAGGTCTTGTGATGTGGTGGGTGCACGGGACGCACAGCAGGAATGCCTGGGATGCAGCTGGGCGTGTTGGAAGCACACAGGGCATGGGAGGGAGCCTGGGCCCCACTTCCAGGGTGATGGCCATTTCTCCCAAAGGAGAAGGGTGGCTGGAAGGAGTCCAGGTACAAGGTCCTAGGCCACAGCCACATGGCCTCCACCTCTCAGGGCAGGGTCAGTAGCTGCTCCCCACTCCACTCCCAGGTCCTTCTGTCCTTCCCCAGGATGAGGAGCTGGAGGACCGTAGGGGTGGAAGTCCAGTCCACAGCAGCCATGGGCCATCCCTCAGGGGAAGGCGTGCCCAGTGGGGGGGGGGCGTGGCTCCACATAGCCCCACCTCCCACATGCACTGAGCCAGCCAATCAGGAAAGGGCACCCACAGTCAGGCCAGCTGCTCTCGCGAGGACCAAGGACCCAGGCCCTCAGAGGAGCATCAAGGTGCCAGGTCCTGGAGGTCCTGTGAGGAGGAGAGGTCGAGGGTACCTCAGGAGAGGACCTGGCCGGAGGGGAGACTGGGACCGTGTAGTCCGAGGTCCTCAGAGGACGAGAGTGTGGATCTTGGGGCAGCTCAGGCTGACCTGTGAGGAAATCTCCCCAGCGTCACCTGGGGCCTGGGTCAGGGAGAGTCCCCTAGGGGCAGGCTGGCGTGGGCCAGGGAAGGGAGATCGAGGGGTCCAGGTGGTCCCCAGTGCCCGGGAGCATCACTGGGTTCTGTGCATGTGCTGGAGGCTGGGGGAGAGTCCGCGTGTGTCCCTCTTGCTCGGCCACCCATCTGGATGGGACCCTTGGTCACCGGGGGTCTGCTGGGCGTCCAGGCAGGTGAGAGGGCAGATGCCAGCACCTGACTGTCGAGGACGGGTACACAGAGGTTCATTCCCATGCAGATGGCTGGGGAGGTCCTGTGTCACCCTACAGCTCTCCCGACCAACACGGGGTCACTTGGGGACCCGGGGCAGGGGCAATCTCTGTCCCAAGGGCACGGCAAGAATTCAGCAGAGGACCTGGAGTTCAGGTGTGCGGAGCAGGTGTGAGCTCTGCAGGCAGCCCCAGGGAAGGGCTGGATGGGACACAACGGGACAGGTGGGGACGCTGGCCTCTTCTCCCTTGTCCTTTGCTCCTTCAGCAGTAGACACGGAGCATGCCAGCCCCACTCTTCTTCAACCTGGGGACCTCCCCGTTGGCTCTCATTTAACACACCTGGGTTCCTTAGTGTGTCTTTGCACTCACAAGGTTCAGGAGTCGTCTCTAGCCTCCCAGGACGGCCAGCCATGGTGCGTATGGACGGGAAGTGCGTCAGGGAGGCTGACAAGGCCCTGCTGTAAACTCAGTTTATGGTAGCCCAGGAAACGGGGCATGGACGTAAAACTGGAATGAAGGGTCAAGGAAACAGGTGCCCGCCCAAGGGGACGGTCTGTCTTATCTCCTTGCACCGGGTCGTGGGGAGCACATGGGCAGCCCGTGGCACCCTCGTTACTTTGGTGCCCACCTTGCATATGCTAAGAAGCCCTAGGTTTCTAAAGCAGTTTCAAGGGCTTTAGGTTTCCCATGGGAAGCTCCTGCCCCACGGCAGAGTTACAGATGCCCTTAGAGCTGCTCTTCTGGATGTGTGCAGTCCGTGACGTCCAAGGAGTCTGATCCGCAGTGCATGGTTATCTATGACTTCAGTCCTGGAGGGCTTGCAAAAATGTCTCTGTAAAATGGTCAGGGCTCAAGGGACTCCATGTATATAGGTCTGCTTTAAAGCTTTAATTGGCAAACAGCCATACAAACCCACAAATAGTACATTTCCATGTGAAAAAATGTCCACAATAGCATCCTTCCTCTAAAAACGTTTGCCTTTTCAAATTTTCAGTGCAGCACGGAATTCAGGAATGCACAGCCATCCCGAAAGTAGTCATTTTGCAGAAACAGATGAGGAAGACATGTGGTAATGTGTTTAATGTAATTGTGCCTCCTAGTAAAGTAAGTTCAGAAAAATCAACTTTGACTCGTGGCACATTTTGTGTTTAAAACACTGGGCATCAGGCATGCCCTACAACACAAGCGTGGTATCTTATTCACACCTAGTGAAAAAAAAAAAAGTAATTTCTTCCAGGAATGAATTTCAAAATATGTGGGAAAGCTTTGTAGGTGTCTGGGAGATACTTGTAATTCAAGAACATTGTTGTCAGCCATATATCTTTTATAGCAAGAAATGCTAATGAGGGGGCTGCATTAGTGTTATTTAATGCTTTGTTCTCCTATCCAGGATGCCACATAAGGATTGAGTGTGATTCAGCTCCATCGATTTCCTTCCTTACCCTTTTAAGCTGTTGAGTGAAGTGGATGGTACACACAGTGGTTAGGCAGAGTAATGCTTTTACTTTATTCACTGTGGAATATGAGAAAATAATTTACAAATAATATATATTCCACATTGTGTCAGATAGTAAGTGATATATCTGTTTTTCATATCCATTGCTGTTTTCTTATTCTAGTTATTTTATAAGACTTTCCCATTTCTTTCTTGGGGTGGGCAGTGCAAACTGAGGCCTCTAAAATAGCCTCTTATTGTTATGTTTACATTAATAACCTCTGTAGTGGAGAACTCAGACAACTTTGCTGGCATGTGAGAGACGTGTGATCACAACCAAAAACATCTAAGTTTTAAATGGGTACCTCAGCTATCAAGCATCTAAGTTTTAAATGGATACCTCAGCTATCAGTTAAATTAACTATGTAAAAGGACAAACTCTTAACCGTGTCATACTTCAGTTTTGTCTCCTCTCTATGGATCATACATACAAGCAGATATGTGTTGAAAGCTTTGCTCTATTTTGTGATGAAAGTGTGCTTGATGCATGAGCTGTCTTATTAATTGGTTACTATAGATAGTAAGCTTGATTTGTAAAATATTTGTAAAATAATACATCTCCCTTATGAATACTGGAAAATATGCATTGATGGTAGGCCCATAACTTAGAATCAACCATATAGTTAGCAAAGCATTATTTGAAATATTAAAATGTTTTTTAAAAAACATTTTAATGTTTATTTTAGCTATTGAAAACATTTTAATGTTTATTAAAATGGTATCTCACTGTGGTTTTGATTTGCATTTCTCTGATGACCAGTGATGGTGAGCATTTTTTCATGTGTCTTTTGGCTGCATAAATGTCTGAGCTCTTCTTTACATGCTTCACTTGCTACTCTAAGAAAAACCTCCACCACTACCACTTCATCTGTATAGCCTGCAAATTGAAATTGTAATTTGAAATTATGTATCGATTTAAAATAAAATCTAAAATAAAATAACAGCACAAAAGTTGAATGCTCGACTTAATTAAGTAGAAATTTAAAGTTGGATGAAAACTTGAAGGCCTTCTAACACAAGCCCTTTATTAGACAGATGAAGAAACTGAAGCACAAAGAGGTAAAGTGAGGTGCCCAACGCCAGACAGCAACTGAGAGGCACAGCGAGTTCCATAGCTAAATATCCTGACTCCCAGTCCAGTGTTCCTCCCGTTCCTCCATGAATCTTGTTTTGAAGCTTCCTGACAAACTCTAGAACAGTAAACCTCCACTAGTATTTTTCCAGACCGTGTTAAAACTGCTAAGGAGGTAAGAAGGGATGCTTTCTTGGATAATGTCAGCCATACGTAGCTCACACTCTCTAAAGTTCTGGGACAGGGTCTTTTTATATAGCCAACAGAGTGCGAATGTAGTGCTGTGTTCCCAGTTGGGCCTTTACTGAAGGGGGAAAAAAAAACAAAAACAAAAACAAAAAAAACAAAATCCAAGAATCATCTTGTTTCAAAACAAGGGACATATTAGACTACCTCCCATACTCGTTCAGAAAAAGAAAAATCAAGTTATCTTTAAAAGATTCTAAAACGCCTCTTCCCAAATATGCAGTCAGTTCCTTCAAAGGGCCCTTTGTTTAATTGCAGGAAGAAGCCCGAGACACCTGAAAAGCAGAAGGCATCTGAGCAAAATGAGATTACTCAGCCAGGTGGCTCCAGCGCCAAGCTAGGCCTTCCCTGCCAGAACTTTGAAGCTGTTTAGTCTCCAGACCCAGCCCATATCCACTCAACACATTCACTGACAAACTCGCTCACACAGGGTCATCTGATTGTAAGTACACCACCAAGGTGATGGTGTCTTGGCAGTGCTTGGAGTAGTGCTTCTCCCTGGGTTCTGGCTTTTTTACTTTCCAAACAAGCTGTTTGCTTTCAGTCTTCTAAAGCAGTCAAAAGTAATGTGCCACCATTTTCATTCAGCCAACATCTGTGTATTTTCAAAGCTAGAATATATTTTAAAGCCAAATGACAAGCCATTTGGCCTCAAAGGCTGATTAATTACATAAACCACATTCTCTTCATAACACTAACTCAGAAAAAGAAGTTTTGTTGCCAGTGTCTAATTATTCTTGATCTGAATAATGGCACTTCCTCAATTATTAAATTGAACAACCAAACACGGACCTCAGAAGGTCAGTTAGACACAAGGAAACATCCATTTTGAAATTACATAACACAAGCCAGATTTGCACTAGTTATTAGAGTCTCATGTAGCTTGGCTGAATTTCTGTCTTTCCAGTTTTTAATTTATTTGAAATGGTTAAAGGATAATGAAAATTTACATAAGAAAAGATAATGGCTTTCAAAAGTTCAGAAGTCATGCAGACTTCACATAGCCAATGAGAATTCAGGTTTAAAATATTTTTTAATTAGAAAAACAATCGAGGTGATGTGGCTCACGCCTATAATCCCAGCACTTTGGGAGGCTGAGACAGGTGGATGGCTTAAGCCTAAGAGTTTGAGACCCGCCTGGGCAACATGGTGAAACCTCATCTCTACAAAAAATACAAAAATTAGCTGGGCATGGTGGCATGCACCTATAGTCCCAGCTACTCGGGAGGTTGAGTTAGGAAGAAGGCTTGAGCCTGTGAGGCTGAGGTTGCAGTGAACGGAGATGGCGCCGCTGCACTCCACCCTGGGTGACAAAGCCAGACCTTGTCTCAAAAAAAAAAAAAAAAAAAAAAGCAAGAAAGAAAAGAAAAGAAAAAGAAAAAGAAAAAACTGCCTATGTGCTAAATTTGGAAATGTGCAGCCTAATGGGATTGTCACTATTGAAATCACTTATGTGATGTTTATTTTTGCCATATTCACACTAATCTGGAAGTCACTTTAAAATCTATTTCAAGAAAGTTGATAAATCACGTTTAGGAGATTTTCTTTTCTTTCTGAAACGTAACCCAATACTTCAGAGAGAAAGAAACATATGTGTTGCCAATGGAAAGGCATGAAATAAATTTGCAGTTGAATCCAAAAGAATATTCCTTTTAGTCTTAAGATACCCAACAATTCTTCTGAACTGATCTCCATAAAGGATATCTGGTAACATGCAAAAATTAGGAAACTTTTTCTTTAAAATGAGCAATATAAGACCAACAAAGTCTTATTTCAAAAATAAAATCCTGTCCACAAAGACAAAAATTATTAATTAGGAAATGAGAATCTAAATCTCCTATTGTTATTTTTCTGAAAAAAAAATGTAAAATTCTGCAAAGACGGCAAGAGGTAAATGGGTCCAGGAGATTCCATTCTCTACTTACTTCATCATGATAGTCTTTAAATAGAGAGAAACGACCTGGGGGGAGGGTTGGAGTAAAGACAGCTTGGTCTACTTATGGTTGGGCTGAGACCACCCTCCAGCTGTCAGTAGAAAATGGAAAGAGAAATAACGTGAGCCAAATCTCTATGGCCCATGTGGTTTGAGAAGCTACAATCAAACTTGTAGCTTCTATAGAGGGCAGAAGCAGGGATTGTGTTCTTTGGACCATCCTAATAGTCACCTCCTTGGACCTTCTTGCCTAGCAGTCTCCAGCATAGTAGTAATTACAGGAAGAATTGGAAAGGAGCATGGCACAGTGCCCATAGGCAGGTGCATGCTGTCCTTACCCACCAGGAAAGTAGCCCCTTCACATGGTGAAGGGCCTGGGGTTTCTACATGCAGACCTTCATTACCTGGCTTTCTGCCACACCTTCTGGGTGTGGATTATATACAATTGCCTTAGCCCAGAAATCTTATGTTACAGCAAAAATTAATGTTTTACTTAATAGAAAAGGCATTGGGGCACTTATTGTGCTTTAACATAAGCATTCTCTGTCCAGGCCTTGGCATTGGCATGAAATATGTTTTAAGAATTGTGCGAGTATGGTGTCACCATATAGCTCCTTGTTGGCCCTGAAGAAGCCAGAGGATTTGAGCTCAGTAGTTTGTCTGAATGTAGTTGGAAGAACAAACTGGGAGAAGAACCCTAATCTCCAGGTGTTTAGAAAGTCATTTTGATTCTACCATTAAGATGTGTAAGTCTTCCCTGTTTCAACTTGTTTAAATTGATTATACTTTCTTCAAATATATTTGGATTGTAGTTTGTCTTGACTTGAGCCTATACTTACAAGAAAATTGATTTTAGAAAAGATGCACAGAAATCTGTCCATTTAAAGATTGCTTGGGAGAAGACAGGAAAACCGTGTATTTTAAGCTGTTAAAATTTTCGGATGCTCTTCTTGCATTCAAGAGGATTTTTGTTTTTACTTTCAAATGTAATTCTTACCATAGATTAATTTAAACATCTAATTTCTTTAAAGTATTCAGTTCCTATTTAAAACTAACAGATTTGGGGCATCTAAAAATAATGCCCTTGATTTGTTAGTCTCTTTTACTTCAGAAAAATTCCGTTAAGTTGTGGTGTCCAACCTTCCACAAGTGCCTGAATTTTTATAGCACCTTTTTATTTGTTGTGTTTTTAGCAAAATTGATCTTAATCATGCCTTAATGCCTATTTCCTGTCAGTCAGTATGATCTTTCCCAATTTACAGGTGAGAAAACTGAGGAAATGGACACCCAGTTAGATGAATGACATGGTTGTGGTTAACTCATTTGAATACTGAGGGGTGTTTATGGGTTTGCTTTCATTGTGAGAGCATTTCTCTTAGGAAATTTCGAGACCAAAGATGGCATTCCTGACTCTGAAGAGGGATCTTGAAAATGAGCAACTTATATTGGTGATTGGGTTGTAAAACATAATGGATAAAGCATACCCACAGGAAGAAAAGTCAACTCTGCATATGAACTGGCAAGGTGGGTAAGCCACAGTCTTTTGGCATATGAATGACACAGGTCTTGTTTTAGAGAAAAGATGACAAGTCTGACCCCCTAAATTCTCAGTTGGCTATTTTACCTGATGATCCACTTCAAATTTGGCAAAAGATCCCAGTAATATTCAAAACAAGAATGAATACAGTTGAGATATGCTTTCCTTTGTGAGATGGTGAGGTTAATATTGCTGCTAAAATGTGTGCTGTTTTGCAGTGCGCCCACTGACACAATTTTCTATGAGTAATATTCCCCCATTGCCTCCTAGCTTATCACCCCTTCACCATTTCTAAAACTCTAATAGTAAACAAATTCAGATAGTGATAATAGAAGGTATTAAGATGAGTTATGGAATCCAAAAGTGAAAAAAGCCTAGGTGTTTGACAGAGCAGTTACCCACTAGACAGGCTGAGTATGAGCTCAGCCAAGCTCCGCCTTTAAATGCTTTAGCGGCTTAAGCAGGACTAAACCAAGTCAGTAGAGCAGGTGAAGCTCTCCATATGAAAAAACTTTCTTGACAGCTATCAAGCTGTAGCACATCACAGTCATGTACATTTGATAGACACAACCAGAAATTTTACTTGCATATTTCTTCCATTTGGTTTTCTCCCAAATAAGGCTCTCATTGAAGGAAGTGATTTTCCTCCCTTTGGTGGTCCTCCCCACTTTTGGCTGTAGATTCACCTATTCTTTTGTTGGAAGCTGATATCCCATGTTTTACACTGGCCTCATCAGACTGTCTCGTTTTCTGTCTCCTTGCCATGATGCACTTATGCGTGAACAGTTTTTACTTATTTTTCATTGAACCTCTACACATTACCAAACTGTTGTATGGGTGCGTTTAACTTTAGCTCTGTAGGTAGCATGACTTTCCTGGGGCTGAACACTGTGGAGGAGACCGGTGAGCTCTTCCTTTTCCATTTCTTGCCATCCACCTTCCTTGGTCTTCCCCTTCCCAACCATTTGCTTCACCAGTCCAAGTTTCTGTGATTAAAATTTTTAGTACACTTTACTCATTTTGAATTTTTAAGCAATGTTTTAGGGAACAAAACAAATACCGCATGAAAGCTGCATTTCCAAAGTCAGGAAATGCAAAGTTCATGTTCCCACAGCAACGGAAACTGTCCCCTGAGTGTTGGCATCACAGCAGATTCTTTCATTCCCTGATTACATAGCATTATTATAGCTCTACGTGCATACTCTATGTGAACATGGACAGAATTAAAGTTGCTGTGGGAACATCATTAACTCTGATTTCCAGACTTCCGTGCCAGTCACATTTAAACCATAGTGTAATTTTTGGCATGTAATAAATGTGCGTTTCATATACACAGACAGAGAGAAGCATAAATGTAATTTAAAGAGAAAGTAATTACTAGCTTTGTGATTAAAAAACATTTGGTGCATGTTCCTTCCCGTTTAACATCAGCTGCTGGTCTTTAACCAGGCCTAACAGATGACATACTGTGTCTCATCCTGTATCTCAGATGTACTTACTCTATGTTCCTATTCTTCCATATAATTAATTCCCCTAATAAAGCTGTAAGGGGAAAACAAAATGGGAGGAATATGCAAGCATGTAAATAGGGTAAGGGATATTTTGAAGGAAATTATTCATTTCTGCAAATAAACATTTTAGTTTCTGATAAGGAGCCAGAAATCTGCTAAGTGGGTATAGACAAAGGTTTTTGGCCACCATAGAGCCTCTGGTTCATGGCCATAAGAACAACTTGAAAGCATATTTCCCCTTGAATTCGAGGCATGCCCACTGGGAAAGTGATTTTACTCTGTAATAACTTTTAGGCTTAAGGCTTAAAAAGTTATTTTTGCGCTATAACAACTTTTTAATTTTATGCTGTATTCAAACTGGCAAGTAAAATTTACGAGGAATCAAGCAAGATGAGGGCTTTGCCAAAGAACCCCTGAGTGAAAGAGTAGTGTTTTTTCTTCCTTTACATTTAAATCTGGTTTACCCATTTGTGTTAGAGAAGGAAGCATTTCAAAATAACTGTTTGAACAGGTTTGTGAATGAAAGAAATTAGTAGCAATACTCTGATACAGTGTTTAAAAATGCAAATGCTTGAGTATATATTTGAAACCTGATGAGACAAAAAAATTTTACTGAAAGGATGTGTAGCTTAAACTCTTAGGTAAGGATTTAAGGGTTCTTGCTACTTGTTCATTCTGTTTCCTGTCATGTATTTCTTTTTGTTCAGTCTGGTTGCATATGGTATTTAATCTTTAAGACAGATATTTCAGTTTTACAGGATTCTGATTTACTTTTACTTGGGCTGTCTCTATGTGTGAATGTATGTCTGTGTGAGTGAAAACTGCTCAAGCAAGTTTGAAGGTCTCTTTGGCAAATTTGATTGCATGTTCAGAAAGTTTCTGGTCAGAAAGTTGATTCAGTATAAAACCTTCCAAAAACTTCTTGAGGCACCCACATGAAAATATTGGATTTCTGTTGGAGGTGCTCAGAAGGTAGTATTTATAACTGAAGATCTCTGTTTGGTGTGCCAAAAAATGAAAAATGTTTTGGCCCCCAAAAAACTCCATAAATGTTCAAAATGTATAATAACCAAACAAAAGCTTCATTTGGATTCAAATGCATGTATTTTAGCAGATGTGTCTAAACTAACTGGATCCCACAGAAGCAGCTGAACTGGATTTTTGTGTGTCTTGATAAATGAAAGAGTTATTCTTAGACTTTGGAAGGACAAAAATGGTCCATCTGTGAAGAATTGTAATAGAGACATGGCAAAAAACAGCATCCTCTGAAAGAGTTTATTTATGGAATTTAGGACAAGTTGGACAATCCTGAAAACATTTTGAGGTCACACTGATTTGCAGAGAAAATATAGCCAAAATGGGATGGAATAACAGCCACAGAGAGTTACTTTCCAATGGCTTGTTATTTATTTTCTAATAAATTTTCCTACCAGTTAAGCAGTAAATAGAGCATCTTTAATATAACTAAGTGCTGTTGTTGCCTCCAAAGTGTCTCACATTCTACTTTATTCTATGTTCTTTGAGAAATTATATATTTGTTTTGTTCATTTAAATTGTTTTTCTGGCATTTCATTAACCAAGTAAGCCCCTCATCTGTGAACTGTGGATTTTGTCTTTAAAGATATTCTTTCCCTTTTTAAAAAAGTCACCTTTGTTCCTCTGAGTTAACTGATATATAATCTCTTTGGAATTATTTCTATTACCTTTTACACCCTTTCTTTAGAGTTTTTAGTGCTTAGTCCAGCACTTATACATTAGAAGGCCATTTTTAAAAAATTTGCCCTAATTTCCTAGAGTTTCCATTTAGTATATTTGGGGACACATTCATTTTTAAAAAGCACAGGGTTTGATATTTTGCATTTTAGTCTACCTCTGTATATAAAATTCACCCTCTTTTGATGAAACTTGTTATTTCCCCACAATACTAATTTACTTGGGTTTCTTTCATGATCACGTAATGCAGTAATTCCTTACCTAGGATTAGAGATGAAGATAGGAATAAGACTGAATCCCCTCACTTTAGGAAGTCAGGATGTTCCTAAATACTTTACTAAACACTTTATTAAGCCAGTAAAGGGGTAAATACAAATGCAGAATTAAAGTGTTCTACTATGCACAAAATGCTACAGAGCCCCTGAGGAAGGAACCTGTAACAGTGGGGAGAGTTCTACACCAAAGATGACATTAAACTAATAAAGTAGAAGACAGAGGGAATGGCATTCCAGGTAGAAGGAACAGAAGCAAAATCACAGAGGCATAAGAAGAGCATGGTGTTTTCAGAAAACAGAACAATTCAGTTATGACACTGAAACCTTCTTATACTTTGCCTCATTTTAATCGTGGGACAATTTGTATTTGGGTAACGTTGCCTGTTGTTGTAATTCAGCTGGGCTGAATCATATGTCCCTTTTAAAGACATTTGCTTTCCCCAATATATAGTAAAGGAAGACACCCGCTTATTTTCTAATAGGCAAAAGTGCCCTTCTGTCCATACAGTCAGAAAAAGTAAGAAAGTATTCCGAGGGACCTAGTGATGATTTATTGATCAGTAAATATCAAAATAACTTTTCTTAACGAGAAAAGTCCATTCCTGGAGCCACAGTCACCTATAGTTGCTACGCTGGAACTTTGTCATTGACTTGTGGTCTTTCCAGTTTCTAGCAATCTGTCCTTTTATAAAATCCTCCCAGGTTTCTTGGCAAGTCTGGTCTCATTGCCCATTGTCTCAGGTTATACCATGCCCTATTGTTATCCCAAACATTGCATAGATATGCTTATGATTGTCCACATGTAATTGTTAGAACCTAGTGCCGATTCTAGGGTTATATTCTTCATCTTGCCATCACATCTTATGCAGGAGTACATATTTAATCCTTATCTGCAGCTGCTTGTGGCAGTTTCACATGTGCTTCTCTACTCATGGCAAATTTCATTATATAAAATTAGTGCTTCTCCCTATCTGTCAAGACTTCTCACATCCTTACTTTAAAAAAAGGCCACATGCACTACCACCCTTGGAGTTGGATCATTTAGGATTGATTGGAAACGTGCGTGAGGATTATTTCAGGACTTCCTTGCTGTAAGGAAATTTCAACCAGATCCTTCCATCAGTCACCTCACAGTAAGTACGACAGTCAAATACCTTATTACCTCATCAGCAGAATGAGCACTTTCTGCTTTCTTTTTTTGCTTTTCTTCTGTCTCTACATCTTTTGTTCTCTCTGAGGAATGTGTGCCAGTTCAAATATTTTTCAGCATTACTGTATACCCACTATTGTACACATGAATAAACTGAGGCCCAAATAAGACAAGTGGTGTTAGCAAAAGTTTCCCAGCATAGAGAGTGACGGAGCCAGAAACAGAACCCTGCTCTTTCTCTCATCATGTATGCTGCCTATATCCAAGTCTGATTCTGAGTGAACTTATGTTTTCTGAACAGAAAGGAGTCAGGACTACTCATCCATCAATATAGTGGATACTTTCAGTGTAGAGGACTACAGGCTAGGTATTGTGCAGGATGCAGTTTTATAAACAGGAGCCCTAGGCTCAGAGACTTAGAGTCTTGTAGAGAAGATCAAATAACACTCACAAACAACCTCCCTGTAGAAGGGTTAAAGATATGTCCTGTCCCCACATACACAGATCCACGAGAGCATTGACTCAGTCACTTGGCAAGTATGTATAGAATATATCTTATGTGCCTGTCACTACAGTGAGTTACATGAGGGCACAAAGGTAGAGACAAACAGACCCCATCACCAAGAATTTTTTTTTTGTTTTTTTTTTGTTGAGATGGAGTCTTGCTCTGCTGCTAGGCTGGAGTACAGTGGCGCAGTCTCGGCTCACTGCAACCTCTGCCTCCCGGGTTCAAGCGATTCTCCTGCCTCAGCCTCCCGAGTAGCTGTGACTACAGGCATGTGCCACCAAGTCCGGCTAACTTTTTGTATTTTAGAAGAGACAGGGTTTCACCATGTTGGCCAGGATGGTCTCAATCTCCTGACCTTGTGATCCGCCCTCTGTGGCGTCCCAAAGTGCTGGGATTACAGGCGTGAGCCACCGCGTCTGGCCCATCAAGAATCTTAAAACAGCACATGTCCTCACATCACCATTATCTTAGATAGAATTTAGAAAGTTTGTAAAGTACATTTTAACCCAGTCAACAGTGATATCTACTTAGGCTTATCAGAAATGGTTCCATTTGAGCTTTTCTGAAAGACTGGAGGTAAGGCATTAGGGTAAGGAATGAGGGCTTTGCACTCTGTTGTAAAGCTGTGGAAGGGTTTTAAGTAGGGGCTGCCATGATCAAGACTTTGCAGCAAGGGTGTGGAGGATGCATGGATGTAGGAGGGAGCCACTGGAGGAAGGAGAGGGCGCAGACAGCATTGTTAGTATTTCACACTATTGGTACCCTAAGGGGGCTGGTAATAGGAGGAATGGCGGAGCTTGGTGCAACAGATTTTGTGGATGAGGGTGGACTGCCCCAGAAGCTGAATATTAGGTACAAGAAGGGCAATTATCAAAGATAACTCCAAGATATCAAAAAGTGATGGAAAGTGTTTAGAGGGATAGAATAGAGTTCCATTTTGTATAGTGCTGAATATGAGCTACCAGGGGTGTTCCTGGTGGAGACAACTAACACTGAGTTACAAACAGGGTCCTGGAGTGGAGCAGAAATACTTGAAATTACGACTAGCAAACACATTGGCCAAGAGGCTACACTACAACCTATAAATATGGGAATAAACTTCAAAGAAGACTGTTGAGAGAAAAAAGGAAAGTAGAACCTTAAGGAATATTTACATTGGGTGATAAGCAAGAGAGCCAAGATCCATCAAAGGACAAAAAGAAAATTTAAATATAAAATGTATGAGATTTTGGATCCAATTATGTTTCTCGCTGGGTAGAAAAGTTGTCTTTACTTTTACACTACACAGTTTATTAATGGAATAATAATAAGAAATAATCATCTTAGAGATTCACTTTTTGGTGGTACTCCAAACAAAACAAAATCAGAAAGCTATGAAGTTATACCAAGTTATACCATGAAAACAGAATAGCTAAAATAAACATTTTAATAAACACTAAAATGTTTTTAATAGCTAAATTAAGAACATGAAGGTTACTGCAGCCAAGGTTACTGCAGACTAAAGCAGAGGTTCGGGTACAAACTTGTCTTCTACCAGTTTTCCACAACTTTGCTATCAAAAGCATCTGAGGAGGTGGCTCTGCTGTTGAGTTGGGTGACCTGGAAGAAAAACTGTGTGCAGTTTGAGCCTTAATACTCTCATCTGTCAAAAGAAGAGACTCAAGATGACTGATTATTCAAATTTGCAAAATGCCTAGATTTCACAGGAGGTAGAAGCCTTGACTTATCACAAAGCATTTGGGTTTTAAGTTGTTTACAGTATTCTTGTAACCTTACCTGTTAGGGTTTTGGCTATCCAAGATAGAAACTTATTTTCATACAAAAAAGTAATATTTTGATGTATTTTTGAAAGAGAGACCCTTTGCTATCAGCCTGGGTATTATTCACTATGTAAAGCTATATTCCCTTCTCTCTCTACCCCAGAAAAAAGTTTGCTTTTCTGAGTTCACATCACAGGTGTGATCAAGGATAAAGGAAAGACAGGAGTTTGAGGCTGCAGTGAGCTATGATTGCAACATTGTACTCCAGCCTGGGTGATAGAACGAGGCCCCAACTCTTAAAAAAGAAAGAGAAAGCAAGAAAGCAAGAAAGCAGAAAGGAAGAAGGAAGGAAGGAAGGAAGGAAGGAAGGAAGGAAGGAAGGAAGGAAGGAAGGGAGGGAGGGAGGGAGGGAGGGAGGGAGGGAGGGAGTTGGGTGGATACAGCCACATGGGGAACATAGCTGATTCTGAGCAGGCAGGAGGGTAAAAAGTCTCCTTGTTAGTAAGGTTTTCCAAGACTTCTGAGATGCAAATATGCCATGGAGGGCTTAAAGCATTCATGTTTTGATGCTGTAATCACTTAAACTCCAAGAGAGTTATCTTAGTGTAAAGCAGTTTTGGACTGGAGCTGCGGGAAGAGATGGGGATCATATTGGAATAGGGGAAGTTGAAGGAAATAATCAGATTAACACAAGGACCCTGGGTTTTGCTGGCAGAGGAGAAGACGAAAGAGGTGACCAGGACTAAAAAGGACTCAGTCTCTTTTGCAGTTTTTGCCTGGGGCCTTGTCTAGAGCTACAATTTATTACATACAGTGTACATATATTTCCCCGCTTGGTACCAGGAAGAGACATGATCAAATTTATTCTATTGGTACTGAATATAATATAAAACTGACCGAAAATTTTGTGGCAGTTATTCATTTTAATTAATTTAAAAAGAAATGAACAAGCAGTTCTTCCTTCATTAAAACAGATACTGAAAATCTATTTTCTGTTATTGCTGAAAATATTTTGGCTTCCATAAAGGCACTTTACTAATATGCCTACGTTGCCCTCCACTGTGCTGTCACACTGACATTTTAGTCAGGTTCTCTAGACTAATTAAATGAAAAAAGTGCATCACAGTATTAAGATTCCTTTGAAGAATCAAATGAAAGGAGATCTCCACAGTTTGGATAGCTTGGTAGATTTGCAATGAATATCGCCAAAATCTTGCAAGTGCAGTATATTTTTCTACATTTACAAAACAGCTAATAAATAAGTATATTCTACAATAACTGCTGGATTTAACTTCATACTTAAGAATATCAACAAACCCACCCCATCCTTAGTGTTCCCCTGCACGGTTTTGCATTTCAGAACAAATGCTTCATGTCTTTTGAAAAGCACCAGGAAATCTCTTCTCCAGCTATGCAGGCCTCAATTTTATGTGTGTAGTATGACATACCTTAAAAGAGAGAGCCCCACTCTCTCTGGGATGTTCATTTAAATACAGACTTAAAGAGAAGAGCTCCATCTACTAAATCAGTTAGATCATAATGTGCACCCTATAGTTATTCCATTCACTGCTTTCAATCACTTAGAGGCTCTGAGAGAATAGAAAAGTTATAGACCTGAGAAGCCACAAACAACAGCTATGAGCCTAGTGCCATTTCAGTTATTTCCCAGAGAATTAGCTCTATTCTTCTTTGTATACACAGATGAAGTGATACATCAGTTTTTAATATCAGAGTTCTTCATGTTCTTAATTTAGCAATTCTGTTTTCATTGCTTTCTGATTTTGTTTTCTTTGGAGTACCACTCAAAATGGAACTCTCTAAAATGGTTCTTTTTCATTATTATTCCATTAATCAACTGTGTAGTAGAAAAGTAAAGACAACTTTTCTACAAAGTGAGAAACATGTAATTGGATCTAGAAACTCATAAATTTTATATTGCCATGTGAAATAATCCTTGCACTGACTATGTTATAGGACCATATTCTTTAACAAGTCTGAGTAAATTTCTGTCAAGACTGTAGAGACAATGCTCTTATTTTTAAAAAGTCCAGTTTAATTTTTGACTCTTCTATAGAGACAATTCACACAGGCAGTATATGTGACAAGCTTTGCTGTTCATGTTGGTGACAAAGTGCTGGTGTTGTGAGCTGCCTAAAAAGTTGAGTATTATAGGTGGATACTGTATGTAAAAATATTCATATTATGATGCAGTTCTTTTATGGTTGCTGAAAACTAGCAATTAATGGTAGATGTCTGATGTGAAACCATGTTTAGGAAAGGATTTGTAGTATTACAGTTTTCTGAAACACAGCACTATGGATAAAAATATCATATAAAAATCTCCAAGAAAATATTTCAAAAGTGTCCTTGTATTTATTTATCTACTTAAATGTTTAAACCCACGGACATTGCTACTTTTAGTAAAATATAGTTAAAAGCACCAGTCATTGGATTGCTTAAACATAATTTTCTTATTTTGTATTATTTCTACACTTTTGATGGTCTTATTAAATAAATTACTTTTTTTTTTTTTTTTTGAGACGGAGTCTCGCTCTGTTGCCCAGGCTGGAGTGCAGTGGCACCATCGCTGCTCACTGCAAGCTCCGCCTCCCGGGTTCACGCCATTCTCCTGCCTCAGCCTCCCGAGTAGCTGGGACTACAGGCGCCCGCCACCACGCCTGGCTAATTTTTTTGTATTTTTAGTAGAGACGGGGTTTCACCGTGTTATCCAGGATGGTCTCGATCTCCTGACCTCGTGATCCGCCCGCCTCGGCCTCCCAAAGTGCTGGCATTACAGGCATGAGCCACCACACCCAGCCTAAATAAATTACTTTTGTGTGTTTTATGCAATGGGTTGTGACAATATTTCATATAAACATGTCATTTGAATTGTAGGACGATTTATAAATTTAAAAATAAAAGATTGTGTTTGTAACCCTTTATGCACATTTAAAAATAGCAACTATTTTCATTATTAGCCTTTGTTTCCATCTATTAATTAAAAGTGATCTTCAGTTATATCGTGTAGAATAGGAGTACCAATATCTGAATGTTTTCACAGAAATTAAGTGAGCAAATCTTGCTTTTTGAAATGATGCTTGCATTATAAATTTTTAATGTTCTTCTAAAGTTGCTGAAACATCATATCCCATATTGTTTTGAATATATGTGAAGAAACTACTTTTCAACATTACCTTTTAATTAATTTTCGTTTACTATCTCACTGACATTAAACAGGCTCTTCTTGCAAAGAGAAAAAAGTTTGAAATGAATACAAATGCTTCTATCAAAAAAATCAAACATGTTTGGAAAACACACGGAGAGCAAAGTATGGCTGTTGGCTTTTTTGAACCGTGATATTTGTATCATTGCTTTGTATTCATTGCTGCAAATAATTTCAGACAACCACTATCCTGTAATTATTGGAGTCTCCAGTGAAGAATATATTTTACTTGATTTTTCTCCAAGCACATAAGTTTCTTTAATTTTATAACCTCAGTTTGACAGAATTGAAATCTATTACCTAGAAGCCAAGGAAGATGACGTCTTTTTGCCATTCATATAAGAGTAGAGTCTTCCTGTAAAATTAATTTATATTAATTTCTAGAAATATGCTAGCTGAATACATGGTAAATGTCTTTGATGTTTAGTCTTCTGATCCTTAACAGTATTCAATGATGTAGAAAGGGGTAATCTTATGTTGTAAATAAGATATATAGTTTAGTTTAATATTTTTTCACTATTCCTTTTACAAAATCATTGTTGTGCCAAAGTGTAGAAATAGTTAAGTGAAATATTTCTTTTGGGAGATCTTATGGGATGAATGGCTATGATATCCTCATTGAATCTACTAAGAGGAAATAAAAAGTAAACTGCTTTTAGTGAAAATGAATGTTTCTGGGAAATTTATAGCATAGTCCATCTTCCTTTGGTTTTAAGAGATAAAGAATGTGAGACAGCTTCTCTAGTAGTCAGAAGAAATGCTTTTAGAATGAGAGAAACTTCATCCTTTTCCAATGAGAAGTTTTCAGCTGCTATTATGTCCTTATTTTGTACTACGAATTCTATGAAATCAATTTTGTCTTGCTTTCAATTAAGTTTTCATCTCCTTATGAAGTATGACCATGTTCCTTATTATGTGTTGCAGGCAGAAACTTCATTACAAATGTTTTAAGCAGTTTTGGAAGTTGTTTCAAGGCTGGAACACAGACATGAAGAAGAAGACTCAGAAACAAGAAGAAAAACTAGCTGTTGGTATCAGGATTAACTTGATAATTAATCCATTGTATCAATACCTCAAGTAGTAAGAGTTCATGCTGAAATTCAAAGCAAAGAAGGTAGAGAACATGAGCTCAGAGAGGGTTCCCATTAACGGACTAGGGGAATATAATTGCCAAGTAGCATTAGAGGTCCCACTGAGGTTAGTGTTATGGCGATTTTGAAGTTAAAGTGAGCCCAGTTGGCATATTTGTGCAAGAGCAGAGTAGAGTTGGAATATCCTCCTCTGGGGTGTATCAGAGCACTGTGACGAGGGAGCAGTGGGGAGGGAATATACCCAAGGATGGAGTTATGATGACTGGCTATGGAATTTAGGCTGGCACTGAGGAAAGTGAGCACATAGGGGTGTGGTGCTGAGCCACAAAAAGTGTTCCATTTCATGGGTGTTAGGTCTTTATAGACCACTGAGCTGTATACCAAAGTGAGTCTCCTACAAGAGTAGGGAGATAGTGGTTGTATGTTGGAAAGATGGAGAAACAGCAAAGTGCAGTGGTCAAGGACCTGGACTCTGGAACCACACTGCTGGGGATACAACTCCAGTTTGACCCTGGCTAGCTCTGAAACCATGGGCAAATTATCTCTGTGCTCCAGTTTTCTTATCTTTGAAAAGGGACATAGTAAGAATACCTACATCAGAGATTTTTCGAGGATTAAAGAGCTCTTATGTAATGAGTTTATTAACAATTTTCATGATCCTATCTGACCTATGGTTCCCGTTTATCATTGCTATCAATAATATTATGTAGATGTTGCAGTTATTGGGAATGAGAAAATCTAGGGGATGACTATGTGAGTGGCAAGCAGAGGAGGGGAGAATGCTGTTGTTGGGTATTAGGTCAAGGAGCAGAAGAGCAGAAAGGCCAGCATTATTGGAATATTAATTTCTGTGCATAGTGAAATGATCGAGATGTAATACATGTTTAAAATATTAGTAAGAAAGAATATTTCTCACTTAATTTCTGTTAGGTAGGATTATTGTATAGATACTACCTATCTGTGGTAAACAAATATTAGGAAAGGTCATCTGGAAGTTTGAAATCAAGAATTAGGACATATGTGTTGAATATTTATGAGAAAGAAAATTCTTTATTAGTGACTGAAGAAAAGGATAATTATATTGTTTTGGCATATGAATAGTGAACATAATGAGTTAAAATTGGTCATAGATGTTGTTAAGCAGAAAAGATTAAGAAGTATTGATTTGAAGAGGATTCCTTTAAAAGTGTAGAATTATGTTTTGTAAATATTAAAATTTATCCAATTTTTGTCATTTTTTGTTTTATATTTCTAGAAAATACTTCAAGAGCAACTAAAGGCTTATCTACATGCTAGGTTTGTCCAGAGAGAGAAACTGAAAAAATCCAACTGTTACATGAGCAATTCGAAAAGGTCTGTTATATTTGGTAACATAATACATTCTTATAAAATACAATGCATACATAAAAATAGAAGACAGGTTTCTTGCTTCCCAGTTTATGGGAAAAAATATTTTGGTTTAATTATCATTTCCATTTTGAATTTATTGTTCCAGATTTACCATAATTGGTAAATGTATTTGTATTTTTAGGATTCATTAACAGTTTTGTGGGAATTATTTAGAATAGGAAAATGTAAATTGGATATTTCATCTAGAAATAGACATGTTGTGTGTAAAATTGATCACATATTAACATTTTACGTTCACCAATCAGCTTTTAAAAGATCAGCGATAAATCTAGAGTGGAAAGCAGAAAGTCCCTAAATCCTTTCTAGATGTCTTTTCCTTGTCTTGTTTCAACAGTTTTGGCTCAATAGGACGTAGGCAAGTGTAACTATTGAATATCTCTTTCATTTTCTGCTGTAATATATGAGTGTTTCATGGCAAATTTGCTTTCAAAATTATGAGTGACTAGTGATGGTTTTACATGACAATTTTTTAAATGTTTAAGTTCAGGGGTACAAGTGCAGTTTTGTGACATAGTTAAACTTGTATCATGGGGGTTCCTTGTGCAGATTATTTCATTATCTGGATAACAATTTGTAATCATAAGAGATGGTTCAGAGGTATAACAGAATGAGAAAGCCAGCAGATTATTAACACTTTGTGCATTGATAATTATCTGCTGTTGTATTTCACATGAGTGATTTTTCCTCTGACAATGACCTCTTCTTCATGTAGATATATACTATTTAGGAGCCAATGAAATTCTTTTTTTGGGGGGGAGGTATTCTTTTTAATAGCCTTGTGAAAATACATGTTTATGTGTCACTCTTCCAAACTAACTTAGATGATTTAAATAAACTGGTAAAAGAGTTTGAACATACAATTTTTAAGCCACTTAAGAAATATATATTTATAAGACAGTTATTTCAATAGAACTCACAAGTACAGAATATGTTGCTATAATGTTCCCACAAAACATTTATTAATTGATGTGAACATTTGAATAGAAAAGTTTTATTCTCAATGTTATTGCTACATGTTACCAGGGTAGGAGCTTTGGTATTATCTTTGACTATTCCAAGTCCATTATGCTTCCCATGCAGTTATCATTAGGCCCTGCAATTTTTACCTCTGCTGTGGTCCTTTAATTTCCTTCTTTAAATTCCCACTGCTGCTGCCCTAGTTCACATCATCTTTCGTTGCTTGTACTATTAAACTCTTAGCTGAGTTCTCTTTTCTCCTCTGAGTCATCCTTTATAGATTGGCAATATTATCTTCTTAAAACCTAGCCCTTCCCTCCTCCCAACCTGTCTGTGGTGTCCACTTCTAAATTCTTAGATAGTTAGAGACACTCCCCTTTACATGACCCCCTTTTAGGCTTGTTTCGTTCCATTCTGTCTTTCCTTCCACCTCTCTTGGTTGATAGCCTTCTCTGAAGGAACTCATCATTACCTCCAGGTTTTGCTCATGCTCTTCCCTCACAATGCTTTTAAATCTTTTTATGAACTGATTGAAATATGATTCTTTTGCCAACTATGCCAGCATCAATCTCCATTTTTGCCTACATGCCCGAGTGAGTTGCACTTCCATACCAATTATAAATTTTTGTATTATTTTATTCCTGCCTTTGCTCATGTCACAGGAATATGAAAGAGATTGTGTATTCATGTTTTACTTCTTTCTCAGTACTTAACATACAACATTTTAGGTAGTGGGAACTATTTAACTATTTGTTGAATGAATAGTATACATTTCAAACGTAAGTTATGTTTTCTCTAACTTGATGAGTTCATATCAGAGACCATTTTATCCCATCAGTGGAAATCATGTTACCTGAGTTATGAGTGACAATAAATGGGTCACTACTTGGTGAAAAAAATATGATATTTCATGATATAGGGCTGCCAGTCTTTTTTTGTAATGGCTCCATCTTGTCTTTAACTGTTCCTCAACTCATTTTTTCAAGCAAAGTACATGACTGTTGTACCTGCTAAATAATACTTCTCTCAAATCTGGCATTAAAAAATGTAAATGTGCGTGGTGTTGCACGCCTGTAGTCCCAGCTACTCAGGAGGCTGAGGCAGGAGAATCGCTTGAATCCAGGAGGTGAAGGTTGCAGTGAACCAAGATTGCGCCACTGCACTCCAGCCTGGTGACAGAGTGAGACTCGGTCTCAAAAAAAAAAAAAAAAAAAAAAAAGAAAAGAAAAATAAGTGGGTATTTCAAGCTCCATGTATTTATTACAATTTTAAATGTGGAATAAATAACCAAGTTAAATGCTGTTTCCTTTGAAATTTAAATTGCTGTGTTTGAAACGTGAGATGAAAAGTGGTGGTTTATCTGTGAACTATACTTTTTGTTTTAGAGTATCAAGAACTTGGAGGAGAATTATGAAAGGCTTCTTTTTGATGAACAAAGTGAACTTCAAAAATAAATAGTGGCTGGGTGCAGTGGCTCAGCCTGTAATCCCAACACTTTGGGAGGCCAAGGCGGGCAGATCACAAGGTCAAGAGATCGAGACCATCCTGGCCAACATGGTGAAACCCCGTCTCTACTAAAAATACAAAAATTAGTTGGACATGACGGTGCATGCCTATAGTCCCAGCTACTCGGGAGGCTGAGGCCAGAGAATCGCTTGAACCTGGGAGACGGAGGTTGCAGTGAGCCAAGATCGTGGCATTGCACTCCAGCCTGGGCGACAGAGCAAGAATCTGTCTCAAAAAAAGATAAAAAAAGAAAAAAAAAAAGAAATGGCCATGTTTTAAAAAAAAATTGTGTTGGAAACTGTAAGTAGTGAATATTTAATCCTAACAACTAAGGATTGATGTAAGCACTGGAATATTTTATTTGCAGAAATGTGTATAACAATTATCTAAATTTCCTTGTTTGAAACAGGAGCAGCAAGAGTTGGCACTTATTTGATTGCATCTTCAACCTCTGTTACTCTGATGACTGAAGAAAGAACTTGAACCTGTGTTATATCTGCTGAGACATTCCAAAGGGATTTGTGTATGAAGCAAAGGGGTTTGGGATTTGGGAGTTGTTTTACAGGTCTCAGGGAACCAACATACAAGGCAAAACTTATTAGATGGTAAAAGAGTATTAAAAGGGCGAATTTTATTGTACGTAAATTATACTTCAGTGAACTTGACTTTTAAAAGAAAGAAAACAATGAGGTTGAAGAAAGGACCTTGGAGACTAGCAATTCAGAAGTTTTTGGTGATGCTGGCAAAAAATTGTTTAATTAGAAACCAGATTGTAATGGATTGAGGAATAAATCTGAGTTTAGGAAGCTTGAAGGTGGCGCAAAAGAGGAAAAGGTAAGGTCTGTTAAAGATGGTTTATTGTTTGTTAGTTTATTGTGGTTGTTATTGTTTCTTTAGATGAGAACAGCTAAAGCATGTTGGTGGCCAATAGGAGCATTGAAAATACAAAAGGAAGAAGGAGTAACTGATACAATAAGATCATCAGTGCTAGACAGAAGGATCTCTGAGATGTTACTGGTGGATTCATTGACAGAGGTGGAGTGATGGAGTGATGGGAAATGCCATTTGATGGCCTCTGTTTTCTCGTGTAAAAGGAGGCAAGGTTAATAGCAGACAGCGATGGGTAACAAGTTAAATAGAGTGATAAATGAAACTGGGAAATGAAGGAGGAAACTGACCAGAAACAAATTTAAACATTTTGAAGTAATTCTGAATTTCCAACTCAAGCTGGAAACCATAATTCTGGAGAGATACCAAACTGTATAGTTTTGTGATTTTTCTCCAGCATTGCTCAGCAGCCTGGGAGCTGAGGAGAACACACATGATTGGGTTCTTCTGGGCTCAAAAGCTAGGTAGATGTAGTTGAGGGAATTGATGGAGCTGATGGATATCTCTAAAGTTCACCATGGGCATCCAGACTGGTAGAGAAGAAACTGGAAATTAGTAGTCTGGGAGAAAAGAGAAAAAAAAAAGAAAGCCAAAAAGTCATGGTGAGAAGATGGAATACTTGTTTTCTGAAGCCATTTATGCCCCCATAAGGAGCCTGCCCCTACCATACAACTCTTTTGCCACAGCTCTCGGGGATACCACAGAAAGTAGATTGAATACATTCGAGGGCATAGACTGGATTCAGAAACATAGCCTGGTGGTCAGTGTTTCATTCTGAATTTGCCACTAATTTAAGGCAGCTGTCATTACCACCATTATCACAGCATGCTAATCCTTAGGCAAGGAATATTACTTGTGCATTCAAGAGTAGAAGAAATGGGAACCTCCCATGGGGCAATGACAATAGACTTGGCAAGAGGTAAATCATTTCACTTTTTGCCTCAGATTCCAAAAGTGTATTGATGCTTCCCTCAAGGCATGCCCTTTTACTTCTGTTATCTTAAGATTGTCAATTTAATTCTGTTAGAGAGTCTACAGAGGTGGCACCCTTCTTTGGGCTCTTACTCTTCCTTTCTGCATTTTCTCTTTCCTTGCTTCCTCCTACCTTTAGGTATTAAATGTTATATGTCTCAGCAACCTTCCCCCACCAAGTGACCAAATAAAGTATTCCTATAAGCTTAGTATTAGATATTTTTTTGTGTGTGCCTAAGAGGACTAGGCTAAGAAGTTGGTGCTTAGTTAGAGAACACCTTTAGGTACTTTGCAGATAACACTGTAAAGCTAATCCCTCATGCACTGTACATGCAGTTGAACCTGGGTGTCTCTCTGGTATTCATAAGAAAAGCCCTGCTCCTATAGGCCCTATCTCCATATGTCAGCCTAGTAAAGTAACCAACCATGTTATTCACTGTGAGATACCATGTTCTAGTTATCCTTTACTTGCTTGAGTGCTGAGATGAACATAATACACAAGGTCTAGTAGTTCCTAAACCCTGTGAGAACTCCTAAGCTCCTTTTCTTGTTGTTGTCTACATATATAAGTTCAAAAAATAGTCTTGGGGGAATTTCAACAAACAATTCTAAATAAGTCCTTTTTTCTTTGCAAATATAAATCCTTGTAAAATTCCTTTTTTTCCTATCTGTTTCCTATTCCTGATTCTATTATAGCTCTAGCAATACTAAACACTAGCTGGTTTGGAGATTAATATAACCAGACATACCATGGCTTTTTTGTTTGTTTTTTTTGGAAGACAGAGTCTCATTCTGCTGCCCAGGCTGGAGTGCAGTGGTGTGATCTTGGCTAACTGCAATCTCCACCTCCTGGGTTCCAGCATTTCTCGTGCCTCTGCCTCCCGAGTAGCTGGGACTACAGGTGTGCGCCACCATGCCTGGCTAATTTTTGTATTTTTAGTAGAGATAGGTTTTCACCATGTTGCCTAGGCTGGTCTCGAACTCTTGGCCTCAAGCGATCCACCCACTGTGGACTCCCAAAGTGCTGGGATTACAGATATGAGCAACTGCGCCTGGCCATGATGAATTTTTTAAATCTCAAAAATCCCAGTTTATCTTTCTTGGCAAATCAAATATATTAATATGTTTTACGCACACACACACACAGAGTATATTATCATGTCTTCTCTAAATTATTTTTTTGTCTCACTGTCTCCTAAAATTGTTCCTAAATGCTTCTTTGTTACAAAGAGGTAGAAGAAAAAAAACCCCGAAGAATGGAGGAGAAAAGAATATGAAGTGATGGAAGATGGAAAAAGAAAGTATGCTATGGAATAAGCGAAACCAATGAGGAGATGGAATCAGTAGTGATTTCCGTTTTCCTTAGCCCCCTTAGACTGATTTGGAGTTTGGCTTTGATATTTCTCTCATCTAATGCCCCCCAAGTGACCTCTTCCTAGCAATTTGTTCCACAAAAAATATTCCTTTCACTGCCAGCAAATATCTCTTACCTGACCAGCAGGTTGAAATATCCTGCCCCAGCATCTAAACATTCTCTCCAGCCTGCCAAGCCCCTAATCGCCTGACCCAGAGGACTTGGACCCATTGCCATTAGTTCCACCCACCCCTTACCCCGCATTAGCATGGAGAGTGTTGATGGCTGTTGTACATCTGACACAACTTAAGCAATAATTTGGTTTTACTTGATTAAATCGCCTTCAAAATATAAGCAGGTAAACTACATGTTGAATTCATTAAATTCTTCCTCCACTCTTTAGAAATACGTTTTTTAAAAAGGAATTGATAGGTGTCATGTACATATTTGTTCACTTCTGTTGATGCAAGATAATAAGATTGTTAACATGAAGGTGGAATGATGGTATTTATATTTTCATCAACACTGTTTACATAAGAGGAAAACATCTGAAAGCAACAGGGAGAGAACATTTGCTGCTCTGTACATATATTAAATTCTTCCATTTTTGTTTATAAAGCATATGAGGAGGAAAAACAAGTTTAACAAATTGAGAAGCCCACTTGGATTTCTCCTGTGTCACCTGTGAGCCATGATTGAAGCCCTCTTAGGAAACTTGAACATCTCTCTGAGTTCTCACATCTGCGGATATGTCCCCGAGTGAACTGGGAGGCCTCTGTCCGTGGTTCCTGCCTGAGCACAGAGTGACCAGCAGAAGAATGAGGTGGGGCTGCCCTCTGTCTCCTGCACAGGCTTCCCCCAGGGTCTCGCTCCCTGAATACAGACGCACTGAGCAAAATTCCGAGAACGGCTGCTTGTTGTAAAAAAGCGATTTCTGGGTCCAACTTTTCTTCTGGTATTTGGTTTTTCCTTTTCCTCATTTTGGACCCACACCCCTGGCCACACCCCCTCCCTCTCATCACTCCTGACCACTCCCCGTCACTCTCATTCTTGACTATGCCTCATTCTCGCCTCATTCCTGACCACACCCCCTCACTCTCCTCACCCCTGACCACACCCCCATCTTTCATCACTCCTGACCACTCCCCCTCACTCTCATTCTTGACTATGCCTCATTCTCGCCTCATTCCTGACCACACCCCCTCACTCTCCTCATCCCTGACCACACCACCTCACTCCTTCATCATTGACCACACCCCTCGCTCTTGATACCCCTGACCACGCCCCCTCACTCACCGCACACTGGCCATGCCCCCTCACTCCTGACCACGCCCCCTCATTCCTGATCAGGCTCCTTGCTCTCTCTCCTTCACCTCTGACCACATCGCCTCCCTCTGCACTCCTACTCTGGGTGCAAGTGGATTTGCTGGCATCTGCTAAAGTCCTGATCCTTACAGAGGAGCATTTCTGCACTCGGCCCCTCCCAGCTGCACACCAAGCTTCTGAGGCAGAAAGCCAGGTCCTTGGATCTCAGCAGCCCCTCACTCCCCATTCCTGCATTCCTCTCTCTCCCTGGTCTTTGTGCCCAAGGGTGGCTTTGCAGGGGGCAAGCCTCCATGCTATCTGCGACCACCATTCGCACAAGGACTCTCCTCCTTCCACCCTCCCTCCAGCCTGTCTCTGAAGCTGCCTTCTCCCCCGAGCTTGGTCAGGTAAACTGCCCTGCCCCCTGACCCACCTGCTCCATGGCTCACTTCTTCCCCAGCACTCCTTCCTTCTGGCCTGCATTCACTCCTTCAGCAGCATCAGCACCAATTCATGTGCCCAGGACTGTGCTGGATGCTAGACCAGACAGACAGACAGATGTCACCACACCACGGGGCCAGCACTGTGGAGACACACCAGGGGTCAAGGGCCCAGAACGGTCCTCACACATCCGGGTCTCCCAGGAAGGCCCGAGGAGGTTCTTACCCATTTACTCATCTAAGTGGATGGCAATCTGTTGACAGAGGCCCCGAGCCTCCTCTCTGTATCCCAGTGCAAATTATTGGCCCTGGGTGTGTTGGGGAATGTGTCCTGAGCCCTGCAGAAGGCTCTAGCACCCACACTCTCTGCAGGTCTCCCAGGGCTCCTCCAAGCTGAGCCAACCACAGTAAGGTGGGTGCAACCATACTTCCCAGCCCCAGCAGCTGATAGGTGCCTATTCAAGTATGTTTGCAAAACTCTTGAGTTAAAGTTAACCAGTCTCACTGCTGAAAGGTTTTTCAACTGTTCAGACACTTACGGCCATTGTGGTTTTCCACAGGGGAAGTAGAGAGCGGCATTTTTCTTGGTTTTGTTGTTGATATTGTTTATAATACTCACAGGCAGTTTTAAAACAATAACATCCCATAGGATTGGTATAACATTGTAATGGCAAAGAAAAATAACAACAACTGCTGACATCATTAAGGAAGCACATTTGCAATCCAGGCACGGTACCAAGAGCTTCAGGTGTATCTCCTCCCTTAACACTCAAGACAAACTCATCTCTTAGGTGCTACCTGGACATCCGCAGTAAAGGTGAAGAAACTGAGGTGCAGAAAGTTTCAGAAACTTGCTGTGATGATGGTAAGGTCAAGAGTTGAGCTCAAGGAATGGGGTCCCCAGGCCTTGTTCCTACTCCCATCCACATGGCCCCCTGGAACACTGGGGGCGAGGTTTTGTTGTCCAGCTCAGTGCACCATGACTCACAGGGACCTTCTGTCTAGAGAGAAATGAACACATTTATTCCAATTCACTGATGTTCTCTCTGAATTTACCCTTTTAATTAAAAATAGGAGGCCGAGTGTGGTGGCTCAAGCCTGTAATCCCAGCACTTTGGGAGGCCAAGGCGGGCGGATCACCTGAGGTCAGGAGCTCGAGAGTAGCCTGACCAACATGGAGAAACCTGGTCTCTACTAAAAATACAAAATTAGCTGGGCGTGGTTGCACATGCCTATAATCCCAGCTACTCGGGAGGCTGAGGCAGGAGAATCACTTGAACCCAGGAGGTGGAGGTTGCAGTGAGCCGAGATCATGTCATTGCACTCCAGCCTGGGCAACAAGAGTGAAACTCCGTCTCAAAAACAAACAAAAAAACAAACAAAAACAGGAGTCAGTACACCAGTGCATGAGCTGAGCCCAAGACCCTGATTCCAAAACAGAAAGCAGACTGTTGTGTTCTGCTACTATAAACAACCATTGCAGCCTGCATTTCTCTGCCTGCACTGCTGACCAAAAGCAACGTGCACAATAGGAAGCATGGCATCGTGTCTACCTGAGCCAGGCATTCTATAGACCAAGGGTCCCCAATCCCAAAACTGGGCCACACAGCAGGAGGTGAGTGGTGGGCAAGTGAAGCTTCATCTGTACTCACAGCCACTCCCCATCACTCACATTATTGCCTGAGCTGCATCTCCTGTTAGATCAGAGGTGGCATTGGATTCTCATAGGAGCACACACCCTGTTGTGAACTCCACATGCCAGGGATCTGGGTTGTGCACTCCTCATGAGAATCTAGTGTCTGATGGTCTATCACTATCTCCCATCATTCCCAGATAGGACAATCTAGTTTCAAGAAATCAAGTTCCAGGCTCCCGCTGATTCTACATTAGGGTGAGTTGTATAATTATTTCATTATATGTTACAACATAATAATACTAGAAATAAAGTGCACAATAAATGTAATGTTCTTGAATCATCCCAAAACCATCCCACCCCCAGTCAATGGGGAAAAAAAAATCCATCCTCCCCACCCCTGTCCATCTTTCATGAAACCAGTCCCTGGTGCCAAAAAGGTTGGGAACAACTGCTGCAGACCATGTGTCTATTGAGGAGTGCAGATCCTGCAGAGAAGGGAAGGGAGAAGTCAGGTGGGATCTGGGAAGCTGTGCTAGCTTACCCACTCTCCTCTGTCCCATTCCCCTGGTGTAAATACCCCTGCCATGGCTGATCTTGAGTGACCATCGAAGCATCACTGACCTTATCATTGGCTCTCCTGAGCTCCTACATGTGGGCTTCAATGCACCACCAAGATGTGAGTGCTGGCTTCTTGTTTCTTTCTTTCGGTTTTCTTTAATTATTTATGTGTTTTTGCAAAAGGAGATGCACAGCTCTGAAGTCACAGCAATTGTGCTGCAATTGAGATTCCAGTGCCAAATTAAAGACAACTTCAAAATATAAGAGTTGTTACATATTTATTTCAGGCCTAGCACAACAGCTCAACAGTTGGACCCACATTATAGAAGCTTTTGTGTAAGTAAATGAAAGGTATTATTGACAATAAATTTAAGATATCTGACTAGAAGGGCTTTGGTTAGAGAGGATTCACAGCATCACCATGAGATCCTATGAAGGAAACGAAGTGGCTGAATTTGGCCAACATCATGAAGGTCTAAAGCAGCAGATATGCTGCCTTCTTCTGCTTCTATTTTGTTCTTTTAATTGTCCATTCATTTTTTGATTCATCAGTTGTTGTGTTCTTGCCATCTATCAGTCATGGTATTAAATGCTATGACTTGGAGGTGAAGACTGAGGCACAATGATTTATTCTGTCATTGAGCTTGTCATCTTGGAGCTTGGTCTCCCCACCCAGGAACCTCCTACAATGAACTTTCCATATTTAGAGCGCCCAAGTTGAGGGTATGATTGTATGTATGTGCATGTGAGTGTGGAGGGGTACCATGACAACTAATGAATCTTAGAATCACTGTACCGGCTCTATCATAAATTATCTTAAAATTTCTTTTTTCATATTCATATTACGAAGCTAAGCTATGCCTAGCTGGCATTGAATTCTGATAAAAATCTCTTGGTTTTATGTCAGCAATGAGCAATCTTCCTTGGGAGTAGATAGTCCAAACTGGTCTTTGGTTTCTGTGCAGCCCAAACTGAGCAGAAAATCTTGAAATTTCTGAGACTGTAGGGGGTTGTTTAAGCCCATCTGAGCATGGTGCACACAGATGAAAGCAGGCTGGCCTTCAAAGGACTACTCTGAGAAGGAGAAAGCAAAGGCTTCAGGCTAAACGTCAGGGTTAGAGGAATGGCTCCCAGCCCAGTAGAAAAGAATCTGTGTCTCTAGAAACAACAGAAAGGAAACAAGAAAGGAAAAAAAAATCCCTGACACACTCCAATCTCAGAGAGAGGGATGGGGCTGAGCTCCACTGGGCAGTTTCAGGTGAAGGGATGGGAACATGATCCTCTTCCTGGAAAAAGTCCAACAAGACAACAGGCCACACAGCCAGCCAGCTGCCCTGGGCACAGCACAGAGCTTCCCAAGGACCCCTGGACACTGAGAGGCTTGCTCAGGAAGGGGCCCAGTGGACAAAGGTGGATTTGAAATCTGAGACCCTGGTTTCATTCCAAGGCCTCTGGCCCTCAGCCTCAAGAGGAACAAAGCTCACTCTTCCCCAGTTGTATGTGGACAGGAAGCTACTGATGCCCTGTTCAGTGAGCCACCCTACTGCCCATGGGCTGGGGCAGCAGCTTTGTCTCTAAGCCACCAGGCAAGATTCCCCTAGATAAGGGCTGACCACAGCCTGAAGCCATGGCCCCAATTCCCTGGACTCTGAAGGATGTTGTTCCTCAGATAGGTGTTTTAGGTAGACTGAGACAACTTAGTACAGTTAAAAGAAAACAGGATTGAAAATGGGGTGGAGCTCTGTTCAAGTCCTGGCTAAACATTTCCAACTCTCTGGCCTTAGAGAACCAATTACTATTTCTGCATGTGAATGTTTTCATTGGTAACATAGAGATGCCCTGATTTCCCCTGCAGGGCTGTGGCAGAAATGGGAGGCCAGGTATGCAGAGAGACTTTAGGTATCCCAGATACTTCACAAACCCTTGAAATTAACACTTACAAGCTAGTTAGCTGAAAGAAACACAAAATTAAGGCCATTTTCTCTGGTCTTTTGACCCAAACACTGTAATACCTGGAATACTCAAAGAAAATAAATATTGCAAGCACAGGAGCAATAGGGGGGGTCTGGAATTGCCTTTGAATGATCTGAAAAAACAAAATTCCTTTCCTCTCTTTTGCTTGGCTAAGGAGCCTGGATCAAAGGTCCCCATACTCCCCACAATGCCATTCTCTGGGGACATCATTACCATGGACACAACCGTTTGTTGGTTTCAGTGCTGCGGTGTTTACACAGAATGACTTTATTGGCTATCCCTCCTCTTGTCCCAGGAAATGTCTTTTGTTTTATCAGGCAGAGCAACAAAATCATATGGTGAAATAATCATCCTGATAATTAATCCCTTTCATCAAGAGAGCTAAGAACACACATTTAAGGGCCACATATTAGCAGCAATAATATTTAGAAATGGAAGAAGTGATTTTATTGCTTTAGTAAGGCATGTGGATTAGGTTGACCCCTCTAATTGATGCTCTGCTGAGTGTGAATCTGCGAGTTGGGCAGCACACAGACATTAATTAGTCTGTGCTTGGGCACACACCAGCTCCAGTACACTCAAGTTTCATCCCAAATTGCTGCTATAATTCCCCACTTTCATCTTGGTAGACAATATTACATTTGTGATGATTCAAATAGATTTTCTGCAGGCATTAAATTTTTAGTAAACAGACCCAAATTAATACCTGTTTATGACATTTTACTCCAGGGATTAAATCAAAAGAACTAATTTGATATATAAATATCTCTTCTCTGCTTTTAATGAACAGGTATTTTTGTTGCTGTTGTTGTTGTTGAGAGCAAAATTAGACACATGCCTCACTCCTCCAGGCTGCCTAATCATATGCGCTCCATGCCTCCCATTGAGAGAGTGTTATTACCTTTAGGAGTGAAGACAGAAGCATGTTAATTTTCCATAATTCAGTGAAACAAAACATAGATCTGAAATCTCCCTCGGTGGAGTTCCTTTCTCATCTATAGTAATGGGGTTGCATTTTAATGAAAACAATTCAGTCCGTTCTAATGTAACCATCAGGGCAACACCAGCCTCACCAGATCCTGATTTGAGAAGATGGTCTTTTCATTTTGCTTGGTGTTGTGCAGGTGATAAAGAAACTCAAGTGTCTACGAGTGACCTTGATGGCAATGTTGCATTTAGTGCTAATGAGGGTGGCTTCACGGTCCAAGGATGAACGGGCTGGCAGTGGGGTTTCGGCAGCCTCAAGTATCCGTCCACTTCCCACACTGACGGTAAGTGCTCACGGCTTATTTACGGCCTGCAAAGATGAAATACTGTCATACCTGGGCAAAGCTAACTTTGGCATGGAGACCAACTTTTAGACTCCAGTAAACTTTGCAGAATCACAGATGACAGGTCAGAACTGTGTTTCTTTCTCCTTGATGAGGTCGCTGATATCATGATGATTGAGAAATGTCTCCTGGCTAAAGATGGCAAATTTGACACACTCACTTAGCTCTTTCTCTTCTCAAAGCCTAATTATAGTCATAGTAAAAGGACTTTTCAAAAGGCCTAAGCCCACACAACAAAGGGAACAGACAGGGACAACACAATTTTGGAAATGGGGAAGGAAAGACTAAGCAAAAGTGACTTAGCAGACTGTCTTGGTTTGGAGCCTCATCAAGGAGAGGGTTCAAGTGCAACTAGCTTATTCAAAAGGTGAAGGGAACACCTACAGCGACGTGGGCAAGTGAGACAGGGAGAAGAAGGCACCAGGAATGGGTGTATCATCAAGCCAGTTACCACCAGGGGCAACTTGAACCTGACCTGCTGGGGAGATTCTGGAAGCCAAGGTAGAACACCTACCTTCATTAGATGGGTTCAATAAAATTCTGAGGGAAACTTTCAGAAACTAAGAGCACAAAGAAATGGAGAACAGGAGAGGTCATTTAAAAAAAAGAAGAAGAAGAAAAAATAAGACCTGTCCAGTTTTCTCTTGACCCCACTTTTCCCACCAACTACTACATATTTTTTACTGTTTTGCAACAAAGATGATTATCTGTTGCTTGTCCCTCATTCTCTTCTAAACTGACATCAGTGAGGCATCCAGTCACCAGTAACTTTCATATTGCTAGACCAGTGGCCAGTTCTCAGGTGCCATGTGGTTTGCTCTCACAGCAGAGCCTGCATGTGCTGTGTTCGCATGGCTTCCCGACCTCACTCCTTCTTGCTTGTTTTGGCTTCTCCCTCCCGCCTCACTGATTGCTCTTTCTCAGCCTCCTGTTCTGGCCCTTCTTCTTCTCTTTGAGCTTTAAATGCTGAGTGCCTGAATATGGGACATTCTCCCTGAGGTCCAAACTCACTGTCTCCGTGGCTCTCATCCAGGGTGAGGTCTTGAAGATCATCCCTACTTTGAGGACTCTATGTCTGCAGATTAGAACTTTCCTCCTAATCCCAGACTAATCTGTCCAGCTGCACTTGTCACATCCTCTGGATGTCTGTCATCTCAGACTCAAAATGTATAAAATTAGATGCCTCACCATCCCCCCAAATTCCACTTCACCACAGCCTTTCTCATCTCAGCAATGCTAGGTCTTTCCTTTTAGTTGCTCAAACCAAAAATTTGCAATCATCTTAAACTCCTCTTTTTCTTTTCTCTTTCCACCTCCAATATAACAGGAAGTCCCACTGGCTCTCCCTTCAGGAGGTATTCAGAATGTGACCGTTTCTCTCCTTCATTGCTGCTGCTGTACCGAGAGTACCCACCTCATCTCTCGTGTACACTGCTACGGATATTCCCAACAGGCCTTCCTGCTTCTACACTCATACAGGCCGTCCTTAACTCTGGAGTGAGAGTAAGACTGTAAAGCTGTGTTAACTCATCATCACCGCTCTGCCGAGAGGCCTGCTTGGGTCCCTCCATGACTCAGATGAAAAGCCAAAGCACCCCATCCCCACCCCAGAAATGGATAAGGGCCTTGTGATCTGTCTGCCTCATCACCTACGACTCTCCCTAGCTGTCAGTCTACTCCTGCCACTCTAATTCCCTGATGTTTCTTCAACATGCCAGGAACATGCTTACCTCAGAGCCTGCTGTGGACTGAAAAGTGTACCCCAAAATCCATCTGTGGAAGCCCTCATCCCTAATGGAAGGGTATCTGGAGATGAAGCGTTTGGAGGTGATTAACTTAAGCTTAGTCAAGCTCAGAGGGCAGAGCCTCAGGATGGCATCAATGCCCTGGTAAGGATGAACACTGAGACCTGGCTGTCCCTCGCTCTCCACTGTGCAAGGACACAGTGAGATGGTGGCCACCCACAAGCCAGGAAGCAGGCACTCACCAGAAAACAAACCCTACGGGGCCTTGACACTGGCCCTTCCAGCCTCCAGAAAGGCTAGGAATAAATGTTTACTGTTTAAGTCCCTGGTCTGTGGGACTTTGTTATGGCAGCATGAGGGGCTGATTGAGAGCCTTTGCATGGCTCTTCATTCCTCCCAGGATGAGATTTCCAACTCTTGGCTTCCTCACCCCCTCACATCATCATTTCATGTTGCAACCACCCACCCACTACCCCTGTCTCTCGCATTCTCATTTACTTTTTCTTTAATTTCATAAAACATATCACAAAGCCATTTGGTTATGCATGATGTTTATTGTCTATTTTCTGCCTCCCTGCTAGAGGGTAAGATGCTCAAGAACACTGCTCTGTCTGCATCCCAGGACCCAGAAAATGTTTGACGCATGGTAAAACTTAGATACCTTTGTGTTTAATAAATTAATTGAAGGGGTCTGCAGACTCTTCAGTACAATTGATTATAAAGACCCAAACCAGCCCCATCATTACTAAACTTTAATGAGGCAAGTAGGAGATCATTTTTCAGTGGGAAAAATCAGGTTCATTCAAAGTGTTGGGGAATCTAAATGCTGTCAAACTTCTCAACAGCAACCTTGAAAGCTAGGAGATAGATAATGCCTTCAAATGTCTAGAGGAAAAGATCTCTCACATAGCATTTTCTACTCAGCCCAACTTTTGTTCATGTAGGAGGGAAGAATAAAGGCATTTTCATACATGCATGTCGACTTGAAGCAGGTATTACCCATTCACCTTTTTGGGGGAGAGTACTCTAGTATATGATTTAACAAAACACATCTATAAACCAAGTAGCTCCAAGAAACAGTGACTTCACCCAGGAAGGAAAGGAAGAGGCCGTCCAGGATGGCGATGACACCAGCAGTGAAGCAGCCCAGAGAGCACCGTGCTCAAACTGAGCCTGAAGACGAAGGATCCCAGAGTGGCGCCCATGAACACGCAAGAAAGAAATTATCAGACAAGGGGACACCCATTGACGGGGAAGTGTGCATCTGCAGGGGAGTTGCAAGATATACCAGTCCTAAGCACATTAAAAACGGGCAAAAAAAAAATGATTTCAACAAGATGATTACTGCTGAAGAAAACAAAGTTCATTAAAGGAAATGTAATTATAGTGCATTGTGTGTTCTAGCCAAGAGCACTATTTACATAATCATGATGCTATAAATATGTAATAATCATCTGCCACAAAATAAGATGTAACTAAGTTGGGGAAAGGTGAAGCCAGTGTGAGTGTGAGTGTGTCAATGTGTGTAAGAGTGTGTGTGAGAGAATGTGAGTGTGTGAATGTGTGTAAGAGTGTGTGTGTGAGAGAATGTGAGTGTGTGAATGCTAGTGTCTCAAATGTGTGGAGTTTGTGTGACAGTGCAAGTGTGTGTGTGAGCAGATGTGTGTGAGACAGTCTGTGAGTGTATTTGAGTGTGCAAGTGTGTGCGAGTGTGTGAGTGTATGTGTGATGAGTCACATTCATAAGCTGAATCATCTTCAAAAGATAAGATCTAAACCTAAAAATTCAAGTGATTGGATGAAAGCATTTGATTTTAAAATATGGAGTTAAATATCAAAAAAAGGTCCTTGCATCTGGGGAGCAAGAATCAAAAGTGGATAAGAAGGGTCGCAATTTTAATTTTTAATTTTAAGCACTGTAGTATCCTTGTTTTTAAACAACTGTTTACATGTATACGTGTGTGTGTGTGTATGTGTGTGTGTGTATCTTAGAGAAAATTAAGATTTTTTTTTCTGCTTTTTTTCCCTGCTTTTCTCAAGGGATCCACAATCCGGAGGGAAGACCCATAGGCTTCCCAGCATCCACACAGCATCATTCTCTTTGCCTCTGGTCTCTGCCAATGGCGCATGACTCCACTGGCCGTCCAGGAGGACAGGCCTGGGACTCTCTGTTACTCCACACCCACCCCACCTCACAACTCCTTTCCCTAGATCTCTGCATATCTCATTCCTTCTTGTCCTTCAAATTCAGGGCACACCTCTATCCTGCTCCCTCATAGAAAGGTCGTCCCTCTCTCTCCTTCCCTTCCTTAAACTGTTACTGTGCTTGCTGTATGTCTTCCATGGTCTTTGCCGTTTTCTAAATGCAGTTATATCCATTTGTGGCTGTGTCCTATTCACTTCTGGTGAGTTCTTCAAAGTCAGTTTGAAATTCTAGAACATATCCACATAGAGGAACACTATTCTATTAGTACTTTTAAAGATCCACTCTTCTTTTAATGTTCCTATTCAATGTCTGTTTTTTGTAACTTCTATTGTCATCATAATATATCCTCATCTCTGTTTTGTTTGGAAATATTCTTCTGTACCTCTTATAACTACTTAATTGGACACTGAGATCATTAGTGTGTAAGTTTCCTTATTTTCCAGATTATGCATTTAAAGCTTAAATTTTTCTCTCCGAGCTGCTTTTTCTGGATTATGTTAATATTTTGTGTAGTATTTTTAGCATTTACTTTGAAATGTTTTGATTTCCCTAATGAATTCTTTTTGACTTGTAAGCTATTATTAATAGGTATATTGTTAAATGTTTGAATATTGTTATAAGCTTAAAATATTTTTGTGGTTTGAAAAAATGATCCTTATGATAGCAACTCTCTGCAATTTCCCAGACCTAGCACATGGCCTGTCGTGGTCTATGCCCCATATGAGCTTACTTTCTCTAATAAGTGGCAGCATTGATCTAGTTAATGAAACATGCTTTAATTTCATTTTTAAAATAATTTCAACATTTGATATTTTATTTATTTGATTTGTTGAAAATTGAGAGAGGAATGTTAAAAACTCACACTATGATTTTATATATATATATTAATTTCTGTCTGTAGTTTTGAATTTTCTTGGTTTATGAATTTTAGGTGTGTTTTATTAAGCACAAATGAGCTTAGAAATGTCATATCATTCTTATAAGTAGTAACTTTAATCATTTTATATACATTTTTATCCATGACAATTATTTTGACTCAATATAAACTTTCTGCATTTTATAGAGCCGTCTCCTCTTCCTTTGGTTCTTATTGCCTGCTGTATTTTTTCCCATCTGTTTTATTAATAGTTGTTTACAGCTGCATAACAGATACCCTAAAATTCTGTGGCTTTAGTACAATCTAACCTTGTTCTACAGTTTCTTTGGGTTAGGAATCTGAATGTGGCTTAGTTGGGTGCCTCTGGTTAGCAGTGTCTCATGAGGCTGCACTGAAAGTAGTGGCTGTGGCTGCAGTCTCATCTGAACGTGTGGCTGGGGGAGGACTTGATTCCAAACTCACTCACCTGGTTACTGGCAGGACTAAGCATCTTGTAGGCTGTTCACTAGGGACTTCTCTCAGATCATTGACCCATGGGATTCTTTTCAGAACAGCTTATAAAATGGCATCTGGCTTCAATCAGATGAGCAAATGAGGAAGTGAGAGTGAGCAAACCAGTAACCTAATCTCAGAAGCAGCATCCCTCCAACTTTTCTGTATTCCGTGCATTAGAATCAAGTCTCCAGGTCTCTGGGACCAGCCCACATACAAGGGAAGGGAATTGCAAAAGGATGTGAAGATTGCAGGGACCATTTAAGCTGTTCTTTCATTTGTTACAACTGCAGGTGTCTATTGTGTTGTATTTCTTTCTGCTCTTTCACTTTGGAAAGTGCACTTGGGAAATCCCATTTTAGGGTGGTGACTTTGAGGTCCTGGAAGATGACAAGGTCCTCTCGTCAAAAGCCATCAGTTTTGTCCAGGCTTCTGAGGGGATTGGGCTGGGCAGGGGTGTAAGCGATTTTTAATTCCCTGAAGTGGATTAAAAATGTCCTCAGATTCTTTGCAGGTCTTTCACCCAAAAGGAGAGTCTATTTCTCCACCCCTTCACTTCTGGGGTCATTTGCTTTGACAAGTAGAATGGGTCTTTGCAAACCTTCTAATCAGCATCTCCAGAGCCTTTGCAACTTCCACCCTGGTACAATCACTGTATGTGTGTTTATTAAATTATGTGACTCTTTGCCATGCATGGTGGTGGCTCATGCTTGTAATCCCAGCACTTTAGTAGGATGAGGCAGTAGGATTGCTTGAGGCCAGGAGTTCAAGACAAGCCTGGGCAATATAGTGAAACCCGTCTATACAACAAGTTTTTTTTTTTTTTTTTGAGACACAATCCGAGATTGTGTAACAATTATTCAAGCCTTACGGAAGCACATAGAGAGTAACAGTTTCTGTCACCTCAGTGATGGTCTGTATTAGAAATGTGATAGATGCCACCGGAAAGCTCTTTCCTGCCCTGTCCGTGTGCTAATGTTGATCTCGCAGTGGTGTGAGCGTATGTTGCTCTGTAGCACTGTCCACTTAACAGTATAGCCAGACAGTGATTTCATCATGGAACTGAAGGTGGAGATGCATGAAGCCTGTAGATAAGTCTGCATCATCTGTGCTTCATACAGCATCAGCTATCCTCCCCATTCAGAAATGTGATTGACAAACCCCTTAGCTACTGATTGCCCTACTTCTTTAGACCGGATGTAGCTGAAATTCTGGTTCCTCAATGATCACTTTTGTGAAGTCTTCATTTTGAGGAGCAACAATGTTGGATTATAGGGTAAATCTGAGTGTTCAAATTTATATTTAATTTAAGCACCACTGAAAGATTCAAAAGAACAATATGCACTACTGATTTTATTAAAAAGTATCTAGCCTGTATTTAAAGTGAATTGATTTTTTTCTTCATATTACATTATTCATTTTATTATAATCATTAATACAATATTATCCATCTTGTTGTCCCATATATTATGGCATTTCCCCCATATGTGAATATATTACCACATAGAAGGAAATGACCCCATATTCCTAATACATAATTAGATACATGAGTTGATCTCTTTACAGGCAAAAATGTACCTCCTCCATTAAATATTAAAGGGAAGGGAACAATATAATACTCCACACTTGAATCTTGTAGCTCCAAACTCAGACAGAAATGTTGCTAATTTGCACATTTTATATGGTACTGAAGACTGCCACATTAAGGAGTGTTTTTATTGTAGGCCACTGTCATCAAATCAACTTTGCATAAGAAAACTTATGAAAATACAAACCGTTCTGTCCTCACAACTTCAGTCCACCACACTGGCAAATGGAGTCACACCTGCATGCTCATAGTTTATCACCAGAAACTAAAAAGCTACTAGAAGAAAACTGTGGGGAAATGCTTGAGGACACTGGTCTGGGCAAAGATTTTTTGAGTAAGCCGTCCAAAGCACAGGCAGCAAAAGCAAAGTAGACAAATGGAGTCACATGGAGCTCAAAAGCTTCTGCACAGTAAAAGAAACAATCAACGAAGAGACAACCTAAAGAACTGAAGAAAATATTTGCAAACTATACATCCAACTAGAGATTAATAACCAGAATATATAATGAACTCAAACAACTCAATAGCAAAATAATAGTCATAATAATCTGATTGTAAAATGGACAAAAGATCAGAATAGACATTTCTCAAAAGAAGACATACAAATGAGCAACCGGTATATGAAAAAATGCTCAACATCATCAATCATCAGGCAAATCCAATTAAAACCACAATGAGGTATCATCTCACCCTGGGTAGAATAGCTCTTATCAAACAGGTTGAAGATAACAGATGCTGATGAGGATGGAGAGAAAGGGAAGAGCTCTTACACTATTGGTGGGAACACAGAGTACTACAGCCATCATGGAAATAGATGTTCCTCAATAAACTAAAACTAGAAGTATCATATGGACCAGCAACCCCACGGTTGCATATATATATCTCAGAGAAAGGAATAAGTATGTCGAAGAGGTATCTACACTCCCATGTTTATCATAGCACCATTCACAATAGCCAAATGATGCCATCGACCTGTTGTTGCGGGAAGTCAGGGACCCCGAACGGAGGGACCAGCTGGAGCCACGGCAGAGGAACATAAATTGTGAAGATTTCATTTTAACATGGACATTTATCACTTCCGTAATAATACTCTTATAATTTCTTAAGCCTGTCTTTACTTCAATCTCTGAACGTAAATTTTGAAGATTTCATTTTAATATGGACATGTATCAGTTCCCAAAATTAATACTTTTATAATTTCTTATGCCTGTCTTACTTTAATCTCTTAATCCTGTTATGTTCATAAGATGAGGATGTACATCACCTCAGGACCACTGTGATGATTGTGTTAACTGTACAAATTGATTGTAAAATGTATGTGTTTGAACAATATGAAATCAGTGCTCCTTGAAAAAGAATAGAGTAACAGCGATTTTCAGGGAACAAGGGAAGACAACCATAAGGTCTGACTGCCTGTGGGGTCGGGCAGAATAGAGCCATATTTTTCTTCTTGCAGAGAGCCTATAAATGGACGTGCAAGTAGGGAAGATATCACTAAATTCTTTTCCTAGCCAGGAATATTAATAGTTAAGGCCCTGGGAAAAGAATGCATTCCTGGTGGGAGGTCTATAAACGGCCACTCTGGGAGTGTCTGTCTTATGAGGTTGAGATAAGGACTGAAATACGCCCTGGTCTCCTGCAGTACCCTCAGGCTTACTAGGATTGGGAAACCCCACCCTGGTAAATTTAAGGTCAGACCGGTTCTCTGCTCTCGAACCCTATTTTCTGTTGTTTAAGATGTTTATCAAGACAATACGTGCAGAGCTGAACATAGACCCTTATCAGTAGTTCTGTTTTGTCCTTGTCCTGTTTCCTCAGAAGCATGTGATCTTTGTTCTCCTTTTTGCCCTTTGAAGCATGTGATCTTGTGACCTGCTCCCTGTTCTTGCACCCCCTCCCCTTTTGAAAACCTTACGAAAACTTGCTGGCTTTAAGGCTCAGGTGGGCATCACAGTCCTACCGATATGTGATGTCACCCCCAGAGGCCCAGCTGTAAAATTCCTCTCTTTGTACTCTCTCTCTTTATTTCTCAGCCAGCCGACACTTATGGAAAATAGAAAGAACCTATGTTGAAATATTGGGGGTGAGGTCCCCCAATAACCTGTGATCATCGACAGATGAATGGATAAAAGAAATGCACTATATATCACAATGGAATATTATTGAGCCATAAAAAGAATGACATCCTGTCATTTGCAGCAACATGAATGCAACTGGAAAACACTACGTTTAGTGAAATAAGCCGGGCACAGGAAGACACATGTCACGTGTTCTCACTCATATGTCAGAGCTAAAAAAAACTGATCTTATAGAGGTAGTGAATAGAATGGTGGTTACCAGAGGTGGTTACCAGGAAAGACAGGGAGGAAGGAACGTTGGACAACAGATACAAACATACAGTTAGACAGAGGAAATGAGTCCTAGTCTTCAATAGCACGGTAGAGTGACTATAGTTAACCAGAATTATCACATATTTGAAAATACTTGGAAGATTTGCAATATTCTCAACAGGTAGAAATGATAAAAGTTTGAGGTGCTAAATATCCCAACTACCCTGATTGGATCTTTACACAGTGTATTCATGTATCAAAATGTCACACTTACCCCATATATATTTACAACTATTACATAGCAGTAAAAATCATGACAATATCAGTAATTAACAGCTAACTTTTATTTGACATGTATGATCTGTCTAAGCTTTTCACCATCATTGTTTCCTCTGACACTCACAATATTCCCACGACACAGATACCATCATCACTGTCAGTTTTACAAATAAGAATAAGAAGAAGTGATTCCAATGTGCTTTGGTTGAGCAGCACTGAGAGAGCCCCGATTCATCTGGATAAGAATGCAATGCACTGCTTGGTTTAATTTTACACCTCAGAGCTTTTGTACTGTGAGTGCAATAAATCTGGTGTGTGCACAGAAATCAGGGCAGAGTTAAGGTCCTCCTAAGGAGTGAGTCAAGTATTTTTTGATTTGGCCAGATCAGCTTTCTTTAGATATCTGCACAAAAATACTAACCTGCCAATCCCAGATGGAATTTTAACTAACATCAGGGAGACGAGATGGCCACTTCCCTCAGGTGTAAGAAGACCCCTCTCCAACAGGCAGAGGCAACAGACTGCATTTATTCTGGGTTTCAGTTGCTGAAGGAAACGATTTGCCACTGGTTTGTGGGCACATTTTCTTGGAAGCTAACTTTGCCCGTTACCTCTAAATTTTGTTCAGTGCATCGTTGTTATAAAGACATACTTAGATTTTTGTGATTGTACATTTCAATAATTCAGTTGTTGAGTGAGACAATCTTAGGAGACATAATGTTCTTGATGTCAGCCATTTTTCAAAGGAGGTGTTTATTATGGAACTAAAGGAAACTATGTGCTTCAATCTATCAACTAGACTATAAAAGAGCTAACTGCAATTTTCAAGAATATGTATTTAGTAAAAGGTATTTGACTTACCATTTCTGGGAGAGAAGTAAATTTTTACATTTGTTTTATTGTGACTTGTTTCTGATATTCTGACTTAAAATTTCATGGTCACAAAAAAGTATAAATTAAATGTTCTCTTTATGAAAAATAAAGTACTGGCTACGCACAGGTGACATGAGAAAAATAGTCACTAAAAAGTGGTAACCAAGAGGGAATCCTGAAGTAATCTACGGACTTGGGGTGATAATGATGTGTCAGTGTAAGTTCATGATGGGTAACAAAGGTACCACTCTGGTGGGGGATATTGACAGTGGGGAATGCCATTGTGGGAGAACAGGGGCAAATGGGAAATCTCAGGACTTTCAGATCAATTTGTTGTAAACTGAAAATTATTCTAAAAACTAAAGTCATATATATGTGTGAGTGTGTGTGTATGTGCACGCACATGTCTATTTACAAACACACACACGTATATATGTATATATACATATTATACACAAACTTACACACATCCCTAATAACTTTTCAGAGCAAAAACTTCTTCCTTTCAGAATATCTGCCAAAGTGACTTCAAGTATGCAGTTACTCATCTGAGGTAGCAAGGGGTGGCATAAATATCAACCATTCCATCATTAAGTACACTGTGTCCTAACTCTTGTCCTTCCACTGTAGAATAAATATTTACATAGCTCAGTATGAATATCAGAAGTCTCACAAGGACCTCTGGAGTGCTTATTTTGCCTCTGTGACTACTGAAAAAGTTCTCAAATAATGATCTTCTTAGAAACTTGATGTAGTACTTATATATCAATACACGCTTTGGATAAAAGAAAAATCCTTTACCAAAATGCACTTTAGGAATTAAATGAACCTCATAATGTCCAATATTGGATCATGACAGAGGACTCATTTTTCCTATATAAGTGATATAAAACTAAATATATATGTGTGTGTATGTGTGTGTGTAAATTCATGTCTATTTACACACACACACATATGTAAATATACACATTATACACACACATACACACACCCCTAATAACTTTTCAGGGCAAAAACTGCAACTTTAGGAATTAAATGCCCCTCATAATGTAGAAAAACAGAATCTGTATGAACTTGGTTTTTTAAAACTTGGGAAACCTTGAAAAGATAAAAGTGGTATAGCAGGGCCAATTAAAATGAAAATCACAAAGAAAAATCAGAGGAAGTGGCTCCTCTCCTCCCAATGGGAGTATGGGGTTTTGAATGATTCATGAACACAATTTCAGAAACTCTGCAAAAGAATACGTTTAACTGACTTACTCCAAAATTATTCTGAATTTCATACTTACTATATAAAATGTTTCCAAATGAAGATTTTGTATGTTGTTACATGTAAAAATTGCACATTGCAAAAAGACAGGTAGACAAATTGATGATTCAAGTTTTCAGATCCATGTATACCTAAACTTCCATGTACTCCATGAATATTAAACTTGAAAGACAAAGCACTCTACATAATTTATCTTGCCACAGATGAGAAATACTTGTAATCATAAGTAATTAAGTATACATACATGTTAATAAAATACTTTCAATCAATGCTCAGGGGAGGTATCATTGAATGGTGAACCAAAACAAATTAAATGGCATTTTGATGTCTTTGTGGAAATGACATATCCACAAACCAGTGGCTCAGCACTGATAAACATATATCTTGTTCAGTTGTCTTAATCATTTGTAGTAAAGTTTTTCAAGAACACAGACTTTAACTTACTTTAGTAATTTTGATAAGGCTACAGAGTATTTTTAAATCATACTTTTATTGGAATGTGCTGTTTAAGCTAATGAGTAAATACAAAAGAATGCACAGATAATATAGTCTTCTTTTATTGTTGTCCGTAAAAGAGAAAAATGTACCCTTCCATGCCCGTGCTTTCCACATTTTGAGACTGATACAGACCCACAGAGGCCACACCTAAAAGTATATTATCTTTAATGTTACAACTTAATTAACCATTATATAACTGAACAATTGCTGCTACTCACATAACTGTGTTTAGGGTTCATTCCACAGAAACGAGGTTTTGCACTTAACAAACCAATTAATGATAAATGAGGTATACTGGTTTGTACAAGAATTATCAAAACACTGTCAGTGTGGTTTAGTGTAGCTGGAGTTATGCTTGTATCATATAACATGGGTTCAAGTTATTTCTTCAGTCATCAGAACAACAGAGGTTGAAGAGACAACTGAATAAGTGCCAACTCTTGCTGCAGTTGTTTCAAAAAAAAGAAATTTAAGGAATTCTGATACATATTCCTACAAATACAGTATTCCAGTGCTTACATCAATCCTGAGTTTTTCAGATTAAATATGTACTACTTACAGTCTCCGACACAATTTTATTTTGGAACACGGCGATTTATTTTTTAAGTTGACTTTCTTCATCAAAAAGAGTTGTTTCATAATACTCTTCCGAATCCTCGATGCTCTAAAACAAAAAGCCTAGTTTACTGACAGGCCGCCACTTTACATTTCACGTTGTAAACAGGGTAAATTAAATGTCAAAAGGAAACGGTTTGTAATAAAGGATGCTGTTTATTTACTTCAAATTTAAAAACTGTAATCAATACATGGAGCTCCAAATGCCCACTTAAGCTTTTTAATGCCAGATTTCAGTGAAATATTATTACAGCAGGTACAACAGTCATGTACTTTGCCTGAAAAAAATGGGTTGATGACCATCTTAAGGTCGAAGTGGAGCAAAGACAGAAAAAGACTGGCAGTCTTACGTCATGAAATACCACATTTTTTCACCAGGTAGTGATCCATTTATTATCACTAATAGTCCATATAACATGGTTTCCATTGAAGGGATAAAATGGTCTGTGATATGACTTCATCAAGGTAGAGAAAACATAACTATATTTGAAATACACCCTATTCACTCAACAAATAGTTCAACAGTTCCTACTCCCTAAAATGTTGTATGTTAATGCTGAGGAAGAAGTAAAAAGCGAATACACAATCTCTTCCATATTCCTGTGGCATGAGCAAATGCACGAATAAAAAAAAGTAATACAAAAATTGTGTAACTGCCATGGAAGGACAACTCACTAGGACATGTAGCCAAAAATAGGGGCTGATGTCGACTTAGTTTGCTAAAGATTTCAATCGGTCAAAAAAAGAACAAAAAGATTTTAGAAGCATGGTGAGGGAAGAGCAAGAGCAAAGCATGGGAGTAACGGTGAGTTCATTCAGAGAAGGCTGTCAACCTGGAGAGATGGGAGGAAAGACAGAAGGCAAGCCTAAGAAGGGGTCACGTAAAGGGGAGTGTCTCTGAATACCTAAGAACTGAGAAGTATGAGAAGTAGACACCACTGTCAGACTGGGAAGAGGGAAGAGCTAGGAAGCATTTTAGAAAGGGAAGGGAAGGGTTTTAGGAAGATAATATTGCCGATCAATGAAGGATGGCTCAGAAGAGAAGAGAGAACTCAGATAACAGCTTAGTAGTACAAGCAAGGAAGAATGAGGTCTTGAACTAGGGCAGCTGCAGTGGGAATTTAAAGAAAGAAATTAAAGGACCATTGCAGAGGTAAAACTTGCAGGGCCTCGTGACAACTGCACGGGAAAGATAACAGACCGGTAAGAGCCCAAGATGATACCAAAGTTCCTACCGTCTAAGTGGTAACATATAGCATAAGCATTGACAGGAAAACTTTTCTAGTCTCATGTTCATATCAATTAATAAATGGTTTCTGGGAAACATAGCAACATGCTCTCTGCTTGTGACTTCTATTTAAATAACAGTTTTGTGTATAGATAATCCTCAAGTTGCTTGAAAATTTTATTATCAAACTCTTTTCCCAGTTTATTTAACACATCTAAGTTAGTCCAGAAGAGTGACTTACGAACGTATATTTTCACAAGGTTATTAAAAAGAATACCTCCCAAAAAAGAATTCCATGGTTTCCTAAATAATATACATCTAGAGCAAGAAGAGGTCATTGTCCGATGACAATTCGCTAATGTGCTGTATGACAGCAGTTAATTCTCAATGCACAAAGTGTTAATAATCTGCAGGCTTTCCCATTCTGTTATACATCTGAACCATCTCTTTTGATTACAAATTGTCATGTAAAACCATTACTAGCCAGTAATAATTTTGAGAGTAAATATGCCATAAAACACTCCTATATTACAGCAGGAAATAAAAGAGATACTCAGTAGTTATACTTGCCTACTTCCTGTTTAACTAAAACTGTTGAAACAAGACAAGCAAAAAAGACACCCAGAAAGGATTTATGGACTTCCTGCTTTCCACTATAGATTTGTCGCTGATCTCCTAAAAACTGAAAATAAAATCTTAATTAATGTGTTAATAAAGTGTCGACTTTATACACAAGATGCGTATTTCTAGGTAAAATTTCCAATTTACCTTTTCCTGTTCTCAATAGCTCCCACAAAACTATTCATGAATCCTAAAAATACATTTACCAATTATGTTAAATCCAGAACAATACATCCAAAGTGAAAATGGTAAGTAATTTAAAATGTATAACCAAAATATCTTTCCATGCATTCAGAAACAAGCAGATTGTCTTCTATTTTTATGCACGCTTTGTATTTCATAAGAATGTATTGTATAACCAAATAGAACAGACCTTCATGAATTGCTCATGTAGCAGCTTAATCTCTTTCAGTTGCTGTCTGCTAACGACTCTCTCTTGTTGCCATCTCTTTTGTTGCTCTCTAAATATTTTCTAGAAGCACAAAACAAAAAAGTGAAAAGAAATGGGGTAAATGTTAATACTTACAAAGCATAATTCTGCATTAGCTCTAAAAGAATACTCTTTAAAATCAATACTTCTGAACATTTTCTTTTCGGCAACGTTTATGACCAGTTTTAAACAATTATGTTCACCACTCATACGCTAAAACAATGTAATAACTTTTTTCATCAGTCATTGAGTAAAGCATTTCCTTTCTTATACATATTCAACACGTATGTCCTAATTCTTGATTTCAGATGAAGAGTAATTGATGACCCTGCCTATAATTTGTTTACCACAGATAGGTAAGATCTATACAGAAATTAACTAAGAAACATTCTTTCTTACTAAGATTTTAAACATGTGTAAAATCTTGGTCATTTCAATATGCACATAGATGAACCTCCCAATAATGCTGGCTTTTCTACACTTTGACCTAATCTCCAATAACAGTGTTTTCTCTCCTCTATGTGACACTCACTCACACAGTCATCCCCTAGATTTTGTCATTCCCAATGACTACAACATCTAAGTAACATTAATAATAGCAATGATAAAGAGCAACCATCGGTCAGATTGCATCCCGAAGATGTTAAATAAACCCATTGCATAGGAACCCTTTAATCCTCCAAACAGCTCTGAGGTAGGTACTCTTACCATGTCTCCTTTTATAGATAAGGAAACTGAGACACAGAGATAAATACTTTGCCCATGGTTTCTGAGCTAGCAATGGTCAAACTGGAGTTGGATCCCAAGTTGGGTGGTTCCAGAGTCCTGGTCCTTGACCACTGCACTCAGCTGTTCCTCTATCTTCCCAACATACAGCCACTACCTCCCTGCCGTTGTAGGTCACTTACTTCAGTACTACAGCTCAGGAGTCTATCCGGACCTGACACCCATTGAATGGAGCCCTTTTCACTGCCCAACGCCCCACCCCCATGTGCTCGGGTAACTCAGTCTGAAATTCCACAACCAGTCATCATAACCCCATCCCTGCGTCTATGCCCTGCCCAACTCTCCCTCTATCAACGTGCTCAGCTACACCCCAACCCAGAAAATTCCAACCCTACAGCTGCTCTTGCACAAATACACCAACTGAGCTCACTTTAACTTCTTAATCACTATGATGCTGACCCCACTTGGGCCCCTAATGCTGCATGGCACTTACATTCCCCTCATCCATTAGTCCTCTAATGGGAACCCTCTCTGGGCTCATGCTCTCTTCCTTCTTTGCTGGATTTCTGCATGAACTATTACTACCTCAGACAGTGATGCAATAGGTTAATCATAAAGCTAAGCCTGATGCCAACAATTTGTTTTTCTTATTCTTCCTCAGTCTTCTGCATGTGTGTGTTATATTCTTGAAGAAAATTCAGCAACTGCAGAGAACATCTACAATTACATTTCTGCCTGTAACACATAATAAGTAACATGGTCATGCTTCATAGAGAGATGAAAAATCAATCCTATTCAAGCCAAAACTGATTTGACATAATTTATACTACAAATAGAACAACCTGGGTGGCAAAGTAACAAGGGAGTAATAGCAACTGAAATCCTCTCATTGGGAAAAGGGGAAATGAGTTACTCTCATTCCAAAAGGATTTCTTCCTAACTGACTACTAGATCAGCTGTCTTATGTTCTTTACGTACTGAAAACAAAGGAGGGTTTACTGCACTAAAAATTTACCAGAAACATTCATTTTCTCTAAGAGCAGTTTACTTTTCCTTTCCTCTTACTGACTAACGTGGGGGTTCCCATAAGTAAATTCAAGACTATCATGGCCAGTCATCCCGTAAGATTTTCCAAAAGAAATATTTCACTGAACTATTTCTCCACTCTGACACAACAGTGATTTTGTAAAAGAAATAGCGAAAACAATTGCACTAAAATAGATAACTTATTTAAAACATAAGGTTATCCCTTTCTACATAATGGAATATCGTTAAGGATCTAAAACTAAACGTTGAAGACATTTACCTCACATTTAGCTAGCATATTTCTAGAAATTGATAAAAATTAATTATACAGGAAGACTATTGCTATCTGGAAGGCGAAAAGAGGTCATCTTCATTGGCTTCTACGTAATATCTCATAATTTTGTTAAACTGAGGTTATAAAACTAAAGAAACTTACCTGCTTAGGGAACAATCAAGTGAAATACGTTGTTCACTGGAGACGCCAATAAGTACAGGACACTGAAATGATTTGCACCAACGAATACAAAGAAATGATATAAATATCATTGTGCAAAAAAGCCAGCAATCATACCTTTTCAGTTGTTGTGTTTTCAAAATATGTTCCATTCTGTTCTTGGTGTTGCTGCAAGCTTTTGTATATGTTTCAAGCCTTTTTCTCTTTGCAGAAAGACCCCGTTTCATGCATGTCAGCTAGATAGTAAGTGAAAATGCATTAAAAGTTAATGTTGAAAAGTAGTTCCTTGGAATATATTCAAATCGATATGGGACATGATGGTTCATTAATATTAGAAGGACATTTGAAATGTAAAATGCAAGAATCATTTCAAAAAGCAAGATTTTCCCACTTATTTTCTGTAAAATCTTTCAGGTATTAATATTAGTATTCCAATTCCAAATGGTAAAACTGCAAATCACTTTTAATTGACAGATGATGAAAAGCAAATAATTAAAAGCTTCTATTTTTAAAATGTACGGAAAGGGTTACAAACACAGAATTTAATTTCTACATTTAGAAAATGTCCTACAATTCAAAGGACACTTTGCCGTGAAGTACTGTCACGACTCATTATGTAAAGCACACAAAAGTATCTTATTTAATAAGACCATCAAAAGGGTAGAAATAATACACAATAAGAAAACTATTTTTAAGCACTCTAGTGATTAATGCTATTAACTGTATTGTAATAAAAGAAGCAATGTCCATGTGTATAAAAATTTAAGTTTAAGAAGTCAAATACATTCTCGAACACTTCTGAAATATTTTCTTGGAGCTTCTTATGTGACATTTTTATCCATAGTGCCGTGTCTCAGAAAACTGTAATACTGCAAGGAATGCTTTCCTAAACCTGGTTTCACATCAGAGATCTACCATCAATTGCTATTAATAGTTTTCAGCAATCATAAAAGATCTGCACCGTAATACAAATATTTTTTACATACAGTACCCATCTATAATACTCAACTTATTAGGCAGCTCACAAAACCAGCACTTTGTCACCACCTAGCAGAGCAAAGCTCCCCAAATACACTGCTTGTATGAGTTATCTCTATAGAAGAACAAAAAAAAAAAGGAACAAAACATTTTAAATATAAGAGTATTGTCTCCATAGTCTCTACAGAAATTTTCTCAAACGTTTTTGGAAATATGGTCCTGTAACAGTCAGTGCAACCAGGCTTTCACGTGGCAATATACACTTTATGAGTTTTTGGATCCAATTACATGTTTCTCACTGGTAGAAAAGTTGTATTTACTTTTCTACTACACAGTTTATCAGTGCAATAATAATAGAAAATACCCACTTTAGAGAATTCAATTTTCTCTGGTACTTTAAAGCAAACAAAATCAGAAGGCTATGACAATAGAATAGCTAAATTAGGAATATGAAAAACTCATATTTAAAACTCTGAGTACAGATGGACACGAAGAGGGGAACAACAGACACTTGGGCCTACTTGAGGTGGACAGTAGGAGGAGGGTGAGGATCAAAAAACCGCCCATCAGGTACTATGCTTGTAACCTGGGTGAAAAAATAATCTGTATGCCAAACCCCTGTGACACGTAATTTATCTGTATCACAAACCTGCATATGTATCCCCAAACCTAAAATAAAACCTAAAAAAAGACCACTGATATGTGACTTAAACTGGGTACACTGAAAGGAATGAATAGAGCTGTTCCTCATCCATCTTTACTCAGAAGTCATCAAATTTCTCCTCTATTTTCTAATAAAGATTTTGAGGTATTATTTTGCATTTTTAACTCTGTGTTTATCTACACTTGATTTTTTGTTCCCCATGTCAGGTAGAGATCCAATTCTGCTTTCCTTTTTCACGTGGAAATTTAGTTGTCTCGTCCTCATTAGTTGAATACTGTATAGTTTTCCCATTATCAGCTTATTTACTAAAAAGTCCTTCTTTGTCCCTGCTGATTTGAAATGCTACCTTTTTCATACTCTCAATTTACACATATTATTGGGTCTGCTTATCACTTTCTAGTATGTTGCCTTGGCCTGTCTGTCCATTCTCATGCCAGCGAATCCACAGTGTTTTAATGACAGAAGCTCAGGTGTATACTGTAATATGTTTTAGGCCACTTATTCCTCATAGCTCTTCCTTTTCGGTGATTTTGTAGCTATACTTGCCTTTTTAAATAGGCATTATAATATCATCTTGTTCTCTCCAGGGCAAAAGAGGAATTGTAATAAACTTAAAACTCACTTAGGGAGAAGTAACATCTTGATGATGTTAGTTATAATGTCCTCACACGGAACAAGGGATTTCTACCCACTAGTCCAACTCTACTTTTGTGTCTTTGTAAAAGGCATTTTATACTGTTTTGAATATGTCTTAATTTTATGCCTATTTTTAAAACCGTTTTTGTTGCTCTTGTAAATGAAGTTTGTTTTGTTTTTAACTTTTGTCTTCTAACTGGTTATATTTTTGTGTCTGTGGAGGCTGTTGGTTTTTGTGTGTCAATTTTATATACTGAAAACTTTCTGATTTTTTTTAATGTTTTAGTTACTTTTACCCCTGATTCTCTAGGGTACTCCAAGTATATTATGACGTCACCTGCAACTAGAGATAATTTTAGTTGTTTTCCAATTCTTTTGCTTCTAATTTCTTTGTCTTGCTCCTTGCATATGTGACAACCTTCAGGACAATGATAGGTAATAATGGACACATTAAACATTTTTGCCTGCTTCTTTACTAGAATGCCTCAGGATTTCTCCATTATTTAGCATTCAATTTTGATTATAATTTTTTTCAAATTTTGCCATTTTTTAGTATCTGTGAAGATAGTTGTACAATATTTTCCTTATGCCTATTAAATGGCAAAGTTTTAAAATTGCTAATATTCCACTTTGTATTCCTAGAATAAATCCTACTTGGCCATGGTGTACCATTTTCTCATTGTGATTTTTGAATATGTTTGGTAATATTTTATTTAGGATTGCCACATTAATGTTCAGAAGCAACATTGGCCCATCTGTGATGCTGCCATTATCAGCTTTAGGGAATATTGTTCTACTTCCTCCTAAAAAAGAAGTCCAATGTTTACCTTCATTTTCTAGTCTTCAAAGCAATATTAAGTGCTGCAACTATTTGGCCCTAAAGGTTTGGAGAAAGTCCCTGTGAAGGAATCGGTGCCTGATGGTCTCCTATGGATTATTTCCTTCACAATGCTATTTCCTTTGTAGAAATTGTCTTTTAACCTTTTGGGCGCTATTGGGATCAATAAAATGTATTTTGACAAGAAATTACATTGTTCATAGAGTGTTACAAATGTATCCACATAGAGATGCGTAAAGACATCCCTTTGGTTTTTACAAATTTCCTCTTTATTATAATTTACAGGCATACCTCAAAGATATTGTGGTGTTCAGTTCCAGACCATCATAATAAAGCAAGCAACACGGATTTTTTGGTGTTTCTTGGGTATAAAAGTTTAAGTTTACACTATGCTATAGCCTATTAAGTGTGCAAAAGCACTATGTCTAAATTTATATACCTTAACTTAAAAATATTGAAGTATTAAAAGTGTTTAATATCACCTGAGCCGTCAGTAAGACATAATCTTTTAGCTGGTGGAGAGTCTTGCCCCAGTGTTCATGGCTGCTGACTGATCAGGATGGTGGTTGCTGAGAATTGGGGTAGCAGGGGCAATTTCTGAAAATAAGACAACAATGAAGTTTGACACATAGAGAGACTCTTGTTTTCATGAAAGATGTCTCCATAGCATATGATGCTGTTTCAAAGCATTTTACCCACCCAGAGTAGAACTTCTTTCAAAGTTGGAGCCGATCCTTTTAAACCCTGTCACGGCTTTTTCAACTAAGTTCATGTAATATTCTAAATCCTGTGTTGTCATTTCAACTACATTGCTGCATCATCTCTAGGAGTAGATTCCATTTTAAGACACACATTCTTTGTTCGTTCATAAGACGCAACTCCTCATCCATTCAAGTTTGATCATGAAATTGCAGCAAATCAGTTCCTTCCTCAGGATCCATTACTCTTTCTGATTCTCTTACTGTGTCCATCACATCTGCAATTATTTCCCTCACTGACGTCTTGAACCCCTCAAAGTCATTCATGAGGGTTGGAATCAACTTCTTCCCTTTAATGTTGTTGATATTTTGACCTCCTCCTATGAATCACCAGTGTTCTTAGTGGCATCCAGAAAGGTGAATCATTTCCAGAAAGTTTTCAATTTCTTTTTCTCAAATCCATCAGAGGAGTCACCATCTGTAGCAACTATAGCCTTATGAAGTGTGTTTGTTAAATAAGGAGACTTAAAGTTAAAACTACTCCTTGATCCATGGGCTGCAGAGTGAAGGTTTCATGCACGTTAGCAGGCATAAAAATAAAAAAATCTCCTGGTATATCTTCATCACAGCCCTTGAGTGACCAGACACAGTGTCAATGAGTGGTAATATTTTGAAAGGAATCTTTTTTTCTGAGCAGTAGGTCTCAAGAGTGGGCTTAAAATCTTCAGTAAGCCATGATGTAAACAGATGTGCTGTCCTCCAGGCTTCGTTCTTTCATTTCTAGAGCACAGGCAGAGTAGCTTTAACATCATTCTTACAGGCTCTAGGATATACAGAGTGGTAAATGAGCATTGGCTTCAACTTACAGTCACCAGCTGCATTAGCCCCTAACAAGAGAGTCAGCCTGTCCTTTGAACCTTGGAGTCAGGCATTGACTTCTCCTCTCTAACTATGGAAAGTCCAAATGGTATCTTCTTCCAATAGAAGGCTTTTTCATCTGGAAGGAAAATCTGTTGTGAACGTAGCCACCTTCACCCATGATCTCAGATAGATCTTCTGGAGAACTTGCTGCAGCGCCTCCATCAGCACTTGATGCTCCACCTTGCGATTTTATGTGATGGAGACAGCTTCTTTCCTTACACCTTATGAGTCAACATCTGCCAGCTTCTCACATTTTTTTCTTTTTTTCTGCAGCTTCCTCATCTCTCTCAGCCTCAGAGAACTGAGGAGAGTTAGGAGTGTGCTCTTGATGAGGCCTTGGCTTAAGGTCATGTGGCGGCTGGTTTGATGGTCTATCCACTAAAACTCTCTCCATATGAGCACTAAGGCTGTTTTGCCTTATCATTCATGTGTTTGCTGGAGTAGCACTTTTCATTTCCTTCACATTGTTACTAATGGTTTCATGCAGAAAGCCTATCTCAGCTGTCGACATGCCTTCCTTACTAATCTTAATAATTTCTAGCTTTTGATTTAAAGTGAGAGATGTGCAACTCTTCCTTTCCCTTGAACATTCAGAGGCCATTGTAGGGTTAGGAATTGGCCTAGTTTCAATACTCTTGTGTCTCAGGGAGTAGGGAGGCCAGAGGAGAGGGAGAGGCATGGGAAAAGGCCAGTCAGTGGAGCAGTCAAAACACACACGTTGATAGATTAAGTTTCAATCTTATAGGGTGCATTTTTGTCGCTTCCCAATGTGATTACAATAGCAATATCAAAGATCACTGATCACAGATCATCATAACAGATATAATCCTAGCGAACACTTGAGATGTTGTGAGAATTACCAAAATGTGACCCAGAGATATGAAGTGAGCACATGCTGTGAAAAATGGTGCCCACAGATTGCTCAATGCAGCGTCAAAAACAAGCTGTATCTGTCAAGTGCAATAAAGTAAAGCACAATCAAATGAGGTGTTCTGGTAGTTCTATTTCTGCTGTGCAATACATCTGACTATCTATCTATCTATCTATCTATCTATCTATCTATCATCTATCTAGCCATCTACCTACCTACCTATCATATATAGAAACACTATCTCTATGACTTTGATTCATTTAGCTGCTACTTCATCTGCTTCAATGATTTAAAAAGAACATCTTGACTTCATTTCTTGATCTCATCTTTCTGTTTTCTCCCTCAATAATGTCTGCTGTTTATATTAATGTTATTTCTTTCTTGTGCTTTCTTTTGTCTTACTAAGCCAAAAGAAATAATTTTCTTTCTAAATTTTATGTCTTGTCCTTGAGTTAGAAATTTCCCTCATTCATTGTCATGGGTATGAGTATTCAAAGCTGCCCATATTTCTCTGATCGCTTCTTTAAATATGTCTCATAGATTTTGATCTGTAGACTTTATTTTAATTTATCAGAAATTATATAATCTCATCTCCTATCTCCACTGGCGTCCAATATTCTTTTAACAGATGATATTTATGAGTTCTAGTCTAGCGGGGAGAGGTTTTTATTGCTTTTAGTTGTAGTATACTATGACGATGGCATGTAATTTGTGATTTCTTTATTTCGTGGAACTTACTGATGTTTTCTTAGTGACCTCATATGTGATCAACTTTTGTAAATGTTCCTTGTATGATAGAGAAGGTGTATTTTCTGGTATCATGTTGTAGTTTGTTTATTTGTTTATTTGTTTTGAGACAGAGTCTGGCTCTGTCGCCCAGGCCGGAGTGCAGTGGCCCAATCTCGGCTCACTGCAAGCTCCGCCTCCTGGGTTCACGCCATTCTCCCGCCTCAGCCTCCCGGGTTCACGCCATTCTCCCGCCTCAGCCTCCCGAGTAGCTGGGACTACAGGCGCCCGCCACCACGCCCGGCTAATTTTTTGTAATTTTTTAGTAGAGACGGGGTTTCACTGCGTTAGCCAAGATGGTCTCGATCTCCTGACCTCGTGATCCACCCGTCTCGGCCTCCCAAAGTGCTGGGATTACAGGCATGAGCCACCGCGTCCCGGTCTCATGCTGCAGTTTTTATACATATACATTAGTGCTACATTTTCAAAAATGTTTACAGTGTTACGCTGGGCTGGTTGTGGTGGCTCACACCTGTAGTCCCAGCACTTTGGGAAGCCGAGGTGGGAGGATCGCTTGCACACAGGAGCGCAAGACCAGACTGGATAACAAAGTGAAACCTCGTTTCTAAAAAAAACAGAAACAAAAAGAAAAAACAGTCACGCATGGTTTGTGCGGGTAGACCCAGCTACTTGGGAGGCTGAGACAGGAGGATCGCATGAGCCTGGGTGGTCAAGCTGTAATGAGCTATAAGCTACCACTCCACTGCAGCTGGGGCAGCAGAGGGAGACTCAATCTCAAAAAGAAAAACAAACAAACAAACAAATCTCATGTACCCTCTAAATATATATGCCGGCTATGTACCCACAAAGATTAAAAATTGAAATTAAAAACAATTTACAAATTTCACTGTTATTTCTTTTTGGCCGTTTAACTGGTTGTGGCAAATTGCATTTTCAGGAGTTGGCCACAACACCATCTTCTCTCCCCCATGCTCTTCTTTCCATGTGACCTTGACACTGCTTTTATCAAGGAGTGGAGCCCATATGTCCTTCTCTTGAACTGAGGCAGCATCTGAAACTGCTCAGACTGAGAGAGGACCACACAAGTGATGATTTGTGTCTGGAGAGACTAGGTCATAAAAATGCTATGAAATCCCACCTTCCAGCTCGCTTAGCCCTGTGATCCCACTAGACTTCTACTCCATCTGGACTGCTACTCCATTGACCTTTTCCCTGTTCCTCTATCCTTGAGAATTTCCTGTCTTCTCAGATTCAAAGTCCAATGTTTCTGTCAGTCACCTCCCAATAATTTCTTGTGCATTCACTGCATTTGTCAGGAAAAGTCTTATTTCTAGAAAAAAAAAAAAACTTTTGCATTGCTGGCCCCTGTCCCTGTGCCTGTGGAAAAATTACTTAACATGGCCAGTGTTTACCCTCTTGACTGTATTTGTTTTCCACCCTCAATTAGGCCCTCAAAATGGTCCCCAAGTGTCCTGTTTCCACCTGGTCAACTCATTCTCCCAACTGTGATTTTTTTTTTCTGCTGCCTTTTCTGCTGTGCTCACCCTTCAAGTCGGCTATCTACATTCCCAACGCCCTGTTACACTCACCCTTTGACCCTATTCCTGTTTTTCTGACAATTCAAATGGAAACCCCCAAAACTTCTGCCATCAAACCTACAAGCTACCTGCATCTGTGCCTGATCTATTAGAGGAGCAGAGATGTCCCTGCCCCTGTGTTCTACATGTTCCATGGCCTCCTGTCTTCCAGGAACCTCATGTCATCCATTGGTTTATCCATTATCTTTCTCCTTCCTCTATCTTCAGTATGTCTTTCTTTTTGCGTCTTTCTTGTTTCCATTAGCACATACTTGAATCTCCTTCAACTTGAAAACACCTGGGCGTTATTCACAACCAATGTAATTCCCACCACTCTCTTACTCTTTGTGGCAGAGTTTCCAAAGGATTATCTCTACTTGGTGCCTGTATTGCCTCACCTCTCACATTTTCTGTAACCCGCTAGAAACCAACGTGGGCCCACACATCTCTTCAAAAAAAAAAAACTCTCCCTCAAAAGTCACTGGTGACCTCCATGTGACTATAGCTAATGGACATTCTCTGGCCCTCATCTCAGTTGATTCTCAGCTTCAGTCAACACTGTTGCACACTCTCCTCTTTTTCTCTTTCCTCTCCTTTTGTCTTCCTTTGTCTTCCATAACAACACATTCTCCTGTTATTCTCTTCATTTTGGCCACTTCTCAATATCTTTACTAGCAGCACCTCCTCCACGGGGCCTTTTCAAGATGGGATTCCAAGCGATTTGGTTTTACTCAATTCTCTTCCAAGTTTATACTCTCTCTCTAAACATTTTTATATAATATATGGCCATGGCTACAATTACCATTGACATCAAAGTTTCTCAAAGTATGGCTCGTGGACCAGCCTGTATCAGGATCAGAGTGAAAGGGAAATGGCAAAGTTCAGATTTCATGGCCCTATTCAGGCCTACCAAATGAACTCTGTGGGAGGGAACATTAAATCTGCATTGGAAATGTTATCCAGGTTGTTCTCATATGCCCGCACACTATTTGTCAGGGACTGCCTGGTTGACATTAGCAGTGGCAGCTCAACTCCTCCATCTGGTGACTTTCTGACACCATCATCTTCTTTTTGCAAATACAGTCCATGGAGGTTAGTAAAGTAAAATGTGAAAAGTGAGAAAGCAATAAAGAACATAAAATATGGAGTATCTGCTCCATGAGTAATCCAGATTGCATTATATCATTTTACGACATATCTAGCAGCAAAGTAGAACTTGTCTATCTTAATGTTTTGAGAGTAAATCCAATGGACACCTTTCCATTCTCATCTAAGGGCAGGAAAACACAGGTATTGAATGACTCCCCCTCTACAGATCATTACACCAAGTTTCTGGCTTCTAACAATGGTGCCAAGGGCATTAATGAATTTGTATAAAGTTAGTCTTCCAGAGGTTAGCTAATAAAAAGCCCTGTACTTTCCACTAATACAATAGTATGGGTTTTGATTCTCATTTCTCTGATGATGAGTGATGTGAAGCACTTTTTTAATATACCTGTCCATCATTTCTATGTCTTCTTTGGGGAAATGTCTATTCAGAATCTTTGCTCACTTTTTAAATGAGTTATTTTTCTCCTGTTAACTTGTTTGTGTTCCTAATGTATTCTGGATATTAGTCCCCCGTTGGATAAATAGTTTGCAAATATCTTCTCCCATTCAACAGGCTGTTTCTTTACTCTGTTGATTATGTCTTTTTCTGTGCAGAATCTTTTCAGTTGAATGCACTGCATTTGTCTACTTTTGGTTGCTTTTCTTGCCTGTGCTTTTGAAGTCTTGCTCAGGAATTCTTTGCCTAGACCATGTCCAAGAGATTTTCCTCTAGGTTTTCTTCTAGTATTTATATTTTCACATCTTAAATGTAAGTCTTCACTCTATTTTCAGTTGATTTTCATATACAGGGAGAGATAGGTGTCTGCTTTCACTAATCATCAGAGAAATGTAAATCAAAACCTCAATGAAATATCATCTTACCCCAGTCAGAATGGCTGTTATTTCAAAAGAAAAAAATAACAAATGTTGACAAGTTTGTGCAGAAAAGGGAACTCTTACACCATGTTGGTGGGAATGTGAACTACTACAGCCACCATGGAAAACAGTATGGAGATTCCTAAAAAATAAAATAAAAAATTGTACTACCATTCGATGAGGCTATCCCACTACTGGGTATCTACCCAAAGGAAAATAAATTGATATTTCAAAAAATACCTGCACTTGCACGTTTACTACAGCACTATCCACAATAGCAAAGATGTGGAATCAACATAAGTGCCCATCAATGAATAAATGTTATTCTTCCACAAAAAAAAAGAATGAAATCATGTCATTTGCAGCAACATGGATGGAACTAGAGGTCATTACCTTCAGGGAAATAATCCAGGCACAAAAAGACGAATATCACATGTCTTCACTTATATGTGGGAGCTAAAAATTCTAGTTGCATGGTGGCACAGAGTTGAGAGGTAGAGAACAGAGATTAAGAAGAGTGAGTCAGGAGGGGGAAGGACAAAGAGAAATGGGTCGAAGGGAGCAAACCTGCAGTAAGATAGAAGCAATGAATTCATTGTTTGATAGCAGAGTAGGGTGACAGTCCTTCACAAAAAAGTATTGTACTCAGGTGATGGACATTCTAATTACCCTGACTTAATCACTACACATTATATACATTTAACAGTGAATTAGTACTATAGGTAAGTCATGTACCTAAGTAAGCAGTAAAATAGAGACAACAAGGATACTAAGTGGAATGCAAAAAATAGGGAACCTGTTCTTGTCAAATATAATTTTGTCGTTGTCGTATTAATAAGTTCGACTTAACTGGGTTTTCCCAAGAAACTTGTTACATAGAAACAGCTACCAATCATTACATTTCCAAGTGAAGCCTGATCCTGAAAATCATGCTCTCTGCAACTCACATTTGATTTATTAGTTTTAGTGGGGACAAGAGCTTAGAACTTCAAAGGACAGGTGCTGAGTGTTATATAGGAAAAAAGTTATGGAGGATAACTGTAGATAACTTGAATCTCTGTGTGATGCCAGGATAAGGAAAAACCTTCTTTATCATTCTATTATTTTTTGTTGGGATAATAAATTACCACAGACATCTGACAGTAAACATGTATTTAGTAACCTAAAGATATCAATTAGTTATGGCGAAAACTGCAATAACTTTTACACCAACCTAATAAAAACAGCCAGACCAAGTAATTGATCTCAGGAAGCTAAAGATAATGGGCTTATGCCAGAGAGTTGAATAACCGTTTTTCTCCTTGCCAAATCCCAACCTAGTGTTACAAATATTACCTCATACAATAGATATCTATTTTACCAAGGTGAATAATTAAGTAGAGATAACTAGATGAAGCCAGTACCTAGAATAAACATATTCTCCTCAGTACTACTTCTTATGTCTTAGTGAAATAATTCCAGACCCCCCAGTCATACCTGGCAAATAATTGAATAAACAATTCCCAATTACCTGGAAATCTGGTTGAACGTACAAAGTTGAGTAACCATCTTTGTCAACTCTGTGTTCTTATCATCTTTAGGATTGTTGACTAGGTGCCATGAATATGGTAAGTAGAGTTACATGGGTAAGAGTTAAATACAGAATCCTCCATAAAACTAGAATAGCTGGTTGAGGGTAGAAAGAATGAAATTGCATTCTTTTCAACACTTCTGAGTTCTTGTTGGAATAATTAGTTAGTTCTGTCAATGGGCAGTAGTACCTAGGTTATTACATAGCAAGAAATAAGGAGAGATAATTAGAATAAATATTTGATGGCAGGGTGGTTAAAAAACATTATTTTCAATTAGAAACACTTATTTCTTGTAGGATTAATAAGTTAGAATTAGGTGGTACTGCAGATATCTCTATATGTTGTGGATTTCATTTCTGGGGAGAATGCATACTCAACCGATGGATTTCTGGGTCATGTGGTGGATCAATTTTTATTTTCTGAGGAACTGTTATACTGTTTTTCATAACGTTGTACCAATCACATTCCTGCCAGTGGTGTGGAAGGGTTCCCTTTCCTGCATGCCCTAAAAAGGTTCCATTTTCTACACACCCAAATACCCTTCCATGGGTGTTGGTTAAACTGTGCTGCATCTTACAATGGTATACTGCTCAGCAACAAAAAGAAGAAGAACATACTAATACACACAACTTGGATCAAACTCTAGGTTTTGCTGACAAGCGTATTCACAATAAAATAGCGAGGAAATACTCATGATTATTATAATTCTCATTTCTATCACTGGTCACAATATGGTAGCTGGGTTTTATAAGCATCCTCTTCTGCTACACATTCTGTATACCTTTAGCCCTCAGCAAGCACCTCAGCTGGTCGGGGTTCTGTACTTGGTAGGGTAACACAAACCTTCATTCCTAAAGGGTCTAGCCATTCACAGTTCTGCCTGGATTGGGTTGTGGTAATTTCTCATTTAGTTTAATCACAGGGTATAGTAATACTAAGAGACACCCTAAGGCATCCCCTGTTTTCCAGACATATTCTTCCTTACCTTCATCGTGGAGTCATCCTCCAATGTCCCCCGTTTAGTCGACATCAATGACTGCATGCAACACACTTACTCCCTTCTTACCCTCTTGACTCAGAGGCACCAGAAGCCCAAAGTGGCTGGGTGTCAGTCTTAATTTCTAGTTCCATGAAATCACTGTTGTGTCTCCTGGTGGCAACATTCCTTCCTCTAGAACTAAGACCTCTAGCCAGCAGAGCATAAAGTTGTTGTGGAAACAGGAAGCAAAACATTTACTAGTGAGCCTCTAGGGGTGATGCTGAATGTTGCCACTCCAATTTCCACCCCTGGATTCCTGGACCAGTGAATCCTGGCTATGATAGAGACGACATCATATGTTGAATGCTGATTCAGAGCACATACAGCCTTCAAGAGGACTTTGCTCCAGCTCTGCAAAGTATTATCAGCTAGCTGGGGCAGTCACTGTGACTTCAAAATGTCATTTCACTGTTATTTTATTATGAGTGTGTGTGTGTGTGTGTGTGTGTGTGTGTGACGTTAAGCAAAGATCTTTGTTTTCTTTCCTCTCATATTTCCTTATCAGGTAACGTAAGACGCAGTGACTTTTCATCGGTATTTAAGTATTATTAATTTTACATGATGCTATGTTCATGTTATGCGATATCAGCTGAAAAAAACATCATTTAAGGATTTTACTTCCTCTCCTGAGAAAAGGATTGGTATTGGTTGTAGGCAGGATAGTTGTATCATGTTAGACAGAATTATGATGTTGGTATGGTCTTTGTTTGATGAGTAACTATGGTTTAAGAAGCTGCACATGGGTGCCAAGGTGACATAAGGTGACATGGGGTAGAGTTGTGATGATGAATTGTATGTGTGAACTTGGGTAGGCTGAGGCAGCAGGGGTCCCCCACATGTTTGGCACCAGGAACCGGTTTCCTGGAAGACAATTTTTCCAAGGACTGGGGGTGGGGTGAGTAGGGAGGTGGGTGGGTGTGGGGAGATGGTATCAGAATGAAACTGTTCCACCTCAGATCATCAGGCATTAGTTAGATTCTCATAAGGAGTGAGAAACCTAGTTCCCCGGCATGCACAGTTCACAATAGAGTTCATAATCCTGTGAGAATCTAACGCCACTGCTGATCTGACAGGAGGTGAAGCTCAGGCAGCAATGCTCCCTTGCCTGCTGCTCATCTCCTCCTGTGTGCTGGTTCCTAACAGGCCACCACCAACCAGTACTGGTCCACGGCCCATGGGTTGGGAAGCCCTGGGCTAAAGGATGCCCAGATAGCTGACAAAGCATTATTTCTGGTGTGGCTGAGAGGGTATTTCTGAATGAGATTAGCATTCCAATCAGTACACTTGAGTAAAGAAAATTGCCCTCACCAATGTAAGCAGGCCTCATCCAATCCATTAAGGACCCAGAGAGTAGCAAAAGGTGGAGGAAGGGTGGATGAGCTCTATTTCTGAGCTATTTCTGAGCTGCAATATCCATCTTCACCTGCCCTCAGACATTGGAACTCCTGGTTCTTGTGCCTTCAGGCTCCAGGACTTACACCAGTGGCTCCTTTCCTAGTCCCTATTATATAGGTTATGTATTATATAAAAACATAACGTATTGCTTCTATTTCTCTGGAGAACCCTGACTAATACAAGCATGTGGGCCACAATCTGCACAACAGTCTGTTTAATCTAAACCTACGGCCTCAGACCACCCTTACTGATGCAGCCAAACCTAATGTCCTGCCCTGGCCCCCATCCAAATTGACAGACCCATTTTCCTACTGCTCACGCAAAGGCTCCATCTGGACAGGCACAGCACCTCCTCATCTACATACTGCACATGGACCCCGTCCTCCACACTCTTCCTCATCAAATCACCACCAACTTTTCCTCCTTCACTCTCAACTAAGGGGACAACTTCACCTAGTCAGCAGCCTCAGAAGTCAGATCAATAGAGATTGTCTCCATCAGTTCACAGTCCCTCACTTCCTAAAACACTCACGTGGCTTTCCACCTCACCATCTGCCCCCACCCTGACAGACTGAACTAAGAACATTGCCACTTTCTTTTGTTTTCATGACTTGGTGTTTCCTCAGCATATGTTCAATAAATGGATGAATCAATGGATGAATGAGTAAGTGAGTGAGTGAATGAATGAATGAATGAATGAAATTACCAGGGATGGGAATTCACTGATTCAAATCTTGGAGTCTGCCCCATCTGGGCCTCCTGCCTCCATAAAGAAATGCACAGTTCCCTCACCTGTGCTCACCTGAGTTCACAGTTCCCGTGGAAACTTCTATTGAGAGGGCTACTACGGACGCCTCCTCACCAGGCCCAAACACTGTCATGGAGGTGAGGATGTTCCCAGCAGGATGGTGCATGATGCTCCCTGCATTGAACCCTGCACATCCCCATCAGTTTAACAAGGGAAGGTGCCAACTCCACTGGGTTTCCATCCAACCTGCCTATGTCCACACCTTGGGCCAGCCCTCTATCCCAGCCAGTGTGTGAGGGCAACACAGGCCAGCAATCACAGCGCCGGGACACCTGCTCCCTTGTGCGCCAAGAGCTCAGAAGCCACAGGAGTCCATCTGAGGCAGGGTCACCACCTGGATCATTTTCAGCGCACGTCCACACCCAGCCCTTCATCTGCAGAGTCTCGACTGATTAGTCTCAGGGCACTCTTCCTCCAATTTCCCCTCCATGTGGCCACATGCCCCCTTCAACGGCTCATTGGCATTCCTGGCCCATCTCGGCAGTTGGTCATCAGTCAGCAACCCACTCACATAGCCCAGCCTCTATGGACGGTCCCCAGGGGATAAAACTCCAGCCCCCAGCAGGCATGAAGACAGCTTCCAGCCCTGGAACGCTGGCAAAGGTGCACAGGACCACTGGAGGGGTCAGGAGAGGGAGCTAGCCCAGGATGATGCAGGGAGCCAGCCAAGCTCTTGCTGAGAGAAGGAAGGGGAGTCTGAGGCAGGGTGGGGTGTCCAGCATGCCGCTGGTGCATTCAGCCAATAGGCCTGCCCATTCGGATCACACGACCCCCTCCAGCTGGTGATGATGGTGCCTGGATTTCCCAAGACTATTTCTGTTCATTGTCCTGTCCTCCCTCCTCCCTTCCGCCTTGCCTTCCTCAGGTCCCTGCCCCCACTGGGCTGAACTCTGGATTCACAGCTGTGAATGCCAGCCTGCCTGGGGCTCTGTGGACTTGGTTTCACATGTGGTCTCTCTCATGGACGCTGGCAATTGCTCTCCCCTGGATCCTCCCAGTGCCCCTCACGGGCTGAGGATCTCCTGTCTGCTGTCCTTCCCTGGCACCTGTTCAGTCTGCCACCCTTTTCACTTTAACCCGATGTCCATGTTATACATCTTTCTTATAAGAAAACACTCATGCTTGCCCAAAAATTTATACTCAAAGATGTTGATCTTATTCTAGTCATCATATAGCAAATGAGAAACAACTTATGTGTCTTTCAGAAAGAGTTTAATTAATTATGGTGTATGCCTACTTTAGAATTATAGAATGTAATTTGAAAAGTGAGATAGATCTATATATGTATTGTTTAGAAAGATCCCGCATCCATTTTATAAACTGACAAAGGTTAGTTGCAGTTCAATATGTACATCACTCTTCTTGCATGTTAAATAAAAACGACATATTGCTGTACTTTATCTGTCCATGAAAAGCCTGTAGTCAGCTGTAAAATAATACACAAGACTGATCATTGTGGTGACCTCTGAGGAGCGGGTTAAACTGTGGAGGAACTTTGTAAAGGGGAAATTTGTGTATTATCTATATTTCTATATTTTTTGCCCTAAGAATATACACAGTACAACCTTTTAAGTAAAAATATTTATACCTAACAACAGAAAGAGTAGCTCTGTCAGTTTAAGTAACTACTAGTTAATGCAACAGACAAGTCCTGAAATGTGAATAGCCTGACACAACTCAAGTGTATTATATGCGCACCTAAGTTCTGATGCGGTTTGGCAGGGGCTCCTCACTCTCACATGACCCAGGGATCCGGGCTGCTTCCACCTTATGATTCCATCATGTCAAAATGAAGCTGCCCTGTTTACCATTGAAAGGAGGGAGAAAGTGTGGAAATGGCACACTGGCTCTCACATGCCGGGATGTGACAAACACCTCTGTTCATGTTTTGGTGGCAAGGAAAAGTCACGTGACCCTTCCTAACTGTAAGTGGGCCTTACTGTTCCCATGTGTCCAGAAAGGGGAAGGAGACAAGATGTGGGTGAGCATTATAGTCTCCCCCATAAACTGTTACTTAGTAGCTGCACAACGAAAAGCTAAGGCAGGTGGATCACTTGAGGTCAGGAGTTCGAGACCAGCCTGGTCAACATGGCGAAACCCCATCTCTACTAAAATACAAAAATTAGGTGGGCATGGTGGCGGGTGCCTATAATCCCAGCTACTCAGGAGGCTGAGGCAGGAGAATTGCTAGAACCCAGGAGGCGGAGGTTGCAGTGAGCTGAGATCATGCCACTGCACTCCAACCGGGGCAACAGAGCGAGAATCCCTCATAAGTAAATAAATAAAGCAATTATGATTATTTGGTAGTATTTGGCATTACACTACCCTTCTCATTTCTCAAAGGAGTTTCGGAAAAGGCCACATTTGGCTTGAAGTTCTCCAACTTGTTTCCAGTGCCTAATATGTGAACAATGCTTTCAAATATAGGATCACAACTAACTGTCCAAGAATCTTGAAAGTCTCAGCAGGAAGCCTTCCCTTTGCATGACCCTTTGAATCCTGAGTAGACTGCAATTTTTTTGTCCATTTGATTCCAGGTCAAAATCTTAACCTGTGAGTTTCTGCTACCCTCCACATGTCTGAACTCGTGTCAGGTGTCTCTAGGCACACTGAAAGCCAGTATTTTCCTGCGAGGCAGTTAAACAGACAAGCAGCAGTAGAAAGCTGCTTAATTATTCGTTTTCCATCAGAGCAGAAGTGTCTTCAAGGAATCAGGGCCTCCAGGGATTTAGGAGTTCAGTAAGTAGATGTTTGTTCCACTGATTTCCAAAGCTTCCCCTCATCTAATACTCATGAGGGAGGCTTTGGTTTTAAAGCATTCATCTGTGTATGTGCTCAGAGGTAAACTCCAAATAAGACACCCTGATAAAGTCCAATTTCAAGTATCAAGGTGGTTCCAAAACCTTCTAATTTCATGGCGACATCCCAAGAACGCTTAGATAATATGGCGAATCAGACTCTACTCAGCACATTCATAAAGCACTTGGACAGTGTACTGAAGATAAGCAGAGTGGTAACCAGGTGTGTAAACATCACTATCCCATGGGAATTCAAAAGGGGTGTTGATATCACATAGCTTCCTGGGTGAGAGATGGGACATCCAGAGGACTTCTACAAGGAAAAGGAATGTGGCCTGTCATGGGGTGAGCAGGTGATTCTGGGCTGTTCTGTGGGGACTAGTGACAAGCTGGTCAGCAACCCGTGTTCCAGAGTGAGACAGGACACATGGAAGTGGCCAGGGGAAACTCACTGCAATTCGGGAAAGTGCTGGGACTGACAGAAATGCCCACACCTTGGCAGAGTCAGCTGTCAAGGAACCCAGTGCACACCAGCCTCAAATGGTGTTTCATTCTCACTGTCACCTTCCCCAGGCCTGTTTTTAGTACGCTGGCCTCGGGGTCCTTCTTTTTGTCACCAGAGACATACGGCACAGTGTTGAGAAGAGAAAGGAAGTATTACTCAGGAGGTGGGCCACGGGCTGGGAGGAGTGGGAACAACATGGGCTCTGCAGGAATTCAGGTCCAGGATCCGGTTCCAGCCCTGTCCCTTACTAGGCGTGTGATCCTGGGAAATACCCAAGCCTTGCGTGCCTCTGGTTCTACATCTGTGTAGTAGGTGTGATTAGACCCTTCCGCTAGGACTGGTGGAGTGTGTGCCATGCAAGTGAAGCACCTGGCTCAGGGCCTGGAGTAAATTACAAGTTTAATGGCTAGCAGGTGGCTGTTATTGCTAATATTATTTGAGCCCAGACTCTACCACTCTGGGATTTTGTTGTTGTTGTTCTCCAGGACTTATCAGAGAATATACAACTTAATAGGACATGGAATAATTAACCAAAGAGGGAAGTTTCATCCATAAAATTCAGTAAAGTATTTCCTCTTAGAGAATGAACTTCAAAATTTGGGTATGTGAGTTTCCCTAGCCAGATGCAGCTCAAAGATCGTAGAATTTGAGTCAAAAACCAACTCCTTTCCTCTCTCCCACAGACCTTTCCATCCAAACCACTATTTTCATTCATTTTGTCACCACACGAAATCTTGCTTACGACTGGCCAAATTGCACGTGAGATAACCTCATTAGGATGCCTTTTTAATAGAGTCAGCCCTGGTCCTCCCAGCCAGGCAGAAAAGTGCCTGGCCAGTGGCTTCTGGGTCTCCCTTCCGGGGAGATTCACGCTTCTCTCTCAGGAAATGCTTTCGGATGATGAGTGTCCATCACGCAGCTCTTGCGCTGTGTTCAGAAGCACTGGCACAAAAGCATAGGACACTTTCCAATCCTGCTCAGGTGGAGACTCCTCTGTTCATCCACCATCCGAAAGAAACTCCTCAGAGCAGCTTTCCATTCCAGGCTTTTCTCTCACCGTCTGAGAATCTGGCCCTGGATCCACCCAAGATCATTACAATCAGCTCCCCCAGAAGGAACTGCAGTTTCCCAAAGCCCAAAATGCCCCAGCTCAGGGCATTGACACTCCACCACTCTCACCCGGAGCCCCACACCCTCACCCCTCTCTCACTTTTCCCTACATCTTTAGAGGACATCTTGCCACCTCGATTACGTGACTGCAGCTCCTAGACTCTACGACCCTATGGGTGGGTATGAGTCTGGCTTACCTTAGCATCTCCACTACTAACCCAGGGCCTTCCAAAAAGCAGATGCTCAGTGCATGGAGAAGAAAAGAGCCAGTGAACAGGAAGAATTCTTTATTCAGATTTAATTTCTCTTACATTCTCAAAGAAGCCAAGGAAATCCAGGTATGCATATATCTTTAAAAATTTTACAGAATAGACTGAGGTATAAGGCAAGAATTGACTATCTCTTAATTTCTTTAGTTCTTTATCTCATCTATTTTACTGCTCATTTTTCACATTTCTAAGTACTTATTCCACTGCTGTTATTATCCCAATTCACAAAATAGAATGGATTTCCCAATCTGAATAAAACACAAGACTCTTACCCTTAAACTATATACACAGAACTGTGTGACTGCTGTCATTCATAAACTTGGATGCTGAAGTTCATTCAACCATCCCTTAAAAAAAAACATTTGAACAATTCCAAAAGAGAACAAAGATAAATCTCCAAGTCACCCAATAGAACAGAAACCTACTACTGAGAACACTGACCGCTCTCTTCAGAGTGAAGAATGGGCCTCATGTCACACGAGGCAGGGGAAGCTGCTGGACGCGGCCCTGGAAGGTGCACTGGCCCAGTCCCCCTCCCACTGGCCTTGGCTGCAACTCATGCTCAGACTCCCTCTTCCTCCTCTCTCAAAGCTGCTTCACGCAGGGATGGGAAGAAAAAGCGAACTCTTGCACTGACCTTGATCACATACTCAAGGACTTTCACATAGCTGGTTTCAGCGAGGGCCCTTGGACCCCACAGGAACTCATAGCGTGCGGGATCACTGTCCGGCACCTGCCGGTACTCCAGGTACTTTTCCTGCACCAAATCTTGGGTGAGCAGCTTCCTGGGCTCCCCATAGGCACTGTGCTCCCTCCCATCATACACCTCCATCACACTCAGCTCCTCCCAGATTTCCTCCTCAGGAGCATGGCCGCCCTCCATTGCAATCATGACCAGGACAATTATCAGGAAGCCTGTCTTGGGCATGATCTGATTATCACCCAGCAGGCCATCATAGGAGAGACCTAGGCAGGTGACAAGGACATAGGAGTGGCCGGTGGGGTCTGCTTCCTTCACGTCAATGCCAAAGACCAGCTGCAAGGACTCAGAGGCTTTGCCGAAGATCTCAGGAAAACAGTGCTTGTAATTTTTGATGACACTCTCCAGCATTTCTGCCTTTGTGACTGGCTCCCTGGCTCGATATTTGAGGAGCAGAAAACCAACCAAATCAGCCACCTTCTTAGTGATTACTGCTCGGAACAAGGACTCCAGGATACAAGAGGTGCTTGGCCCCTCCTCTTCACGGCTGCTGGAACCCTCACTGGGTTGCCTCTGTCGAGTGAAGTTGATGGTAGTGGGAAAGGCGGAGGCTCCCTGAGGACTCTGGGGAGGATCTGTTGACCCAGCAGTGGGCACCTCCTCCAGGGTGCCCAGGACCAGAGGAGAGGAGGAGGAGGTGGCAGCCTGCACACACACCAGGCCCAGGGCCTCTTGTTGGGCCTCAAGGGCTTCCTCAGGCTTGCAGTGCAGACTCCTCTGCTCAAGAGACATGATGACTCTCGTCAGGGCAGCAGGCAGGAGTGTGGGCAGGAGCTGGGCAATGAAGACCCACAGGCCTGGGGAGAGAGGGAGTGTGTGAGAGGCCTCAGCTGAGAACTGAACCTTGGAGACTCTAACAAAGGCCTACTTACAGATCTTCTCCTTGGTGCTCCTCTGTGGCCTCCAGGGAATCCTGTCCTCTGGGTTGGCCTGTCCCCTGAAAACCTGAAGGAGGAAGTGAGAGGGTACTCAGGGTACAGCCGGCCAGCAGAGGTCGATTCTACAGGACTGACAGTAGGGAGGTGAGGCCAGACTCTGTGGAGTCCTATGTGTCCTGTGGCAGGTGGGGCCCTTGGTGTGCATTCAGGGCAAACATTCACTGCTGGCACACCCTGTGCATCCTCTGCTCTGTGACCTGAGGATACTGTCTCAGACCAAGGCCTCACTGCCTGGTTCCTGGAGCTCCAGGAAGAGGAATCCACGGGCCCTCAGGGTGCAGACCGCAAGCACAGCCCTGGCTTCTCAGTGCTACCAGGAGGGTGGGCTGGACTCTGTGACATCCCCACTCTCATGCAGTGGATGACCCCCTCTGTTCTCACGCAGGGCCCTTATATTTTTCCTGGCAGGGCCTGGATCCTGCCCTTTTGCTGGTCTGAGAAATCCAAATCAAGAGTTCACATCCATGATAAGGAATGGAAGGACAGGAGGGGACAAACATCTGGCCACACGTGCCTAGGTCCTTGGGGAAGGGCAGCAAGAGATATCAAAATTCATTGGAATTAATGTGTCCTGGGTGAGGTGCCCGCTTGGTCCTCACCTTGACTCCTGGCAGGGCCTGGGACGCTCCCTCTACTGACCTGAGCGCAGCCTTCTCAGACCAAGGCCTCCCCGTCCCTGACATCAATGATCCCAGGATAACGGAAGGACCTCGGCAGACGGCCCAGCCCATGCTCTCTGGGGTGACAGCAGGGGCAGGGCTGATTTCTGTGCAGTCTCCCTCAGTGTTCTGGTCCTGGGGTACCCTCAGTCCTCCCTCATGTTCCTCACCCGAACGCATGGCAGATCCTGGGACCGCTCTGTCTTTAGACCAGATGGGGGTCCCTACGTTGACCTGAGTCACCCTCTGAGAATGAGGTCCTCACCTGCCCCAGATCTGGAAACAGGAGTGAAAAGAAGCCACATCCTGGGTGAGGTGTCCAGGGCTGACCCCTTTGGTTCTGGGGTGAGGATTCCAATAGCCTTGTCTGTCTCACTCATCTTTATTCCTGCCAGCGCCTGTGCTTCCTCAACCCCCAATTCCCTGACATGAGTAGACATCCCCCCTTTACCCCAAGACCCCATCTCCCTGAGGGCCCCCCAACTTCCTGCCTGTGGTACAAGTGAGAATGGAACATACCGCCATCCCTGATCTGGTCCCCCTAGAGCTACTAAAAGGGGACAGCCAGACTGTGTGGAGTCCCTTCTTTCTGAGCCGGGGATATCCCCAGTCCTCATGAAGGGGGCACATCTTGGGCCATATGGATCCTGGAACTCCTCCCTCTGTTGACCTGAGGCCCCACTTCTCAGACCACAGCTCTGTCCTGTCACCTCAAAGATGCAGGAAATATGGGCCATATGTGGCCACCGTGCCCTGGACCTCTCAGGGCCGAGGTCCACACTGATCTGGATTCCAAGGTCCCCTGAGTCCTCCCTCCTCTTCCTCCGCGTAAGCCTTGCAGGCCTGGGTCCCACCCCCATGCTAATCTGAGTCCCCATCATTCTGATTCTTGAGGCCAGAAGTGGCAGCCTCAGTCTCAGACAGGGGTGCGGTGTCCTAGGGTGCTGGGTCCTCTGAGGCCTCCCTCATCTCGCAGTAGGGCCCTCCCTCTGCTCCCCTGAGGCCCTGTTCAAGCCCCTTCCCTCCATCAGCCCTGGATGGGGACGTCAAGATCCGAGTGCCTGGCCGCCATTCCCGTGGCTTCCGTGGGTTGACAGCAGGGATTCTGACAAGATGAGGTTGGGGGTAGGGGGTAGGTATGGGAATGTGAGTGGGGTGGCGGTGGAGATGAGGAGACAGGTGTGGGTGGGGAACCCTCAGTTCCCTCCCAGGGTCCTGACCCTAATGCCGGGCGGATGCCTGGACCTTGATGCCTGGGCCCTGCCCTCTCCTGACCAACCCTGCCCCGGTCACATAAGCTATGACTACAGATTGCCCTGTGGGTTAAGTGGCAGTGGGACGGGACGGGGGGTGGTCCAGCTGAGACATCTGTCCTGGCCGGGTGGTCCAGGGCTGGCAGCAGGGGTGGTACTGGATCATTTTGGGGCCATCTACCTGGGGTGTGTGCCTCCTCAGTCCTCCCTCAGCATCTCACCTTGCCTCCTCACAGAGCCTAAAACCACTCCCCTCAGTGGATCTCAAGCCGCCCCTCAGAACCATTAAATGAACCTGGCTTCTCTCAGATCTGTGAGGTTCAAGTCAGTGGTTTCACATCGGGCCATCCAGGGCTTCCCTGGGTTGAGAGCAGGGGCAAACCGGATTCTGCCAGAATGGGGGAGGCGATGGGAGTGGGGCACATGAGAGAGATGAGGGTGGGGTTGGGGGCAGTGAGGGTGAGGTGGCAGAAGGGTTGGGGCTGGTGCTGGGGCTGGAGGGTGGTGGTCAGGTGACGGAGTAGGAGTAGGGATGGGGGTGGAGGTGTAGCTGAGGAGATGGGGGTTGGGTGGGGAATGGGAATGCGAATGGGGTGGGAGTGGGGATTGGAGTGCAGTCTTGGGGGCCCACAGCCCTCCCTCTTGGGTGCTGATCTTGATGCCTGGCAGAGCCTGTGCCCTGCCCTCTCCTAACCAGTCCTGCCCTGGTCACAGCAACCTCTGATTCCAGAGCTTGGGGAGAAGAACCTGGTGTCTCTCAAGGCTTTTGGAGCAGGGGTCTGGGGGCAGCCCAGGCTGAGACGTCTTCCCGCGGGTGGGCCAGGGCTGGCAGCAAGGGCGGCGCTGGAATATTTGGGGCTCTCTATTTGGAGTGGCGGGGTCCTCAGTCCTCCCTCAGCCTCTCACCTTGCCTCCTCACAGAGCCTGGGTCAGGTTCCTTCGGCCGAACTCTACGCCGTCCCTCAGAATGGAAACCTCGCTTCTCTCTGCCCCACAATGCGCAAGTCAGTGGCGTCACATCCGGGCACCCGGATGTTTCCTGGCGGGAACCGGATCCTGCCTGGGTGGGGGTGGGAGTGGGCGTGGGGGTGGGGGTGGGGGTGAGGGTGGAATGGCTGGGCGGATGGGCATCAGGGTTGAGGGATGGGGTGGGGGATGTGGGGTGGGGGTTGGAATGACAATGAAGAGGGGGTTGGGTCACGGGAGTGAGCATTGGAGTGGGGGTTGGGTCACGGGAGTGGGGTCTTAGGGACCCTCAGCCCTCCTTGAGAATCCTGAGCATGATGTCTGGCAGAGCCTGGACGCTGCCCTCTCCTAAGCAGCCCTTCCCTGATCACACGAGCTCTGACTTCAGAGTCCCCAGTGGTTTAAGCAGCAAGGGGGCTGGGGGTGGCCCAGCCTGAGAAGTCCACCACCAGATGGTCCAGGACTGGCATGAAGGGATTATTTGGGGTCCTCTATCTGGGGTAAGTGGGTCCTCAGTCCTCCCTCAGCATGTCACCTTGCCTCCTTACAGAGCCTGGGCCCGCTTCCCTCCACCGATCTCAAGCCGCCCCTCAGACCGAAAACCTCGCTTCTCTCTAACCACTAATGCTCAAGTCAGTGGCGTCACATCTGGGCACCTGGGCTTCCCTGGGTTGAGAGCAGGGGTGGAACCGGATTCTGCCTGGCTTGGGCTGGGGGTGAGCGTGAAGATGTTTGGATGGGTGGCGTAAAGGGAGGGATTGGGGGTGGTAGGGGGAGGGATGCCAGTGGTGCCCCGGGGCTTAAGTCGTCGTGTTGGTGGTAGTGGGGTTGGGCGTGGGGTTGGGGGACCCTCGGTCACCCCTCAGGGTCCTGACTTTCATGCCTGGCAGAATCTGGACACCCATATTCTCTGCCGATTGTGTCTGCTTCTCTCCCACCAAGTCTCTGGCCCCCAGTCCCATGAGGTGGCAATGGGAGGGGGGGTGTGGTCGTGGTAACATTGCCAGGGTCTTCCAGGGCTGACAGGAGGGGCTGAGCTGCATTCTGTGGCCCATCTACGTCGGGAGAGTGGACCCTCTGTCCCCACTCAGGAAGGTCCTCCTCCCGGCTCCTGGCACTTTGTTGAAGTCATGGGCGGGAGATGCTGTTTCTGCCATCTCTGAGCATTTGCCCAGCTGCACCCATTGCAGAGAATGGCTGCAGGTCCCAGGCCAGGTGCTCCCTGCAGAGTGGCAGCTCCCGCGATTGTAGTGACCTCTGGGAGAAGACGCACACCTTCCCACGGGGGCTTCTCTCCAGCCAGAGCTACACTTGGCAAACCTTTTGTCCTCAAAGTAATATGTTTTACTCCCAGGCACGGTGGTTCACGCCTGTAATCCCAACAGTTTGAGAGGCCGAGGCGGGCAGATCACTTGAGGTCAGGGGTTCAAGACCAGCCTGGCCAACATGGTGAAACCCCGTCTCTACACAAAATACAAAAATTAGCTGGGTGTGGTAGTGCTCAGGAGGCTGAGGCGTGAGAATCGCTTGCACCTGGAGGCGGAGTTTGCAGTGAGGCGAGATCGTGCCATTGAACTCTAGCGTGGGCCTCGCGACAGAGTGACACTCTGTCTCAAAAAATTTAAAAAATGAAAAAGAAATACACTTTTCGTATCTTCCAAGGATATATGTAGGTAGCTGTATATATATATGTATTTATTTCTAGGAAAGAATACCTACCAGTAGTATGCATGATTCACTCTTATATCCTATTCTACTTCTTTTCCATTCTTTACGTTCTGTTGAAATAATTTTTTTTGAAACACAATTTCTCACCCACTATGTTGGTGTCTGGTTGTTATTAGTGGAACTCTTGATCCATACTGTCTTAACCAGCCCTGTTTAACTGGTGTCCTGCTGTTGCCCTAGGGCTACTAGCATCATGTTTTGAGGAGCTGCCTCAGACTGTGTAATGATGTGAAGTGGAAATTTGAAAACTTTCATTGTAACCATTTTGTCAACTGCAGTCTAGGCAGGGTACAGACCTCCCCAGTATCCCTGCTGCCACCCCCCCTCCAACCGAGACTGCAAGTGTCAAACACAATTACCAGTTCAACCATCTTCAGCATCACCCAGGGCTTTCTCTATTTTGTTGCTTAGACTTTGTTGCTGATATTGTGTCTTTCTCCTTCTTTTTCCCTTCTATAATTTTCCAGGGTTGATTTGTGAAGCAGAGAACAGCAGCCCAAATTTGATTGTCACGTTGGCAGCCACAGGTAAGACATAATTTGTACATAATTGTACATAATTGAAGCACATTTGACATTTTTACAGTGTTCTCTTTCTCATCAATGAATATGCTATGCTCCTCTATAATATGTGTGTGTGAGTGTGTGTATATATATATATATATATATAGAGAGAGAGAGAGAGAGAGAGAAAGATGGCATCTCCCTCTGTCTACCAGGCTGGAGTGCAGTGGCACTATCTCGGCTCACTGTAATCTCCACCTCCCAAGTTCAAGTGATTCTCCTACCTTAGCCTACTGAGTAGCTGGGATTACAGGTGCATGGCACCATACCCAGCTAATTTTTGTATTTTTAGTAGAGATGGGGTTTCAACATATTGGCCAGGTGTGTCTGGAACTCCTGACCTCAGGTGATCTGCCCGCCTCAGCCTCCCAAAATACTGGGATTACAGGCATGAGCCATCGCACCCAGCCTCATGTATTAATTTCAAACTCCTTTTACTTGAATCTGTCAGTATACTGTGATTGTTGCCTCTATAAAGACCTTCTGCATTTTTACTAGGCTTCTTTTCAGGTAATTCTTGGATTTTGATGCTATTGAAAAAGGCATATTGTATATTAAGTGTTCTAGTTACTGATTGCTTTCATCTGGCAAAGATTTTGATTTTGCTATTATAATCTGTTGTATACCTCATTCTGAAGGCCCATTCACTTGAATCTTCCACATGCCTACTCCTTTGAATTTTCAAGACTGATCATGTTATCACTAAACATTATATATTTTTTCCACTATTCATACTCCTTATTTATGTTGATATTTATAGCTCTGACTTTGTGTCTCAATACTGATTTAAAAGCTGGAGATAATACCTTACATCTAATTATTTTTCCTCTCTTTAATAATAAGTCCTCGAACATTTAGCATTTATGTATGTTTGCTGTTGATTTTAGTAAATGGAAATTCTCTTTCAAAAGAAGTTAACTAAATATGTTTACTTTGAACTCATATTGAATTTCCTTCAAAAGCTTTTCCTATACCCAGTGATATGAGCACTTATCTTTTTCTTCTCCATTTTGTATGTAAGGAATTACAATGAAATACGTTTCTTTTTTGTAACAATAAATCATATTTTCTTTCCTTGGGCAGAGCCTGTTTGTTCATTTAATATGCTACTAACTTATGTAGGATATGTGGTGTTATGTATGAGAGCTTCCTTGATGTGTTTTTGTCCATGGGTGGGGGTGGTCCTCATCTGGTTTTTGTATCCAAGAGGGCAAGTCTGGGAGAAGGAATTGAACGATAGTCTATATTTTGTATGCCTTGGAAGAGTTGAGGTAAGATGGTAGTTAGTTTTTCCTGATCATTTTGTTCAATCGGCCTCCAAGACTGCCTAGACTGGAACATTTGAGGGTGGCTTGAGCTATGAATATTGTACCATTTCTGTTTGTATAGTTTAAGTTTTCTTTTCCTTTTTGGACCAATTTGGAAATGTATTTATTTTATTTCTGCAAAGTGTTCAGTTTCACATAGGATTTCACTTTAAACGGTGTGAAATTTGCGATAAAAACTTTTTCTTAGGGAGCGCCTCAAAAACCTTGAATAATAGAATAACATAATGAAACCAGAACACCTGTCACTCAGCATCAACAACCTTCAATACATGTCATATCTGGTTCCAGTTTGAGGCTCACCTACTTGTATCTCAGCTGCTGGAATAATGTGGAGCAAATCTAAGACATCATTCCATTTCATCTCTAAATACTTCAATATGTTTTTCTAAAAGTTAAGAACTTTATGTTAACTAAAATCCCAATACAGTTTTCATTTCTAAAAAAATTAAATAAATGGTTATCAGATGTTTAACTGATTTACACACTTATCTGGCAGACTTACACTTTGTAAAAGTATGTTTATTTGAATGAGAGCCCAAACACGGTATTATACAGTGATTTTTTTTGTCGTTATAACCCTTAACTCTTTCGTCATCTGTAGGTCCCCTCCACTGGACCTCTTTCCCTGCCATTGTTTTGTTGTTTTTGGAAAGAAACAGATCTTGCGCTCTCTGCAGTTTTCCATAGTCTGGGTTTTGCTGAATGCAACACTGTGATGTCCTTTATCATATTCTTCAGCCCTTCATTTCTAGGGCTACAAGATGCTCCTGGTTCATCTTGTTTATGCCCTGCCCCAGTGCTAAACTAAGCTATTTCTCCAGAGGTCTGGTTCGCTTCATTGGGAAATGGTTCTAGGTGGGAATCGACATCTGGGTTCTAGGTGTGCTCGTTGCTACAGAGTAGTTTTTAGTCATAGGCTTCTCTGCTGAGAACAATGAAATATATGTTTGTATATACCACGTATATACACATCTGTTGAATTTATATATGTAAACATTTGCCTATATATTAAATTAAATACAATTTTATACTGAGGTCTTCAACTCTAATCCGTTACCACAAGGATCATTCTAGCTTTCTCTTCTTGTTTTTCTATAGTCTATCACTCCATCCGTGAGAAACCTGTCTCCCATCATCCACTAACCATTTAGTTAATAGTTTAATACCAGCATGTGCATACAGCAGATTTGGATTTGGTAACCCATAACGTTGTGCCTCCATAAGAAAAACAAACAAACAAACAAACAAACCTTGTATCAGTTACAGTGCAGTACTTCTGTGTAGCTCCTTTGGCCTTTAGTCTTACAGACTCCACTAATTTTCAACATTATTAAGACAGTAATAACGACCTCATAATTCCCCCCACTTGCTTCACTGAGGTAATTTCATACATTTATAATACATCTAGGTTTATGTGTGTGTGTGCGTGCGCACACGTGCAACATTCTGCATTCTGTCCTATGATTTTTCCAACCTCTTATTTTTAAAATTTGCACACTTTAAGCTTCACTTTTTGTGCTGTAAGCATCTGTGGGTTTTGAAAAATGTCTGCTGCCCTTGTCTTGGTCCATTCGGGCTGCCCGAACAAAAATACCATAGACTGGGTGGCATATAAATGACAGAATTTTATTTCTCATGCTTCTGGTGGCTGGGAAGTCCAAGATCAGGTTCAACATTTGCTGACAAATTTTGTGTCTGGCAGGAACCTGCTTCCCAGTTCATAGACAGCTCTCTTTCCCATGTCCTCACATGGAAGACGGGGCAAGGGATCTCTGTGGGATCTGTTTAATAAAGACACTAATGCTATTCATGACGGCTCTGCTGTCATGATTTAATCAGCCCCCAAATGACCCACCTCATACCTAATACCATCACCTTGGTGTTAGGATTTCAACATATGAATTTTCTGGAAAGACAAACATTGAGACCCAGACAACGTTGTATCCACCATTGCAGTATCATGCATAGTAGTTTCACTGCACTAATAAGTAGCCTGTGCTCCTCTTATAGCCCCCTTGGCTCCCACTGATAGGTTTATGATATCTATAATTTTGCCTTTTCCAGAATGTCATATAAGTGAAATCTTACCCTATCTAGGCTTTTCAGACTGTATTCTTTCATACAGCAATATGAGCATAAGACTCACCCATGTCTTTGTGTGGCTTGTAACATATCCTTTTATTGACTAATGGTAGCTCATTTTATGGTTGTGCCATGTTTTGTTATCCATTCACCTAATGCAATATATCTTGGATGCCTCTATTTTTATAAAATAGTGATTATAAAATAAGTTATTGTATACATTCATATACAAGTTTTTATGTAGAAATAAATTTTAAAATCAGCTAGATAAAATGCCTAGGAGTATGATTGCTGAATCTTATGGTAAGACTATGTTTAGTTTTTTAAAGAAAATGTCAGATTAACTTCCAAAGTCGTTTTGCATTTCTACCAGTAATGAATGAAAGTTTCTGTTGTTCCACGTTTTCACTAGCAATTGGTCTTGTATTTTTTTGGTGGGGGGAGGGATTTCAGACATTCTAGAAGGTATGTAGTGGTGTCTCATTTTAGCACACAATTCTCTAATGACAAAGGACTTTCAGCACCTTCAATATGTTTACTTGTCATCTGTATATCTTCTTTGGTGAAACATCTGTTCAGATCTTTTGACTGTTTTCAGTTATTTTTCTGTTGTTGAGTTTTAAGAATCCGTGTATATTATAGATACATGTTGTTTATCAGAAATGTGTACTACAGATGTTTTCTCTTAGTCCGCAGCTTTTGTTTTCATTCTGTTTACAGTGTCTTTTGAAGAGCATAAGACTTTTATTTTAATACACTCCAATTTGGCAATTTTTTCTTTCATTGATCATGATTTTGGTGTTGAATTTAAAAACACATCACCAAACTTAAGCTTACGTAGATATTCTCTTATGTTTTCTTAGAGAAGTTGTATAGTTTTTGCATTTGCATTATCTCTATGATGTATCTTTGGTTAATTTTCGTGAAATACCTAAGGATTTGTTTATAATTATAATTATCATTATTATTATTACAATTATGCAATTATTACATTATTATTATTACAATTATAATTAACATTATTATTGTTTTTGTATAGATGTCCAATTATTATTGTTTTTGTATAGATGTCCAATTATTCAAGCTCCATTTGTTAGAAAAAATATACATTCACCATTATTGCCTTTGTTGTAAATCACCTGACTATATATATGTAGGTCTATTTCCTAGCTCTATTCTGATCTATGTGTCTATTCTTTGTTAATGCTTATGTCCTCCACCACATTCATATTTTGAAGCCCGTTTTCAAGGGTGTCCATATTTGGAGATGAGGCCTCTAAGGATTTAATTAATGTTAAAGGATATCACAAGGGTGGCACCTTGATCTCATAGAATTAGTGAGCTTATAAGAAGGGACACAAGAAAGCATTCTTGTGCCTACATGAGCACTCCCCACCCCCTCTCCATGCACATGCACAGAGGAAAGGCCAATGAAGGACATAATGAACAAAGGGCATCTACAAGCCAGGAATAAGCCCATCACCAGTAAATGACAATACCAGTCCTTGACCTGGGATTTCTAGCCTCCACAACTGTTAAAAAAATAAATCTCTGTTGTTTCATCTACTGACTCCATGGCATTTTGTTACGGCAGCCAAAGCTGACTAAGACATAGCCCCAGATAACAGAATACTTCTTCTGTTTTCTCCTAGAAATAAAATGATGCTGACGTTTAGGTCTATGGTTCATTTTGAGTTACATTTTTTTATTGTGTATATCTTTTTTTAAATTTTACTTTAAGTTCTGGGATAAATGTGTTGAACTTGCAGGTTTGTTACGAAGATATACATGTGCCATGGTGATTTGCTCCACCTATCAACCTGTTATCTAGATTTTAAGCTCTGCATACATTAGGTATTTTTCTGAATGTTCCCCCTCCCCTATCCCCCCACCCCGCAACAGGCTCTGGTGTGTGATGTTCCCCTCCCTGTGTCCATGTGTTCTCCTTGAGTTACATTTTTATATGGTGCAAGATATGTTTGGTGGTTAGCTTTATGTGTCAACTTGTCTAGGCTATAGTACTCAGTTGTGTGGTCAAACACTAGTCTAGATGTTTCTGTGAAGGTATTTTGTAGATATGATCAACATCTGCAATTGGTTGAATTTAAGTAAAGCAGTTTACCCTCCATAATGTTGGTGGGCCTCATCCAACTAGTTGAATGTCTCAAGAGAAAAAAACAAGTATTCCTGGAAAAGGTATTCTAACACAAGACTGTAATATAAAAATGCTGTGTGAATTTCTAGCCTGCTGGTGCACTTTACAGATTTTTAATGTACTAGACCTCATAATCCCGTGAGATAATTCCGTATATATCTTTCTGTTTTCTGTCTCTCCCTTTTTAGCTAGATAGATAAATAGATAGAGTATGCATTGAAATTCGGGTTTGCATATAGATATTGTATTAGTCTGTTCTCACACTGCTATGAAGAAATATCCAAGACTGGGTAATTTAAAAGAAAACAGGCTTAATAGACTCACAGTTCCACATTGCTGGGGAGGCCTCAGGAAACTTACAATCATGGCAGAAGGCAAAGGAGAAGCAGGCACCTTCTTCACAGGGCAGCAGGATGGAGAGAGTGCAAGCAGGGGAAATGTCAGATGCATATAAAACCATCAGATCTTGTGACACTCACCCATTATCGTGAGAACAACATGGAGCAAACTGTCCCTGTGATCCAATTACCTCCACCTGGTCCTGCCCTTGACCTGTGTGGATTATGGGGATTGCAATTCAAGAGGAGATTTGGGTGGGGACACACAGCCAAACTGTATCATTCTGCCACTGTTCACTTCCAAATCTCACGTTGTCACATTTCAAAACACAATCTTGCCTTTCCAACAGCCCCACAAAGTCTTAACTCATTCTCAAATTAACCCAAAAGTCCAAATCCAAAGTCTCATCTAAGACAAGGCAAGTCCCTTCTGCCTATGAGCCAGTAAAATCAAAAGCAAATTAGTTACTTCCTAGATACAATGGGGGTACCAACATTACATAAATACACCCATCCCAAATGGGAGAACTGGGCCAAAACAAAGGGGCTACAGGCCCCATGCAAGTCTGAAATCCAACAGGGCAGTCATTAAACCTTAAAGTTCCAAAATGATCTCCTTTGACTCCATGTCTCACATCCAGGTCACACTGATACAAGAGGTGGGCTCTCATGGCCTCGGCAGCTCCACTCCTTTTGCTTTGCAGGGTACAGTCCCCCTCCCAGTTGCCTTTATGTGCTAGCATTGAGTGTCTGCAGCTTTTCCAGGCACACAGCAAAAGCTGTCGGTGGATCGACCATTCTGGGATCTGGAGGACAGTGGCCCTCTTCTCACAGCTCCATTGGGCAATGCCCCAGTGGGGACTCTGTTTTCCTTCTGTACTGCCCTAGCAGAGGTTCTCCCTAAGGGCTCCACCCCTGCAGCAAACATCTGCTTGGACTTCCAGACATTTCCATACATCCTCTGAAATCTAGGCAGAAGTTCCCAAAACTCAATTCTTGACTTCTGTGCACTGGCAGGACCAGCACCACATGTAAGCCACCAAGGCTTGGGGCTTGCACCCTATGAAACAATGGCCTCAGCTGTACATTGGCCGCTTTTAGCCATGGCTGGGACACAGGGCACCAAGTACTGAGATTGCACAAAGCAGCAAGACCCTCAGCCTGGCCCAAGAAACCACTTTTTGCTCCTAGGCCTCTGGGCCTGTGACAGGAGGACCTGACATACCCTTGAGACATTTTCCCCATTGTCTTGGTGATTAACATTTGGCTCCTAGTTACTTATACAAATTTCTTCAGCCAGCTTGAATTTCTTCTCAGAAAACGAGATTTTTCTATTCTGTCACATCATTGGGCTGCAAATTTCCTAAACGTTTAAGCTCCACTTTCCTTTTAAACAAAAGTTCCAATTTCAAACCGTCTCTGTGGATGCATAAAACTGAATGCTTTCGTAGTTATCCAGGCCTCTCGAATGCTCTGCTGCTTAGAAATTTCTTCCACCAAAAACCCTAAATCATCTCTCTCAAGTTCAAAGTTCCACAGATCTCTAGGGCAGGGGCAAAATGTTGCCAGTCTCTTTGCTAAAGCATAGCAAGAGTCACCTTTATTTCAATTCACAACAGGTTCCTCATTTCCATCTGAGACCACCTCAGCCTGGACTTCATTGTCCATATCACTATCAACATTTTGGTCAAAGCCATTCAACAATCTCTAAGAAGATTCAAACTTTTCCATATTTTCCTGTCTTCTTCTGAGCCCTCCAAAGTGTTCCAATATCTGCCCATTACCCAGTTCCAAAGGCGTTTCCACATTCTCAGGTATCTTATAACAATGCCCCACACTACCTCAGTACCAATTTAGTGTATTAGTCCATTCTCACACTTGGGTATGAAGAAATACCTAAGACTGGGTAATTTATAAAGGAAAGAGGTTTAATTGACTGATAGTTCCCACATTACTGGGGAGGCCTCAGGAAACTTACAATCATGGAGGAAGTCAAAGGAGAAGCCGGCAGCTTTACAGGGTGGCAGGATGGAGTGAGTGCAAGCAAGGGAAATGCCAGATGCTTATAAAACCATCAGATCTCGTGAAACTCACTCACTGTCATGAGAACAGCCCTGGGGAAACTGCCCTCATGATCCAATTACCTTCAGCTTGTCCTGCCCTTGACATACGGAGATTATGGGAATTATAATTCCAGGTGAGATTTGGGTGGGGACACAGAGCCAAACCATATGAGCTATCCAATTGTTCCAGACCCAATTGTTGAATACACTGCCATTTCTCTCCTCTCACCTTCATTTGCATCTTTATTAATAATTAGTTGTCTATATATGCATATACATGTGTATATACTATTGGGCTTTATTCCCTTCCATTGATATATTCTTATAATAATGATAATTCCGACTACACTGATCATTGTTAGTTTATAAGCCTTGAAATGAAGTAGGGTAACCCCACCACATTTGTTCTATTTTTTATTTATTTATTTATTTATTTATTTATTTATTTATTTATTATTATTATACTTTAAGTTTTAGGGTACATGTGCACAATGTGCAGGTTAGTTACACATGTATACATGTGCCATGCTGGTGCGCTGCACCCACTAACTCGTCATCTAGCATTAGGTATATCTCCCAATGCTATCCCTCCCCGCTTCCCCCACCCCACAACAGTCCCCAGAGTGTGATGTTCCCCTTCCTGTGTCCATGTGTTCTCATTGTTCAATTCCCACCTATGAGTGAGAATATGCGGTGTTTGGTTTTTTGTTCTTGCGATAGTTTACTGAGAACGATGATTTCCAATTTCATCCATGTCCCTACAAAGGACATGAACTCATCATTTTTTATGGCTGCATAGTATTCCATGGTGTATATGTGCCACATTTTCTTAATCCAGTCTATCCACTGTTGGACATTTGGGTTGGTTCCAAGTCTTTGCTATTGTGAATAATGCCGCAATAAACATACATGTGCATGTGTCTTTATAGCAGCATGATTTATAGTCCTTTGGGTATATACCCAGTAATGGGATGGCTGGGTCAAATGATATTTCTAGTTCTAGATCCCTGAGGAATAGCCACACTGACTTCCACAATGGTTGAACTAGTTTACAGTCCCACCAACAGTGTAAAAGTGTTCCTATTTCTCCACATCCTCTCCAGCACCTGTTGTTTCCTGACTTTTTAATGATTGCCATTCTAACTGGTGTGAAATGGTATCTCATTGTGGTTTTGATTTGCATTTCTCTGATGGCCAGTGATGGTGAGCATTTTTTCATATGTTTTTTGGCTGCATAAATGTCTTCTTTTGAGAAGTGTCTGTTCATGTCCTTTGCCCACTTTTTGATGGGGTTGTTTGTTTTTTTCTTGTAAATTTGTTTGAGTTCATTGTAGATTCTGGATATTAGCCCTTTGTCAGATGAGTAGGTTGCAAAAATTTTCTCCCATTTTGTGGGTTGCTTGTTCACTCTGATGGTAGTTTCTTTTGCTGTGCAGAAGCTCTTTAGTTTAATTAGATCCCATTTGTCAATTTTGGCTTTTGTTGCCATTGCTTTTGGTGTTTTAGACATGAAGTCCTTGCCCATGCCTATGTCCTGAATGGTAATGCCTAGGTTTTCTTCTAGGGTTTTTATGGTTTTAGGTCTAATGTTTATTTTTTAATGTTTTCTTTGGCTATTCTAGGACCTTTACATTTCTATATCAATGTTAGTGCTAGCCTCCCAATTTCTATTTTAAAAAATCTGGAATTTGGATTTTGATTGCATTGAATCTATCAAAAAAGTTGAGGAAAAATAAATGACATCTTAATATTCAGTTTTCTGACTCATGAATAAAGTTTGTATCTCTATTTACATATATCCTCATTGAATTTATCTTTGTAATGCTTTATAGTTTTCAATGGACAGATCTTCTACATCTTCTGTCATATTTATCCCTTTCAATTTATATTTTCTAATGTTAATTTAAATTGTACTATGTTTGTCTCAATTGCCAATTGTTTATTGCTATTATTAAAATACAAGTATAATGGTCTTAAATCCACCAACATTGCTAAAGTTGTATTCATTCTAGAAGCATTTTTACATTGATAGGATTGTCTGCATATACTCTTATATTATGTAAATGAGGAGGTTTTTTTTGTATTTGTTCCTTTCCAATTGTAAGGTCTTTTGAAAAAACTTTGTTACACTGGAGAGAACCTCAGGCACAGTGATGAACTATCCTACACAATCCCACCCTGCTCCATGAACTCATCAGTGTTAGGTTGTAGTTTCCTACATGTAAACATCCTGCGTGATTTCTGGCATGAGAAAATCTGCCTCATCCTCCCTACACTGCTAAAATCCAAGCCCCGGTACTACACCTACTGAGTATGGGTACTACACCTACTGAGAGGGTCATGACCTCACAGTTGATGGAATACTCATGTGATATCCAGTGGAGCAAATGTATTCACTGAAATTTGACAGCTTGAAAGCAGTGATTTCAGACAGGGGAAAACTGAAACCCCAGGATATCAGGGGAAATTCAGCCAGATGTCGGGCGAAATTCAGCCAGATATCAGGCAAAAATTTTCTGTTTTCTGTTTTCCCTAAGTGTCAGCCAGTCTGAGAAATGAAGGGACAGAGTCCAAAGAGAGAAATTTTAAAGTTGGGTGTCCGGGGGAGACATCACATGTCAGCAGGTTCCGTGATGCCCCACAAGCTGCAAAACCAGCAAGTTTTTATTAGTGATTTTCAAAAGGGGAGGGAGTACCAATAGGGTGTGGGTCACAGAGATCACGTGCTTCACAAGGTAATAGAATATCACAAGGCAAATGGAGGCAGGGTGAGATCACAGGACCACAGGACCACAGGACCCGGGCGAAATTAAAATTGCTAATGAAGTTTTGGGCATGCATTATGGTTGATAACATCTTATCAGGAGACAGGATTTGAGAGCAGACAACTGGTCTGACCAAAATTGATTAGGCGGGAATTTCTTCATCCTAATAAGCCTGGGAGCACTATGGGAGACTGGGGCTTATTTCATCCCTACAGTTTCCACCATAAAAGATGGCTGCTCCCCGAAGTGGCCATTTCAGAGGCCTACCCTCAGGGATGCACTCTGTTTCTCAGGGATGTTCCTTGCTGAGAAAAAGAATTCAGCGATATTTCTCCCATTTGCTTTTGAAAGAAGAGAAATATGGCTCTGTTCCGCCCGGCTCACCAGCGGTCTGAGTTAAAGGTTATCTCTCTTGTTCCCTGAACATTGCTGTTATCCTGTTCTTTTCTCAAGGTGCCCAGATTTCATATTGTTCAAACACACTTGCTCTACAAACAATTTGTGCAGTTAACGCAATCATCACAGGGTCCTGAGGCGACATACATCCTCCTCAGTTTAGGAAGGTGATGGGATTAAGAGATTAAAGTAAAGACAGGCATAGGAAATCACAGGGGTATTGATTGGGGAAGTGATAAGTGTCCATGAAGTCTTCACAATTTATGTTCAGAGACTGCAGTAAAGACAGGCATAAGAAATTATAAAAGTATTAATTTGGGGAACTAATAAATGTCCATGAAATCTTCACAATCCACGTTCTTCTGCCATGGCTTCAACTGGTCCCTCCGTTCAGGGTCCCTGACTTCCTGCAACACCAGGAGACTTCTGAGGACACTGGGAACAGGAAGTAGGGTAGAAAAATTCCTGGATAGTAGCCGACTGAGTGGGCTTCAAGATGCATAAGAGAAATTTTTAGGGGGGAAGTAGGATGATTCACACCTCCATATAAACTTAATTACAGCCAGATTACCTTGCAGAGCTTTCTGGTAAGGTGTGGGAAAACTAGATAATGGTGGGTGGTGGGAGAAAACAGAAGGAAGCACTGAAATAGGGTGACTCTGGGGAAAGGCTTGGAGGAAATACACTCTCTTCTGCTATGTGACCCCCCCAAAGCTGAACATTGGAGGAAAGGAGCAGCACTAATCAGTTTGGGAAGGCTCTTTAGGCATGCCAAACAAATGTCCCCCATTCTTCAACCAGAGCATACTGGCTTCCTCGTCAGATCACCCTCCCCACTCTCCTTCTCTCCTCCCACCATGACAATGCTCTGATGATGGTTTCTGCTATCTAAGGCCCTCACACCCCAGCAGAGCCACTATTGGCTGGGTAGTGGTTTGCTGACCAATCAAAGCTCAGTGGTGTGGCCCCGCCCTGTCCTGGAAGGGTATATATAGGGAAGCCAGGAGGCCTGGAGTAGACCACTGAGAGACCCCGAGGTGGTGAAGATAACCAGGAAACCAAGCAATCAGACCAGTTGTAGAACCCCCACCCACCAACACCAAAGAGTCAAGGAAGACAAAGTCCCCCTCTTAACCCAGGCCCAGAAGCCCTATCAAGGTGAGTGACACACCCAAGCTCCTCCTTGTCTTCCCCTTGACTCCTCCCTCCCAAGACTCCTACCCTGTCCTTGCCTGGCACAACCGCCCAACCCAGCCTGTAACCTTCACATGAAACCCCTGGTCCCACTCATCCTCTATCCCCTTCCCCAAAACCAGTGCCTTTCTGTGATCTCTCTGCTGTCCTTCTGGGTCCCAAGACAATCTGAAAGGGAAAAGGAAGACTTCGAGGGAGTTCCAGGGAAAAAGCTTCTCCAGAATGATCACCACTTCAAGAAAAGCTGAGCATGAGAGAGGGCCAATGCAATCCAGACACTGTGACCAGCTGAATGAGAAACTCAATCAAAATGAGCCACAGCAACACCAAAAGAGCCAGGAGACCTCCACCACCTGAAGCTTCTCCCTGGGCAGCCATTAATTTCAGGGCAAGGCCAGAGACCTCAGATCTATTTGAGAAGTCTCCAGAGATCTGGCCCCAGATAAATAGTCAATGGGGTCTAGAGTACATTTTAGATCCCACAGGGTATGCCCCATGGTGATGAAAATAAAATGAACTTGTTGTAAAATGATGTGTGGGTCTGCTCCTTCTCGGATGGTGGGAAGAGAGGAAGGAGGGAAGACGTGGTGTGTGGGAAGGGAGGAAGGTGGGTGTTGCGGGGTTGGGGTCAGATGGACAAGTCCTCAGTTAACCAGACATGGAGGATGAGGATTAGGTCAGGATTGAGCACTGGAGACAAATTTCCCCTTAACAGGATGACTTGGCTTCTTGTAAGGTTTCCGCCTTTATGGGATCTTGATGGTGCTTAAATCAAGTACCAAGAACTGGATTCTACCTACTTGTGATGGATAATATTAAGTGTCAACTTGATTGGATTGAAGGATGCAAAGTGTGGTTTCTAGATGTGTCTGCGAGGGTGTTGCTAGAGGAGATTAACATTTGAGCCAGTGGACTGTGAGAGGCAGACCAACCCTTAATCTGGGTGGGCACCATCCCCTTGCCTGCCAACACAGCTAGACAAAAGCAGGCAGAAGAAGGTGGAATGAGCAGACTTGCTGCGTCTTCTGGCCTTCATCTTTCCCCATGCTGGATGCTTCCTGCTCTCCAACATTAGACTCCAACTGCTTTGGCTTTTGGACTCTTGGTCTTATGCTAGTGGTTTTCCTGGGGCTCTCGGGCCTTCCACCACAGACTGAAGGCTGCACTGTTGGCTTCCCTACTTTTGAGGTTTTGAGGTTTTGGGACTTGGACTGATCCACTACTGGCTTCCTTGCTCCTCAACTTGCAGACAGCTTATGGTGGGACTTTATGTTGTCATCCTGTGAGTCAATTATCCTTAATAAATTCCCTTTCTCATATATATATATATATATATAAAATATCTATACATTCATATATATACATATATCTATGAAATCTATAGATATATGAAATGTATACACACACACACACACACACACACACATTTATCTTACTAGTTCTGTCCCTCTAGAGAACTCTAATACACTACTTATGTTTCACTGTCACAAAACCTTTTGGTTCATATAAACTGGTGGAAGAATCCTTTGCATCATCCTTCCTTACAGAGTCCCCTCCCTACAATCTAATATAATTAAGAAAAAAATTCAAAGTTGATACAAATCTATTCAAAGTAAAGCCAAAACTATCTACTTAAAAACTGCTTTATTTTTGCAACTGAGAAGACTGGATGTACATTTCCCATTTCCATACATTAGAAACACATAGGTCTTTTCTACTATGCATATATATGTATATATGTGTGTATATATATATGTGTGTGTGTGTGTGTGTGTGTGTGCCTGTGTGTGTTTTGTGTACCATCATTTGTATTGGAAGGTAAGGTGTTATTGTTGAAGCGTGCTTCACAGGCAAACAGAGAAAGGAAACTATCATTTTAAGAAGAATAAAGTACAAAATTTTCACAATTCAGTTTCCAGTTTTCAGTAAGTATTATGACAGAGAAATTCATACCTTTTAGCTTCATAATGAATAACATTTTTTACCTTTATGTGATTATGGAAATGTGAATTTCCATACAATAAGGGTTTGTGATGGAAAGCACTGATTCTATAAGCATTTTCCACTTGTTACATAGATTGTTATTATAGCTTTAAAGGTGTTAAGATTAATGGTGGCTTTGAAGAAATGGGAGCATCATTTGAGAAACTATAAATGAGTTCTGTTGCATCCCTTTCCTAGGTGACGTCAGGGCTCCACTTCATTAGCTAAGGAAGGCATTTCAGGGCTTTGCATGTGTACGTTGTAGCTGCCTCCTATGAAATCCTGAAAAATCTGGGACACTGTACAACAGACACAGGGCATTGTCCCACATCCTGAACTCCAACAATGTATTCTAGTATCTTCTATGTCTTTTGTAGTTCTTATATGGATCTACCATCGAAGAATGAGCATGCTGGATGTAAATCAAAGCCTCTTGATTTGCAAATGCTCCATCAACCCTGAACAATAATATTTGCATTTATGGGTGGGAAGCTGGTCAGAAGGAAAACATCCTGCTGTCTTTTTAGGAAATCACGTTGGACATGGTCGTATAGCTCTTTCCAAAGAGAAATTCGTTTTTTCCATAATAGATTAAAAACCGAAATAAACCATGTCTTGTCAGTGGTCACTTTTTGGATCAGTGTACATCATTGCACTGAGCAATTTTGCACAGTGTGTTTCAAAATTACATTCAAGAACTGATTTGCTTACTGGCACCTTATTTTGATGCCATGACATTTCCATTAAAATCTCTATGTCAAATCAGTCTATGATAACTCTTTTGGCATTCAAAAAAATTATCCATGGCTCTTAAACCATGTTTCTTTCATCATTTTACGGCCGTTGGAGCTTCAACTACTATTTGCTTGGGAACCCATCTTAACTAGCTCTTGCATTCGGGCTTCCTGTTTTATTGTGATGATTGGCAGACCCATTTCAGGCATGTTCAGCTTTGGAAAGGAATTACGATTTTGAACTTATACAAGCAAAAAATGTAACTGAGTTTATTTTCACAAACTGCTTTAATTTGTTAACAACAAGTCACTAAAACCAGAAATCAATCGTTTAAATTACCTTTTAATTTGTTGGAGCTTTCGTAAATGCTATGCTTTCATTTAAGTCTTTATTTATTCTACATGTTATATACATAGTTAAATTAGTTGATCAGAGTTTAAATATTTTCTCTCCTTCTCCAAGGACCCACAAGCTCAGGCTTAAAATAAAGAGTGGAATGAGAAAAGTAAAGGCCCGAAATATTATACCACCAAAGCTGTAGAGGACCTTTATAATAAAATAATGGATGTCAAAGCTTTCTGACCTTTTTAGGCAAATCTTCCTGTGTCCCTAAAGAAAAAACCCCCTTGCCAACAGCCACCAACAACAGGTAATCATGTGACTCTCAGCTGTGGTAGACAATTGCTGAAAAAATATGAAAACACCTTGGGCATATTAAGGAGCTAAGCATGAGATGATATATACATATGTGCATGTCTTTCTCATTAGACCCCTGGAAATAAAACATATTGCAGGAAGGCTCATGTCCATGTCTCTTGACCATGTAGCTTCCTCTGCTCCCAACTCTGAAGAACATTCTGGCCTTTGTTCATTCCCAGCTTGAGTATCTCATGCCTAAAAATGTTTTAGCCCCACATCAGTGCTGCATAGAACAGGGACTTGCTCTCAAAACAAGTCTGAAATTGATAAATGACAGGAGAAGCTCAATGTGATGGCTAGGTACCAGATAGAAGGCCTTCCACTGTTTTGAACACTGATTGTAAGCTCTAGAATAACTGTAGCTGCAGTCTACTGGGCAAGGGCATGTGTCAGGCAGGGTGTGAAATGCTCTGCATGCATGACCTCATTTCTCCCCCACATTACCCCTGTGGAATAGTCAGGACTCTTAAGAGACACCATCAACAGGATATAGACAAAGATACATAGACAGATCAGAGGGGATTGATTCGGGGAGTTGGAGGGTGAAACGTCTAAGGTCAGGCTGTCTGCAAGCTGGAGACCCTGGGAGGCCAGGAATGTGACTCAGTCCACATCCAAAAGCCTCAGTACCAGAGAAGCCAATGCTATAACTCTCAATATAAGGCCAAAGGCCTGAGAACCTGGGCAGGCCAGGGAATGGGCGTGTAAGTCCCGGAGTCTGAAGGCCAAAGAGCCAAGAGTTCTGGTGTCCAATGGCCAGATAATAAGAGTCCCAGCGGCCAGGCGCAGTGGCTCACGCCTGTAATCCCAGCACTTTGGGAGGCCAAGGCAGGCGGATCACGAGGTCAGGAGTTTGAGACCAGCCTGGCCAATATGGTGAAACCCCATCTCTACTAAAAATACAAAAGTTAGCTGGCTTGGTGGCATGCGCCTGTAGTCCCAGCTCTTCGGGAGGCTGAGACAGGAGAATGGCTTGAACCCAGGAGGCAGAGATTGCAGTGAGCCGAAATGGTCCCACTGCACTCCAGCCTGGGTGACAGAGCAAGACTCCATCTGAAAAGAAAGAGAAGAATCTCAGCTTCAGCAGAGAAAGGGAGCAAAGTGCATTTCATCTGCCTTGCCTTCTTTCTTCTATCAAGGTCCTGAACGAATTGGATGTGGCCCGCCCAGATTGAAGGTAACTTCCTCACTCTGCCCACCAACTCACCCCAATCTTATCTGGAATGCCTACAGAAGCTCACCCTGAAATACTGCTTTACCAGTTCTCTATGTATTCCTGAACGCAGTCACATTTTGGTTACCTAAAATTAACCATCACGCCCTATAAAATGCATAGTATCTCCCCTGTACAAATGTGGCAGAGCGTTTGGGACACTTTCTTACAGTGCCTGTAGTTTACAAGGCCAGGATGAAAACTCAAGTCTGCAAAGATCAAATTCCAAACCACCGTCTTAAAGACTGCTGCTCAGTGCTGTGAGCAGCACTGTATTAGATACTGTGCAAGGGAGAAAAGACACTCAAGAAAAGTCCCCTGCTTTAGGGACCACATCTTACCTTATATTAGGGACAGGAGTCATATTTCTGTGACTCTGCTATAGACCCAATAGCCAAGTGTGAAATGACCTGCTTTAGGTTTGTATGAGCTCAGAAGAAACCCTCAGTGAGAGCAAGATCGATGTAGGGTCAATTCATACAGGGATATTTTTATGGAAAATGTGAGCTTTTAGCCAATGTTTTCCTGAAAGAAATAGAAGACTACTGTTGGCAGAAAAGTGTTGTGCTGGGGATTAACTACTTGTAGGGCTGTTGGAGAAGGGTCCTAGGCACAGGTCCAGGAAAGTGGGAAAGAGTACACACAGTCAGAATAGAAACAGAGTTGAAGACCCTTCAGGAAGCGTAATAACAAAAAGAGCTCGACTAGTAAGCTGATACATAATTTTCAATCTTATCTAGACTGAGAACTTTGAATACAACCCATAATTACTTAAGAATTGTTGCAGTAAAAAATGGAGAAGTGTGTGAATTCTGGGTAAAATAAAAAAATTCATTAAGGTTGAATTAAATTATTACTTCAACAAATAATTACTGGATAACTACTATGATCCCGGTGAAAGGCCAGATGCTAATCAAAAAATAATAGGCCGGGCGTGGTGGCTCATGCCTGTAACCCCAGCACTTTGGGAGGTCGAGGCGGGCGGATCACAAGGTCAGGAGATCAAGACCATCCTGGCTAATACGATGAAACCCCATCTCTACTAAAAATACAAAAAAATTAGCCAGGTGTGGTGGCACACGCCAGTAATCCCAGCTACTCGGGAGGCTGAGGCAGGAGAATGGCGTGAACCTGGGAGGCGGAGTTTGTAGTGAGCCGAGATCGCGCCACTGCACTCCAGCCTGGGCGACAAAGCGAGACTGTCTCAAAATAATAATAATAATAATAAATAATAATGACTGTCATGACTGAGCAACTCACAGGACGAATCCATACAATGGTGCTGGAAGATAGATGGGCCCATCTTATTTCATCCTTATTTTAGAAAAGATGACACTGAGGACCAGCAAGGTTAATAACCTGTTCGAGATAACCCAGCAGTTGTACCGAGCTTGTCTGACTCCAGAGCCCACACATTCCCTCATACACCATGCGGCCAGACAAGGCCAGTGAAGTACTAACAGGTTTTCTTTTCTTTTTCCTTTCTTTTCTTTCTTTCCTTTATTTTCTTACTTTCCTTTCTTTCGTTTCTTTCCTTTCTTTTTCTTTCTCTTTCTTTCTTTCTTTTTTCTTTCTTTCTTTCTTTCCTCCCTCCCTCCTTTCCTTCCTTCCTTCCTTCCTTCCTTTCTTTTTTCTTTCTTTCAACAGAGTTTCACTCTTGTTGCCCAGGCTGGAGTGCAATGGCAGGATCTCGGCTCACCGAAACCTCTGCCTCCTGGGTTCAAGCGGTTCCCCTGCCTCAGACTCCCAAGTAGCTGGGATTACAGGCGTGCACCACCAGGCCTGGCTAATTTTGTATTTTTAGTAGAGATGGGGTTTCTCCATCTTGGCCAGACTGGTCTCGAACTCCCCACCTCAGGTGATCCACCCGCCTCAGCCTCCCAAACTGCTGGGATTACAGGTGTGAGCCACCACGCTTGGCCACTAACAGTTTTTCTAAGGTGTTGAATAGATGGAATAAGGGAATTAGCAGTATTATTTAAATTTAAGGTGTTGAATAGATGAAATAAGGGAATTAGGAGTATTATTTAAATTGTGGTAAAAACACAGTGCGTGACATATATACTCTTAACAAATGTTTAGGCATATAACACAGTATAATGAAGTATATGCCCATTGTTTGACAGTGGATCCTTAGAACTTTCTCATCTTCTATGACTACAACTCTATGCCGATTGCAATCCAATTCCCCGTTTTCCCCTCCTCCTAGCCCCTGGCAATCACCATGCTACTTTCTGCTTCTGTGAGTTTCACTATTGTAGATATCTCATAAAAGTGGAATCTGAAGCATTTGTCCTTCTGGAAATTGCTTGTTTAACTTAAGCATAATGTTCTCAGGTCCGTCGATGTGGCTGGAGTAGTTTCTGACAATTCTACACAGTGGGGGGATCTTGAAACTTGTCAAACATGCACCAAACTGGAAAGACTACTATAGCGATCACTACATTTTCATCACACAGCTCCAATCACTACAAGACAGCTAATTCCGTTTCGTACATCTCCCTCTCCAAAGCTGCACAAATACAGAAGAAAGTTCCCCTCTCCTTCAAAAGGAAATATTGATGATTTTGAATGGCATGAAGCCAATTTCTGTAATGCAGCAAAAGAATACATTTAACTGACTTATTCTAACCAAATTTGAAACAATTTCATTTGTTAGATCAAATGTTTCCAAAGGAAGATTTCAAGTGTTATTATATTTTTTAAGTGCATTAAAATAACATATAGGCATTAATTGTTCTCATATTCAAATAAATATACAAATGACTTTGCATATACTAACTGAATATTGCACTTGAAAAAAATTCTGTAGATAATTTATCTCTACAGAAAGCCTTGAAACATGTAAACCATAAATAATTATGCATACTTGTATATTTAGGAAACACTTCTAGTCAGTGCTAAAGACAAGCATCATTTAATAGTGGACCAAATCAATTAAATGACATTTTGATGTGTTTGTGAAAATGCCATATTCATGAATCCATGACTCACAATGTATACTTACATGTCTTGTTCAATGGTCTTAATGGTTTTTAGCAGTTTAATTTATTCTGGGGTACAAACTTATGTTGCTTTTAAGTTTTCATATTTCCTCTCAAATTTTATTTCATGAAAATTGGTTTCATAATTTAGTAAGGATACACAAAAATAAGTTCATAAAATAGATTTTGTCTTATGTTTTTTCTCCTTAGGAATAACAATGTAAGCTTAAATACTTGTGATTTCTACCATTTGAGACTGATATAGATCCACTGAGGCCAAATGTAAAATCAGATCATCTTTATTGCTAAAAGTTCATTGACAATGTTTGGGAGACTAGGTGACCATTATTAGGGAAAGGACTGAAAGCCCGCTACATACAACTTTGGATTGGCTACTACTGCTCACATAACTGTTTAGGATTTACATGGGTTTTAGCAGAAAAGGGATCCACCATGAAAACAAACAGTATGCAACAATTTAAACTAGGAATTTCAGGCCACATCGGTTTCATGGAGCTAATTTTATGGCTGTATGCTATCACCTAGGTTTAGCTTTGTTCTTTGAAGTGTCATCAGAATAACTGCGATAGGAGAACACCAGACACCTCTTGCAGATGCTGTTACATGAAAAGTGATATTAATCATTTATTGAATATTTAGGTAAATATTAGAAAAATTCAGCGAACAAAATATTTTACTGCTTAAATCAATCTTCAATTTTACCAATTTCCTTCATAAATTCTGTTTACAACACTGCTATTTCTTTTTTTTTTCCATTTTGTTTTTTTGAGACAGAGTTTCGCTCTTGTCGCCCAGGCTGGAGTGCAATGGCGCAATCTCAGCTCACTGCAACATCTGCCTCCCAGGTTCAAACAATTCTCCTGCCTCAGCCTCCCTAGTAGCTGGGATTACAGGTGCCCGCCACCACGTCCCGCTAATTTTTTTTGTATTTTTAGTAGAGACAGGGTTTCGCCATGTTGGCCAGGCTGGTCTTGAACTCCTGACCTCAGGTGATCTGCCCACTGAGATTACAGGCGTGAGCCACCACGCCCGGCCCCATTTCTTTTCTAAGTTCACTTTGTTCACCAGTAAGACAAACTGTATGATTCTCCTCCAGGTCCTCCACGTGCTACAACAAAAAACCAAGTTCAGTTATAACCAACCACTCTTCATCACCTTATAACTGTGTATAACTACATTTCAAAAGCAAAACACTTTAAAATTCCAATGATGGTTATTATCTATTCCAGATTTAAAAAGCACTCTAAGAGCTACCCGAAGACCAAAATACTCACTTAAGAAACATAGAAATGTGTGAATTTAGTCAATTATGATTACAGTAGGAGGCACGACAATATCACAATTTGCTCCAAACAATGGGATATTGAAATGTTCAGGTGAAGATATAGCAAAAAGAATGGAAGTTCCATGTAAATCCATGCGCTAATTTCATTCATAAGCTTCCCAAACACCAGGTATTCGACCATTTATTATCCCTGATATTGCATGTAACATGGTTTCCATAGATAGAGGGAATAAAATGCTCAGTAGTATGATCTCGAGTTACGAAAAATACAATTTGAATTTTAAATCTTTATTCTTCATTCAACAAACAGTGAAATAATGCCTGCTACAGAAAAGTTAGGATGTCATGTGCTATGGTGGCATTAGAAGATGAACACATGATCTTTTCCATATTCCAGTGACTTCAGGAAACATGTAAACTGAAGTCATACAAAAATGTTACAATAGACATGGAAGGGCAACTTGCTGGCACTGTACAGTGGACAATGGAGATCAATGCCTACTTAGTTGGCAAAAGAATTAGATTTCGATAGGTTAGCAAAAGGAGATAAAATTTTTATGGTGGAAGGGCTTAAATAAAGCCTGGAAATAATGGTGAATTATTTCACAGAAGGCTATCAACCTGGAGGGATGACAGGAAGGAAAGAATGTAGCAAATGAAGTGGTTTTTTTTTTAATATACTTTAAGTTTTTAGGGTACATGTGCACAACCTGCAGGTTTGTTACGTATGTATACATGTGCCATGTTGGTGTGCTGCACCCATTAACTCTTCATTTAACATTAGGTATATCTCCTAATGCTATCCCTCCCCCCTCCCCCCACCCCACAACAGGCCCCGGTGTGTGATGTTCCCCTTCCTGTGTCCATGTGTTCTCATTGTTCAATTCCCACCTATGAGTGAGAACATGCAGTGTTTGGTTTTTTGAAGCTGGAAACCATCATTCTCAGCAAACTATCGCAAGGACAAAAGCAAATGAAGTTTTAAAAGGAGGTCATGTCAAGGCAGAGGTGTCTCTGAATATCCATGAATTTAGAATGGAAAGCTCGTGACAGGTTGGGAAGAGGGAAGGGCGATGTCTTAGGAAGATAAGATTGCAGATCTATGAAGGATGGAAAGAGGAAGAGAGAACTCAGATGAAATTTTAATAGCGTAAGTGAGGAAGGATGAGGTCCTGAGCTAGGACAGCAGCAGTGAGAATCTAAACAAAAAACTTAAAATAACGTTGAGGTGGTAAAAATGGCAGGGCCTAGTGATAGATAGCTGGATGGGAAGGAAAAGGAAATGCAGAAGACTAAATCATCATGAAGTTCCCACCATAAGTGGTGACATTTAGCACTAACATTGAGAAGATCTTATTTCCCAAACATGTGTAACAATTGGTACATGGTTCTCAGAGACCATTAAACAACACATCCTCTACTTAGAAACACTTGAATAACAACTGAGTGTACATATTACATATATGTATACACACATGTAGTATATGTATCATAGTAAACAATGTAAAGAATGACTATCCTGAAACTCGTTTTCCTGAAACAATCCCCTCAGTTTAGAAGAGTGAATTTTTAACAAGAATTTGAACAAGATTGTTTTAAAAACACTCCAAATTTATAAAATGAATAGGAATGTACACCATTCCATAGAAACCTAAATAGATATATACCTGCATGGTTAAGAGGTCAATATCACTGAGGACAACTTGCAAAAGTACAAATGTGACGGGAGACAATTCTCAGTCACAAACTGTTAATTCTTTCCTGGCTTTTTCATTCTGAACGCATCTGGGCCCTGTCTTGTGATAGTAACTTGGCAGAGAAATCAATTTGTAGTCACTTCAATAATAGTGCAAGCAAATATGTCATGAAATAATCAGGAAATAAATTTGAAATAAAAAATACCCATTTGTTACAATTGGGTGCCTTCTCTTTGAGAAACACTGGCACTAGAAAGACTATTAAACCACATCTAGAAATGATGTAGAAACTTCTTGCTTTCATCTATTGCTGCACCAGTAAAAACTGTCGAGCAAAAGAGTCATGGTGTTTAGTCATGTAAATAAAGTGTGAATAGCCAACACGGTATGTATATTTCTGGGTGAAATTGCCAAGTTACCGTTTCCTGTTTTGGATTACACCAAAAACAATTAATGAATTCTAAAAGTAAAAATACATTTAGTTCTTACTTTAAAACAATGACATTAACATGGAAAATGCTTAAGAATTTTATAATCAAAGTATTTTTAACACTATTTTGGAAAGGAAAACAGTTTTTTAAATTTTCAATATACATGTAAAGTCTTACGAGAATATGTTGTGTAACCAAATACCACTGACCTGTAAGAATTCCTCACATAATGCATTAAATGCTTTTGTTCTCTGGCCCTCAACAATTTCAGATTCTTGAAAAAGTCTTTTGTTGCTGTTGAGAAATATGCTCTACAAATATACAAAGAAAACTCGATAACAATTCGAGTAAAATTTAAAATTTATCAAAAAAACAATTCTTTGTTAACTTAAAGCTAACAATTTTGAAATTATCATTTGAAAATATTTTTTCTTATTAACAAATACTATGACCAAGTTTATGAAATTTGTGTCCAACAATAATATACAAAAACTATATAATAATCCTATCATGCATTTTTTATGGAAATGTTCCTTTTTAATAATATTCTACAAATATGTTTTAGTCCTTGATGCTTTCAAAGCCCACACACGTAATCCTTCCAATAAAACTGGTCTTTCTGTTCCACCACCAATGATCTTGACATTTCCTGCAAATTAAACACTCACATAGCCACATCCTAGATTTTGACATTCCTGAGAATCTACAATATCTACATAACATTAATAAAAGCAAAGTTGTACTATAGGAACCATATGTCAGATCCTGTTCTGAACCATTTTAAATACCTTATTATAGAAAAATTCATTTAACACTCAAAACAACTCTGTGAGGTAGGTACTCACATTATGCCCACAATATTAATGGAGCAAGCTGGGACACAGAAAGAATTTGCTCATGGTTTCCCAGGCAGCAATGGTCGAACCAGACTTAGATTCTAAACAGTGGGGGTTGAGTCCGGGCTTTTGACCACTACACTATGCTATTTCCCCATGTATCCAACATGCAACAACTAATGCCCTCACACTGTAGGTCACTCTAAGCACTACAGCTCAGGAGTCTATCAGGAACTGAAGCCCATTGAATAGAGCACCTTTCACTGTCCAACACTGGAGTGCCCAACACTCCCTTTCTTCGTTCCCAGATTAAGTTCCATGGTCACTCACCATAACTCCATCCTTGTGTATGTGCCCTGCCAGCTTCTCCCTCTGTCACAGTGCTCAGCCAAATGCCAACCCAGAAAAATCCAACTCTCCAGCTGCCCTAACACAACCATGCCAACAGATCTCAAAGTCGTGTTTATGATGACACTAATCTAATTTGCACTCCCAATGCTGCTTGACAATTATATTCCCCTAGTCCACTCACTGGCCCAGTCTCAGGAAAAAAAGTATAGTCCTTCTTCTCTGCCCTCCTGCCCCATCTCTACTTGTCACTGATGATCTTTTATCTCACTACAGAGACAGAAGCAACCCACAGGGCACATTCAGCGTCCGAGCATCACATCTTCACCCACCTTTGTCCATCAGTGCTTACGCACTCGACCTTCTCTCCTGTTTAAATGCATGAACTACTACTCCTTCCTGAAGTCAACTTGCTCCCCTGTCCACTAGAGCCCACTGCTTCTCAAGAACATCGTTCAGCACTTTCCCCTCCTCTTTCCAACATTTCCAAGGTTTCCCTCTATATTGTTCCTATCAGCATACAACATGCCGGTCCTTCTGTAATCACTAAGAAAACCACAAAAACCTCTAGCTACTCCTTTTTGCCTCAGGTTACTACCCCAGTTCTTTCTTCCCAGTTGTCTCTTGTCTTTTCCAATCAGTCCTTTGCACCCACCATTCCACCAAACCACTCTTACTAAGGATATCAAAGGGCCTCCATATACCAAGTCCCCCTCCTTCAGCCTATCAGCAGCATGTGATGAGGTGGTCCTCTCTCCTTCTAAAAGGTCTTCTTTACTGTGTTTCAGCTGGTTTTCTTTTACTTATTTGTTCACTCATTCTTCGGCTTCATTACTGATGCCCCAGTTCTGCGGTAGCTCAAAGTATTGAAGGAACGCGGAATCAGTCTTTAGACTTCCCTTTTTTGTTTACAGTCATTCCCTAGGTGATCTCTCCTAGTCTCCTTGATTAAACGCAATCTGTGTGATATTAATTCCCGCTCTGGTGTCCTCAGCTCCTACCACTCTCCTGAACATGAGGCTCATATATCCAGGGTATATTGCTTATCCCCACTTGACATCCGCCCTCAGGTGCTTCATATGCACCTCAACTTTAACATTTCCAAAACTGAGCTGATCAACCAACACTCATAATTTCTTTATATGAACAATCCCTTTGCTTTTGGATAAGAAATGTGTGACCATGGTACAGTCAAGGCATGGGTGAAAAAAGAAGGCTAGTAAATGTAAGACGGAAGCTATCTTAACATGCCTTAGCTAATATAAATTAAGGAAGATTTATTGTATTATAAATTTTCCAGAAAAAAAATGCATTTTTCTCTGCAAGTGTTTTAGTTTTTATTTTCTCTTTTTGAGTAGTATATAAGTTGAGATATCACAAATAGACTTAATTTGGATATTACACTCCTTTATCATCTATGATTTCCAAACAGGAATATTTCATTTTCCTCACTTTCTGACAATAAGAATTCTGTACAAAAAAAAATATACTGAACCCAGTTCAGTGAAGCTTACAAATTATTTACAATATAACATTAATCTTTGTCTGTGTAATTGAATACAAATAACTATTACAAGACTAAATGTTTAAGACTTTTAACTTTAATTCAGCAAGCACATTCATGGAATGAATACAAATTTTCATGATAAGCAAAATCGACTGTAATTTGAAAGAGAAAACAGGTCATGTTTAGTGAACTCGAGGATACACATCTCATTTCATTATGATGTGGCATCATAGCACTTAGATTATTTAAATTAAGTATTAATTAATTCTTAATTAAGGAATTATTTCTTTAGAGAAAAATCCAGCTAAATATATTTTTTCATTGGACTTCCAGCACATGGACGATCATAGCATTTTTCCAAAGTAGTTTGTATCCACGAATGCTAAGAAATGAAACAAAGCATCTGGCTCCAACATAACCAACAATCTTACCATTGTTCTTCCCGGGTATGCCAAGCAAGTTCAATTTCCTGCTGAATGATTTTCGTGGAAGCATTGATATTCATTTTGAAATGTTTTATCGATGCTTTAGGAACATTTTTAAAGTGCCCTATATGGAAAACACTCATTAAAATTTTGTTTAAAATTATTTTGCTCCCACATATTCACGTCCATAAAGGTAATGTTGGTTCAGCAGTATTAAAAAGACACCTAGCATGAACAAATTGGCATCATTTCAAAATAAAAGATTATTTGCCTCATTTTCGTCTGTGAAAACTTACAGTGACAGATACCTCAATATGGAAAACATTGTTTCGAAGATGTAATAAGGAGTTAAAGAGAAAAGCTGTCTGTTTTCTAAAACTTGTAAAAAGGGTCTCAAGGAGAGCCTATAATTTTTTATGAGAAAACTTTTCTGAAAAATAATTCTTAATAAATTAATAAAATGTACTCTAACTCAAGGATATGTTTAGACCGACCATGGTTAGAACACATTATATTAACCAACTACAATTATTCCATTTTCAAAGGAATAAAAATAAATAAATGATAAACTAAGAATAGTATTTTTAAAATTTAGCCCGGGAAGCTTTTAAATCAATTTGACTAAGAAAAATGACCACAGATAGTTTAAGGAAATTAATATTTATTCAAGAACACTTCCTGGATACTTTCATGCAGGTTTTCATATATCATTTCTCCCCAAATTGCTGCAGATTGTAAGTTTGCAAAATTGTAAAATTTACAATCTGTAACACTGTACATTTTTTAAGTATTTCAAACAATTCCTTGCTAACCATATGATTGATTCTATGTTATGGACCTACCGTCAGTGGTTATTTTCCAGTGTTCAGGAGGGAGCTGTATTACTATAAAAATATTTTATAAATGCAGTTTACCGTCTATAACAACCAATTAATAAGACAGCTCGCACATCAAGCACATTTTCACCACAAAATACAACAAAGCTTTCAACATGTATCTGCTCACATATATGATCCAAATAGAGGAGATAAAACTTGAGAATGACACGGTTAAGAGTTTGTCCTTTTACATAGTTAATTTAACTGATAGCTGAGGTATCCATTTAAAACTTAGATGCTTGATAGCTGAGGTATCCATTTAAAACTTAGATGTTTTTGGTTGTGATCACACGTCTCTCACATGCCAGCAAAGTTGTCTGAGTTCTCCACTACAGAGGTTATTAATGTAAACATAACAATAAGAGGCTATTTTAGAGGCCTCAGTTTGCACTGCCCACCCCAAGAAAGAAATGGGAAAGTCTTATAAAATAACTAGAATAAGAAAACAGCAATGGATATGAAAAACAGATATATCACTTACTATCTGACACAATGTGGAATATATATTATTAGTAAATTATTTTCTAATATTCCACAGTGAATAAAGTAAAAGCATTACTCTGCCTAACCACTGTGTGTACCATCCACTTCACTCAACAGCTTAAAAGGGTAAGGAAGGAAATCGATGGAGCTGAATCACACTCAATCCTTATGTGGCATCCTGGATAGGAGAACAAAGCATTAAATAACACTAATGCAGCCCCCTCATTAGCATTTCTTGCTATAAAAGATATATGGCTGACAACAATGTTCTTGAATTACAAGTATCTCCCAGACACCTACAAAGCTTTCCCACATATTTTGAAATTCATTCCTGGAAGAAATTACTTTTTTTTTTCACTAGGTGTGAATAAGATACCACGCTTGTGTTGTAGGGCATGCCTGATGCCCAGTGTTTTAAACACAAAATGTGCCACGAGTCAAAGTTGATTTTTCTGAACTTACTTTACTAGGAGGCACAATTACATTAAACACATTACCACATGTCTTCCTCATCTGTTTCTGCAAAATGACTACTTTCGGGATGGCTGTGCATTCCTGAATTCCGTGCTGCACTGAAAATTTGAAAAGGCAAACGTTTTTAGAGGAAGGATGCTATTGTGGACATTTTTTCACATGGAAATGTACTATTTGTGGATTTGTATGGCTGTTTGCCAATTAAAGCTTTAAAGCAGACCTATATACATGGAGTCCCTTGAGCCCTGACCATTTTACAGAGACATTTTTGCAAGCCCTCCAGGACTGAAGTCATAGATAACCATGCACTGCGGATCAGACTCCTTGGACGTCACGGACTGCACACATCCAGAAGAGCAGCTCTAAGGGCATCTGTAACTCTGCCGTGGGGCAGGAGCTTCCCATGGGAAACCTAAAGCCCTTGAAACTGCTTTAGAAACCTAGGGCTTCTTAGCATATGCAAGGTGGGCACCAAAGTAACGAGGGTGCCACGGGCTGCCCATGTGCTCCCCACGACCCGGTGCAAGGAGATAAGACAGACCGTCCCCTTGGGCGGGCACCTGTTTCCTTGACCCTTCATTCCAGTTTTACGTCCATGCCCCGTTTCCTGGGCTACCATAAACTGAGTTTACAGCAGGGCCTTGTCAGCCTCCCTGACGCACTTCCCGTCCATACGCACCATGGCTGGCCGTCCTGGGAGGCTAGAGACGACTCCTGAACCTTGTGAGTGCAAAGACACACTAAGGAACCCAGGTGTGTTAAATGAGAGCCAACGGGGAGGTCCCCAGGTTGAAGAAGAGTGGGGCTGGCATGCTCCGTGTCTACTGCTGAAGGAGCAAAGGACAAGGGAGAAGAGGCCAGCGTCCCCACCTGTCCCGTTATGTCCCATCCAGCCCTTCCCTGGGGCTGCCTGCAGAGCTCACACCTGCTCCGCACACCTGAACTCCAGGTCCTCTGCTGAATTCTTGCCGTGCCCTTGGGACAGAGATTGCCCCTGCCCCGGGTCCCCAAGTGACCCCGTGTTGGTCGGGAGAGCTGTAGGGTGACACAGGACCTCCCCAGCCATCTGCATGGGAATGAACCTCTGTGTACCCGTCCTCGACAGTCAGGTGCTGGCATCTGCCCTCTCACCTGCCTGGACGCCCAGCAGACCCCCGGTGACCAAGGGTCCCATCCAGATGGGTGGCCGAGCAAGAGGGACACACGCGGACTCTCCCCCAGCCTCCAGCACATGCACAGAACCCAGTGATGCTCCCGGGCACTGGGGACCACCTGGACCCCTCGATCTCCCTTCCCTGGCCCATGCCAGCCTGCCCCTAGGGGACTCTCCCTGACCCAGGCCCCAGGTGACGCTGGGGAGATTTCCTCACAGGTCAGCCTGAGCTGCCCCAAGATCCACACTCTCGTCCTCTGAGGACCTCGGACTACACGGTCCCAGTCTCCCCTCCGGCCAGGTCCTCTCCTGAGGTACCCTCGACCTCTCCTCCTCACAGGACCTCCAGGACCTGGCACCTTGATGCTCCTCTGAGGGCCTGGGTCCTTGGTCCTCGCGAGAGCAGCTGGCCTGACTGTGGGTGCCCTTTCCTGATTGGCTGGCTCAGTGCATGTGGGAGGTGGGGCTATGTGGAGCCACGCCCCCCCCCCCCACTGGGCACGCCTTCCCCTGAGGGATGGCCCATGGCTGCTGTGGACTGGACTTCCACCCCTACGGTCCTCCAGCTCCTCATCCTGGGGAAGGACAGAAGGACCTGGGAGTGGAGTGGGGAGCAGCTACTGACCCTGCCCTGAGAGGTGGAGGCCATGTGGCTGTGGCCTAGGACCTTGTACCTGGACTCCTTCCAGCCACCCTTCTCCTTTGGGAGAAATGGCCATCACCCTGGAAGTGGGGCCCAGGCTCCCTCCCATGCCCTGTGTGCTTCCAACACGCCCAGCTGCATCCCAGGCATTCCTGCTGTGCGTCCCGTGCACCCACCACATCACAAGACCTGCTTCCTTATCTCTGTGGGATTCTGCCCCTTCCTCCTTAGCTCACCGTTGAGTCACTTAGGGTGCCTATGGGGTGGCAGGTGCCGTCCTGCCCTCATCTCCCCTGTTGCATCAGGTACCCGTGTGGGGCCACTCCACCCCGCATGCGTCCATTTCCTGTCCATTCACCTCTGGGCAGGGCTGTTGTGAAAGAGGGCTGCTCTATTGTTGTGGCTAGGGCTGTTGTGAAAGAGGGCCGCTCTGACTTTGATTAAATGTTGTGGTTACCTGTAGACATGCTGCTTTCATTTCCCCTATTCCATCACCTACCTCTGTGGGGCTAATCTACAAAAAATCCGCTTAGTTCTCTGTCTATGGACATGTCAGTTCTTTCCAGTGTCAGTCCCTTCTAAGCAAGGATGCTATGAAGAGTGAGATGTCTGGCATACGTGCCAAAGGTTTACACGGTATCAGAGAGTGGAATTCCTGGATCATAGACTCAGGGAATATTCCCCAGTGCTCAATTGTTTCCAAGAGGCATCCCCCACCAGAAGAGTGTGTTCCCACTGTTACACAGACTCGCTGGTGGAATAGGCCTTTTGCTTAATGCTGTCATTCTAGTGGGTGTGAAATGGCATGGATTTGGGATCTTGCATTTCTCCAGTTACTAATAAGACTGGGTTCTTTTTCTCGGCTGTTTGCATATCCTTTTACAGTACAATATCCATGTTGGTGAATTAACCATTTTTCACTTTAATAAGATGTTTTTCTTCCAGTTCTTATATATTGTGAGGCTAAGCTTTATAACTGTGTTTACCTGTGCCTTTTGTAATAAATTTATCTTTTCTCTGAAGTCATAAAAATTTCCCCTCTATTTTCTAATAAAGATTGTGAGATTTAATTTTTCATGTTCTTTTTAACCTTTAAGTTCAGAGGTATATGTGCAGGTTTGTTATAGGGTAAACTTGTGTCATGGGGCTTTGTTGTACAGATTATTTCATCACCCACTTATTAAGCTTAGTACCCATTAGTTATTTTTCCTGACTTACCTACAATTGATTTTTGTGCCTGATGTCAGGTGGAGAACCAATTCCTTTTTTTCCTTCCCGTGCAGAAATTCGGTTTTCTTGTCCTCATTAGTTGAAGAGCATACACTTTCCCCATTATCAGCTTATTTACTGCAAAGTCCCTCTTTGTTCCTGCTGATTTGAAATGCTACCTTTATCATACTCCCAATTTGCAAATATTACTGGGTCGTCTTATCACTTTCTAGAATGTTGCCTTGGTCTGTCTCTCTATTCCCATGCCAGTGAATACCACAGTGTTTTAATTATGGAGGCTGGGTGTATACTGTAATGTGTTTGGGGCCAGTTTTCCCATATAGCTCTTCCTTTCCCGTGACTTTGTAGCTATTCTTGCCTTTTGAAATGGGCATTATGATACCATCTTCTTCTCTCCAGGAAAAAGGGAATGGTGTTGGTATTTTTATGGAATTGTATTAAACTTATAAACTCACTTAGGGAGAACCAACATCTTGATGATGCCGTAATGTCCTAACACTGAACAAACGATTTCTACCCACTTGCCCAAGTCTGCTTTTGTGTCTTTTTAAAAGGCACCGTATAGTGCTTTCAATATGTCTTAATTTTATGCCTAAATATTTTCATCATTTTTGTTGCTTTTGTAAATGATTGTTTTATTTGTAATTGTATCCCCTACCTGGTTATGTTTTGGTGGGCGTGGAGCCTTTTGATCTGAGCAGTAGCTCTCAAGAGTAGGCTTTGGTTTGGAGAAAGTGCCTATGAAACAGTCTGTGCCTGGTGGTCTCATATGGGAGATTTCCTTCGTAAGGCTATTTCCTCTGTACAAATGTTCTTTTATCCTTTTGGGCGCTATTGGGGTCAATTATATAGTGAGTGTATTTTCACAAGAAATTACATAGTTCATATAGTTTTACAAGGTTATCGGCATAGAGATGTGTAAAGAGGCCCCTCTGATTTTTAAAAATTTCCTCTTTATTGTTATTTACAGGCATACCTCAAAGATATTGTGGGTTTAGTTCCAGACCATCACAATAAAGCAAGTGACATGAATTTTTTGGTGTTTCTTGCATGTAAAAGTTAAGTTTACAGTATATTATAGTCTATTAGATGTGCAATAGCACTATGGCAAAAATATATACATGCCTTAACTTAAAAAGAGTTTATTATAACAAATGCTCAATATCACCTGAGCCGTCAGTGAGTCATACACTCTTAGCTGGTGTGAAGTGTTGCCTCAATGTTCATGGCTGCTGAGTGATCGGTGGGGTGGTTGGTGAAAGTTGGGGTGGCTGTGGCAATTTCTTAAAATTAGACATCAATGAAGTTTGACACATAGATTGACTCTTCTTTTCATGAAACCTGTCTCCATAGCATACGATGCTGTTTATAGCATTTTACTCACCCATAGTTGAATATCCTTCAAAGTTGTAACGAACCCTCTTAAACCCTGCCACTGCTGTATCAACTAAGTTTATGCAATACTCTAAATCCCGTACTGTCATTTCAACTACTACTACGTTCACAGCATCTTCTCCAGGAATGGATTCCATTCCATTTCAAGAAATCACTTTCTTTGTTCTTCCGTAAGAAGCAACTCCTTGTCCCTTCCAGTTTGATCATGAGATTGCAGTGATTCAGTTTCTTCTTCAGGCTCCACTACTCTTTCTGGTTCTCTTGCTATTTCCATCACATCTGCAGGTACTTCCCCCACTGACATTGTGAACCCCTCAAAGTGATTTGTGAGGGTTGGAATCAACTTCATCCTTTAATGTTGATATTTTGACTTCCTCCCATGAATCACGAATGTTCTTAGTGGCATGCAGAAAGGGGAATCATTTCCAGAAGGTTTTCAATTTCCTTTTTTCAGATCCTTCAGAGGAATCACTATCTATAGCAGCTACAGCCTTATGGAATCTGTTTGCTAAACAGGAAGACTTGAAAGTTAAAATCATTTCTTGATCCATGGGCTGCAGAGTGAATGTTTCATGCATGCTAGCAGGCATAAAAATAAAAAAAAAAAACCTCCTTGTACATCTTCATGACAGCTCTTGAGTGACCAGACACACTGTGAATGAGTGGTAATATTTGGAAGGGAATCTTTTTATTTCTGAGCAGTAGGTCTCAAGAGTGGGCTTAAAATCTTCAGTAAGTCACGATGTAAACAGATGTGCTGTCGTCCAGGCTTTGTTGTTTCATTTCTAGAGCACAGGCAGAGTAGCTTTAGCATCATTCTTAAAGGCCCTAGGATTTTCAAAGCGATAAATTAGCATCGGCTTCAACTTACAGTCACCAGCTGCATTAGCCCCCTAACAAGAGAGTCAGCCTGTCCTTTGAAAGTTTGAAGCCAGGCATTGACTTCTCCTCTCTACCTACAAAAGTCCTAGATGGTATCTTCTTCCAGTAGAAGGCCGTTTCATCTAGAAGGAAAACCTGTCGTGAGCACAGCCACCTTCACCCATGATCTCAGCTAGATCTTCTGGAGAACTTCCTGCAGTGCCTCCATCAGCACTTGATGATCCATCTTGCACTTTTATGTGATGGAGATGGCCTCTCTCCTTACACTCCATGAACCAGTATCTGCTAGCTTCTCCTTTTTTTTGTTTTTGTTTTTTGTCTTGTTTTGTTTTGTTTTTTGTTTTTTGTCTTTTTTCTGCAGCTTCCTCATCTCTCTCGGCCTCAGAGAAGTGAGGAAAGATAGGGCTGTGCTCTGGATTAGGCCTTGGCTTAAGGGCATCTGGTGGCTGGTTTGATGATATGTCCACTAAAACTCTCTGCATATCAGCACGAAATCTGTTTCGCTTCCTTATCATTCATGTGTTCGCCGGAGTGGCACTTTTCATTTCTTTCACCACCTGGCTAAGACTTTGGCACAGGTGGTCTAGTTTGGGGCCTATCTCAGCTTGCAACGTGCCCTCCTCACTGAGCTTAATAATTTCTCCCTTTTGATTTAAAGTGAGAGATCTGCAATTCCTCCTTTCACTTGAACCTTTAGAGGCCATCGTAGGGTTATTATTTGGCCTAATTTCAATTCTGTCGTGTCACAGGGAGTAGAGAGACCAGAGCAGAGTGAGAGAGATGGGGAGAGGCCAGTCAGTGGAGCAGTCAAAACACACACAACATTGATTGATTAAGCTTGCTTCTTCTAGGGTGCATTTTGTGGCTTCCCAATGTGATTACAATAGCAAAATCAAAGAGCACTGATCACGGATCACCAAAACAGATATAGTCCTACTGAAAATTTGAGATGTTGTAAGAATTACCAAAATGTGACACAGAGACACGAGGTGAGCACATGCTGTGAAAAATGGTGCCCACGGATTATTCAAATCAGGGTCATTAGGAACCTTCCAAAACAAGCTGCATCTGCAAAGTGCAATAAAGCACAATCAAACAAAGTATGCTGGTAGTTGTGTGTCTCCTGTGCAAACATCTATCTATCATCTATCTATCTATCTATCTAATCTATCTATCTATCTATCTATCTATCTATCTATCTATCTATCTATCTATCTATCTCTATGCCTGTCTATCTATCTAGCTATCTATCTACCTGCCTACCTATCTACCTGTCTGTGTACCTATTATATATATACAGAAACACTATCTCTGCTTCTTTGATTCAGTTAGCTACTGCTTCATCTGCCTCATTGATTTAAAAAGACACTCTTCAATATTTGTGTCTCCTATTTCTGTTTCTCCCTCATTAATGTCTGCTTTATATATTAACATTATTACTTGTTCGTGCTTTCTTTTAACTTTGTTTTATGTCTAGCCCTTGAGCTAGAAATGTCACTGATTCATTTTTATACTCCCATTGTCATGGTTATGAGTATTCAAAGCGGTCTACTTTTCTCTGATCACCTCTTTAAATATATGTCATAGATTCAAATCTATAGGGTTTATTATAATTTATCAGAAAGTAGATAATTCCTCCTCATATCTAGGCCGGCACCCAGTAGTTCTTTAACAGTTGATTTTTATGAGTTCTGGGGCACGTGAGCTTATTTACAGCTTTTAGTTGTATTGTACTACGACCACAGCAGTAGTTTGTGATATCTCTATATGTGGAGCTTACTAATGTTTTCTTCGTGACCTCACATATGATCAATTTCTGTAAATGTTCTTTGTAAACCTGAGAAGGTATATTTTCCAGTATCATGTTGTAGTTTCAATACATGTACATTAGTTCTACCTTTTCAAATATGTTTAAAGTGTTACAGTGGGCTGTGTGCAGTGGCTCACCCTTGTAGTCCCAGCACTTTGCGGGGCTGAGATGGGAGGATCACTTAAGCCCAGGAGCTCAAGACCAGACTTAGTACCACAGAGAGATCCTGTTTCTACCAAAAATAAGAAGATTAGCTAGGCATGACGGCATGTCCTGGTAGTCCCAGTGACTCAGGAGGCTGAGACAGGAGGATCATGTGAGTCTGGGAAATCAAGGCTTCTGTGAGTCATGAACCCACAGTGGCAGTGACACTGGGAAATCAGAGCCAGACTCTGTCTCAAACAGAAACAAACAAATCTCATGTACCCCATAAATATATACACCTACTATGTATACATAAAAATTTTAAAGCTAAAATTAAAAAAATTTTTTATGTTACACTGTTATTCCTTTTTAACCATTTAACTGGTTGTGGCAAATTGCATTTTCTGAAGATGGTCACAGTACCACCTTCTTTCCCACAAGCTCTTCTTTCCATGTGACCTGGGGCCCTGCTCCTATCAAGGAGTGCAGCCTATATGTCCTTCTCTTGGACTCAGGCAGTGTATGAAGCTGCTGAGTGTGAGAGAGGACCACACAAGTGAGGATTTCTGTCTGTGGAGACTAGGACACAAAAATGCCATGAAATCCCACCTTGCTCCTTCAGGACACTTGATCTGGGAACCCACCCATTATGCTTTGAGGAAGCTCAAGCAGCCCGTGGAGAAACCCGTGGAGAGCATCAGAGGCTCCCAGCCTCAGCTAAGTTTCCAGCTAATAACCAGCTGCAGCTTGCCAGCCATGAGAGCAAGCCATCTTTGAACGTGGATCCTCCAGTCTCCACTTGAGCAACACTAAGTCGCATCCTTGGGTCACAGATGACTCACCTCCATTAAGCCCCCAAAAAACTACATGATGATTTTTATTTTCAGCCACAGAGGAAATCCTCCCCTTTAACCAGAGCTCTATTTCCCCCCAAGTCCCCTTAGGAGAGCTTCATGACAGCTGCCAGCTTTCTCCCAGTATCTCTCTTACTTGCTCACTCCCCATTCCATCTCTCTACATTTCCTCCTTCCGTTACCTGACTCTTCTGTTTTGGGTTCCCTATCTCTGTCTTATAGGAGCATCACTTTCTCTCTCTTCTCTGCTCTACTCACCCTTCAGGTTTGCTCCTTCCACTCCCAACTCCCTGTCACACGCACCATTTGTCTCCCTTGCTGGTTTTGTGACAGAACAATTCAGACGAAATCCCCCAAAACTTCTGCCATCAAACCTACAAGCTACCTGCATCTGTGCCCTGTCTCTCCCTCTGTTAGAGGAGGAAAGACGTCCCTGCCCCTGTGTTCTAGGTTCCATGGCCTCCTGTCTTCCAGAAACCTCGTGTTATCCATTAGTTTATCCATTATCTTTCTCCTCCCTCTATCTTCTGCATGTCTTTCTCTTGCCATCCTTCTTATTCCCATTTGCGCATACTCGAATCTCCTTCAACTTGAAAATCCCTGGGCCTTATTCACCACCAATGTAATTCCCACCACTCTCTTACTCTTTGTGTCAAAGTTTCCAAAGGATTATCTCTGCTTGGTGCCTCTATTGCCTCATCTCTCACATTTTCTGTAATCCACTAGAAGCCAACGTGGGCCCGCACATCTCTTCTAAAAGGATTCTCCCTCAAAAGTCACTGGTGACCTCCATGTGACTAGATCTAATGCACATTCTCTGGCACTCATCTCAGTTGATTCTCAGCTGCGGTCAACACTGTTGAGCACTCTCCTCTTTTTCTCAGTGCCCTCCTTTTGTCTTCCTTTGTCTTCCATAACAACACATTCTCCTGTTATTCTCTTCATCTTGGCCACGTCTCAATATCTTTTCTAGCAGCACCTTCTCCACGGGGCCCTTTCAAGATGGAATTTCCAGGGATTTGGGTCTTGCTCAATTCTCTTCCAGCTGTATACTCTTTCTCTATTTATTTTCATATATGGCCATAACTACCATTACCATTGAAATCAAAGTTTCTCAAAGTGTGACTTGTGGACCAGCCTGTATCAGGGTCACAGTGAAAGGGATTTGGGAAAGTTTGGATTTCATGGCCCTCTTCAGGCCTACCAAATGAACTCTCTCTGTGGGAGGGAATGTGAAATCTGCATTGGAAATAAGTTATCCAGGTTGTTCTCATACCCACACACTATGCGTCAGGGACTGCCTGGCTGACATTAACAATGGCAGCTCAACGCCTCCATCTGGTGGCTTTTGGACACCATCGTCTTCTTTTTGCAAATACAGTCCATGGAGATTACGAAACTATTGAAAATGTGAAAAATGAGAAAGAAGTAAAAAAACAGGATATGAATGGAGTCTCTACTCCACAAATAATCAAGACTGAATTACATCATTTTATGGCATGTCTAGCACAAAGTAGAACTTGTCTATATTACAGTTTTGAGAGTAAATCCAATGGACACATTTCCATTTTCATCTAAGGGCAGGAAAACACAGGTATTGGATGACTCCCCCTCTACAGATCATTACACCAAGTTTCTAACTTCTAAGAATGCTGCATTTAATGAATTTGTAAAGTTAGTCTTCCAGAAGTTAGCTAATAAAGAACCCTCTGCTTTCCACTAATAAATTAATATGGGTTTTGATTCCCATTTCTCCGATGATTAGTGATGTGAATCACTTTTTTCATACACCTGTGGGACATTGGTATGTCTTCTTTTGGGAAATGTCAATTCAGTTCCTTGGCCCACTTTTTAAGGGGCTCCTTTTTCTCCTGTCGAGTCGTTTGAGTTCCTCGTATGTTCTGGATATCAGTCACCTGTCGGGTGATTAGTTTGCAAATATCTTCTCCCATTCAATAGGTTATTTCTTTACTCTGCTGATTGTGCCTTTTGTTGTGCAGAAGCTTTTCAGCTGTATGCACTGTATTTGTCTATTTTTGGTCGTTTTTGCTGCCTGTGCTTTCAAAGTCTTAGGAATTCTTTGCCTAGACCGGTGTCAAAGAGAGTTTTCACTAGGTTTTCTCCTAGCATTTATATAGCTTCAGGTTGTTTTTTGTGTTTTCTTTTATTTTACTTTGTTTTGTTTTGCTTTGCTTTGTTTTGTTTTGTTTTGTTTTTGAGACGGAGTCTCGCTCTGTCTCCCAGGCTGGATTGCAGTGGCGCCATCTCGGCTCACTGCAAGCTCCACCTCCTGGGTTCAAGCGATTCTCCTGCCTCAGCCTCCCGAGTAGCTGGGACTACAGGCACGTGCCACCACGCCCGGTTAATTTTCTGTAATTTTAGTAGAGACGGGGTTTCACCGTGTTAGCCAGGATGGCCTCGATCGCCTGACCTCATGATCCGCCCGCCTCGGCCTCCCAAAGTGCTGGGATTACAGGCGTGAGCCACCACACCCGGCCTCAGCTCTTTTATGTGACTCCTTAATCTATTTGCGTTCATTTTTGTATACGGTGAGAGACACAGGCCTAATTTCACTAACCACCACAGAAATGCAAACCAAAACCGCAATGACATATCATCTTTCCTCAGTCAGAATGGCCACTATTTAAAAAGACACAAAATAACAGAGGTTGGCAAGAATAAGAAGCAAAGGCAAATCTTACAGCCTGTTGGTGAGAGTGTAAACTACTACAGCCACCGTGGAAAAGAGTATGGCGACTTCTCAACAAAACTGAAAACAGAACTACCATTCGATGCAGCAATCCCATGACTGGGTATCTACCAAAAGGAAAAGAAATCAATATATTAAAAAAATACCTGCTCTTGCATGTTTACTATATAGCACTATTCACAATAGCAAAGACGTGGAATCAACTTCAGTGTGCATCAACAGATGAATGGTTTTTTAACAAGATGGTGTATATATGTATACATATATCTAGGTGTATTTGTGTGTGTGTGTGTGTGTGTGGAACACAAATTATTCCTTTAAAAAGAAGAATGAAATCATGTTATTTGCAGCCGCATGGACGGAACTAGAGGCCATTATCGTCAGTGAAATAAAGTAGGCATAAAAAGACAAATATCACATGTCCTCTATTATATGTGGGAGCTAAAACATCTGATCGCGTGGAGCTAGAGAATGGAGAGGTAGAGAATGGAGACTGGGAAGAGTGAGTCAGCAGGAGAAGGATGCAGAGAAGTGCGTTGAAGGGAACAAACCTACAGTGAGATAGAAGCAATCAATTCCGTGTTTGAGAGCAGAGTAGGGTGACGGTCCTTCACAAAAATGTGTTGTACTCAGGCGACGGACACCCTAAATATCCTGACTTAATCACTACACATTGTATACATGTAACAAAATTTCACATGTACCCATAAATTTATATACAAAATACAAAAATTAAAATTAATAACAAATAAAGAAATACTATAATATGAGGCTCTCTAAGGTAACTTAAATTCTACTTTCAAGTCTGTGTTCTAGTTAAAAATGTAATACATCTTCACTGTAAAATGTTATGAAAATATAATTTATAAAGGAAATGAAATGCACACATAATTCCACCAAGCAGATATAATATTCCATTTAAAATCCCGGGTATTATTTCCTTTCATCCTTTTCTCTCTCTAGATAGATAGAGGCGTGGGTATACATAAAGACATAGCTATGGACTCAAATAGATACAGCTATAGATTGTCTTTACGTCTTCTAAAATTATCTTTAACTTTCGTACCTGTCTTTGTTTGCTACCAGCTCTGCAAGTTTCTTTCTGTTTGTAATCATGCATTTTCCTTCTTTCATCTACATTTAGCAAAGTCTTCAAGACTGTATTCACTCTCATCGTGCTTTCCCACTGCCTGTGCGAGTAACAGGTTAAAGGTAAGGCTACTGTATCCTATTCCCTTTGAATTCACTTGCTTGTGACCATCAGCATTTCACTGGCTCATAGCAAGCCACCAACGTGTTGGGTGAGGAACAATGGGCAAAGGCTGCCAGAGCCCTTGCTGTACTACAGACTCTTTGTGAGATCATATAATTGAATGTGGTTTCCTACAGTAACTTTACTGAAAATTATCTCTCGTTTCACTTACTCATGTTAAACATTGCCTCAGATTGATCTCCGTCACAATGGCACGTTACTACTGGAAAAGGCATATAGTAGTCTGAAAATATCTGGAGATTTCACCATGTGCTCCAAGAGGTAATACATAGATGTCTACGTACCATAGATACATCAAGATTTCATAACTCATCTCAGTGCTAATTCTAAGAACAGCACATTGCTAATACTACTCCACCTTGATCACTGCCAATTTACTCCTTCTGATTACCTAGACTCGTGACAAAACATTTTCTCACTGTTTTAGAAGCCCGTGGTGTAGAATTTTCTCAAGGCCATTTGACGGCCTAAATATCACGCTTGGTTGTTTCGTTCATAGTCTCAAAGAAATCAAGGTGAGAGTCTGGCTTTTAGAGAAGCACTCAGCAGACTAAATATTGCTGATCGATATTGAGATGTGGGTAGGAGTTTAACACATGAATGAGGACGGAAAAGATGGCCCATGCAATAAGCAAAATAGGATCCAGGCATGTGCAAGGGTACAGGGACGGAGAACATAGGCTCAACGTCATTACTCTTAGGGAAATGCAAATCACACCACAATCCTACCAGCTAACCACCCCCCAGGTTGTTTACTTTCAAGAGGAAGACAAAAATTGCTGCTGTTAAAGATGTGGAGAAACTGCAAGCCTTATACACTGCTGACGGGAATGTAAAATGGTGTGTGGCTGCTACGAAAAACAGTTTGGTGTTTCCTCAAGATGTTAAAAGTAATGAACATATGACACCATCATTCCACTCCTAGATACATGCAGAAAAATTTAAAACAGACATTCAAGCAAATACATGTGTATGAATGTCCCTAACAGCACCATGGACAACAGCCAAATAGGAGCATCCCACATTACCACCAACAGATAAATGGATGAACACAACATGATGGATCCACCTAACGGGATACTCCGTAGCTGTGAGAAAGAATGACGCTCTGATACATGGTACGACGTGGGATGAACTTGGAAACCATGTTACGTGAAATAGGCCAGACACAAAAGGTCACGTACCCTATGATTCCATTTCTATGGAATGTCCAGAAGAAGCAAATGTTAAGGATTAGCGATACTTAGAAATCAGGTTGTTATCATGTCATCTGATTACAAAACGGATGAGTGGATGCCAGGGAAGGAGGGAGGCGGGAATCAGTAGTGACTGCCTCATGGGTACAGGGTTTTCTTTGGGATTGATGCAAATGTTGTGTAAATAGACAGAGGTGATGATTTTGCAATACTGTGAATTTACTTTATGCCACCAAACGGTATGCTTAAATATCTAATTTTATGTTATCTGAGTTTCACTTCAATAAATATTTCTTTCAAAAATAACAATTCTTAGACCCATGCAATATATGTTCAAGTGTTTTGAAAAAACCTGAGCTATCAATTAAATGAAAATTTCAATTTAAAAATAATCTTCAGCCCATTCATGTTTACATACAAATATGGTCCATGAAAAATAAGTCCATTTTTGACAACAACACAAGTATCGAAAGAAATATGCCAAAGAAATTATCAACAGAGTAACAAGGTAACCTGAAGAATGGAAGAAAATATTTGCAAACTGTGCTTGCGACAAAGAACTAATATGCAGAATCTACAAGGAACTCTACAAAAACAGCAAGGAGAAAGAGCAAATAATCCCATTAAAACGTGGGCATATGACGTGGACAGACATTTCTCAAAAGAGGATATACAAATGGACAAGACATATTTGAAAAAATGTTCAACATTGCTCATCATCAAGGAAACACCAATGAACACCAGGGTGAGATAGCACCTTACCCCGGCCAGAATGACCACGATTAAAAACTCAATAAACAATAGATGTTGGTGCAAATGTGGTGGAAAAGAATGCTTTTACGCTGCTGGTGGGAATCAAAATTAGTCCAACCCCTATGGACAACAGTATGGAGACTCCTTAAAGAACTAATAGTCGATACACCATACGATCCAGCAATACCACGACTGGGTATCTACCCAACGGAAACGAAGTCATTATGTGAAAAAGACAGCTGCACATGTATGTTTATCGCAGCACAATTCACAATCGCCAACGTGTGGCATCGACCTAAGTGCCCATCGACTGATGAGTGGAGGAAGAAAATGTGTATATACACCATGAAATGCTAGTCAGGCGTAAAAAAAAGAACAAAATCGTGTCTTTTGTGGCAACTTGGATGCAACTGCAGGCCATTATCCTAAGTGAGCTAACTCAGGAACGGAAAACCGAATACCGCATGTTCTCGGTGTGAGCTAAGCTATAGGTACACAAAAGTACCTGATCTCGTGTGTTCTGGCGGTGGGAAAGGTGGCCCCTCAGGGAACCTGGCTCCCACGTCCCTGTGCCTCAAGGGAGAACAGAACCTGTGACGCCTTCACTTGCCTCCCTCCATGACCCGTTCTGTGAAACTTCCCCTGCCCCCAGCGCCTAGGCCAAGGAGAATTCCCAGCCCTGTTGCGAATCCTTTCTTGGTTCCCGCGTGAGATTGAGCGGGGTGCCACTGAGTGAGCTCCAGATCGACGCTGAGCCTCGGGGGATGTATTGGCGCTTCCTGCTCTCCGTAGCAAGTCGTCATCCAGCAGAACCTCGGGACGACACTTCGGTTTCTATGACAACCAAGGTAAACGTTTCTTTCCTGGCGGCAGACACACATCGCAAGGATATTTACAGAGCGGACAGCTGGAATAGCTGTAGGAACGTCAAGACTAGTAGGTGTCTGCTATCGATGTGACTGTGTCGGGGGCGGGGGGGAGGTGAGGGCGTATGTGTGAGGATGTGTGTCTGTGTGTGTGTGTGTGACGGTGTGTGCATGTGTGTGGGTGTGTGTGTGTGAGGATGTGTGTGGACATGTGTGTATGTGTGTGCGCGCGTGTGTGTGGATGTGTGTGTGTTTGGGGGTGTGTGTGTGGATGTGTGTGGATGCGTGTGCATGTGTGTGCGTGTTTGTATGTGAGGATGTGTGTGTGAGGATGTGTGTGTGTGAGGATGTGTGTGTGTTTGGGGGTGTGTGTATGGATGTGTGTGTGTGAGGAAGTATGTGTCTCTGTGTGTGTGTGTGAATGTGTGTGGCATTGAGTTGACTGTCCTGACTCACTGTCCTGAGGTGACACCTGTTGAGCCAGAGCATTGTCACCCGAGTCAGTCCTTTAAAGCAGAGATCCACAAGGATTTCTGAACTCAAAGGAATGTCGCAGGTCTCCTTCAGGATGGAAATTTGCTCGCCTCCTCATTGTAAGAACGTACGATGCATACATTAGGAGAGGGAAATCTGATGCCGGCAAATGAGGAGCTACCATGGGTAGGACTGGAAGGCCTCCTGTCACTTTGAGCAGGCCGGGACTCATGCTGGGCTCATCCTGCGTAGCTGACCCTTGAGACCCATGTTCTGTAAAAGGTGAATTTCCTGGTCTCACTCCGCTAACTACGATGAGGTGAATTGAGTGAAAATCAGTGAGGGCCCCTTCTCGATGACAGAAGCGAAAAACACAGGCTCCTTCACCAGGGCGGGCCATTGTGTTCCTATTGTCTACCAAACGGCTCTGCTCTCCAGGTCGGAGAGCGGTGCAATTGTTCACTAATTGCATCCTCTACTGATGCATGCAATTAGTGAACAGAATAAGGGGAAAACTGGACCGATACCAATTCTCACCCAATGGTGCTACAAGTGCACTGCAAACCCTAGGAAAGCGTAGACCTGTCTCTAAAGTTACGTTGAAAGTTTATGTGCAATTCACCAGCGCAAAGGGAAGGTGTAGGAATACACAAGAATGTACTTCCTTTAGAGAAACCATTTAATACACGGTGCCTTTATTGTACTAAAGGATGCCGCCAGCTCATCCTTTGAAGGAAACACCTGTTTGGGGGAAGGTCTAAAATCACACACCCAGCAGCCGACGGGAGCTCCACAAAGCTCTGGTAATGCTAGGGAGGGGTGCTGGAGGGAGGATGCATGCCTCTCGGTGGGAGGGGGACCACGTCAGGAAACGGACCCCACTTTGAGAAGAGCTGCTGAGGACTGTGTTCTTTTACTTGTTCCTAAAAAGTAAATGAACCCTCACTTGAGAAAGGAATTAACACAGGGCTTCCAAAATAATTATCCCCCAAATCATGGCTGTCGTTGGGAGAAATAAAAGCTCACGGTCTTCTAGTTCCTTCATCCCTCAACTAAAGAGCAAATGGAATAGAATAAAAGTTATATACCAAAAATAGAAAATGCTCTACTGATAATGTCTTTAGGGACCTAAAATGGACTGTGATGTTATAGATTGTAGACTCACTATTTATCCTGTCTTCCTTTTATGTTCATCTGCTTAGTCTCATTGTGCAGGTGGTGTTTGATTTCATTTTGAAGTAAAATATTCAACACATTGTCCTACTCACTCAATAGTCTGAGAACTTGGGTTCACTCACAAAACTGAGTTGGGCTTAGTGAATGTTCCCTTTTTATCTCATAGATCCCGGTATGCGGAAGTAGATCAATATTTGCACATCGTGATCTAGCTGGATCTGCAATATAGACAGGTAAAGGTAAACCTAGACAGACATAGATGTAGACCTGTCTAGCTATCTTGCTCTATCTCTAGCCACTCTGCTGTCCATCCATCATCTCTCTGTCTTCATCCATCTCTATCTTTATCTCTATCCATCCATCTATCACCTATCTATTCTTATCATTCTTCATATCTATCAAGCCGCTATCTTCTATAAAATTATATTTATCTATCTCTATATCCAACTGTCTTTCTCTCTATATATCTCTTCATCATCTGTCTCCACCATCTATGTCTCTATCTCTGGCTCTCTATTATTCTGAATATCTATAGACCTTCTAGCTAATATATATCTTTATCTATCTCTATCTTTTATCCATCTATTTTTATCTATCCCTATGAGTCATTCAACCTCATCAATCTATATCCATCTCTACCTGTATGCATCCATCTATCTATCTGTCTATCCATCTGTCTATCCCCCATCTACCTGCCTACCTACCTACCTACCTCTCTCTCTCTCTCTAGAGGGAGGGAAAACAATTGTGTTTCCCTTAGTACAAAATATGGGGAGAAAGTCACCAGCAAGACTATATGCAAACCCTTGATAGAAGGTATTTGGGCGATGGGCCAACGCATGTGGTGAGAGAACATTTCATATTTTGATTTCACACACTTCCCTTCTGATGATCTCTCTTAAGGAGGCATGGCTTTGGCCATCCGAACTTAGCTGCAATGGATATTTTGGTGGTCTGTAGGAGGCAGTCCCTTAAACTGTTTCACACCTGTAAAGATGTTGCCAGATGCCAATACTGAAGAATATTCAAATGGCTGTGCAAACTTTAAGCTTTTAAATATCTTGTAGAAATATACATGTATAAACAGGACAAAAATTCTGGAGTGTGTGGACTCATATACTTGCAATAAGCATTTCTGGGTGATGGGATTGCTGATGCTTACTATATTTCCTATTTAGAAATTTTAGACATCCCTTTAGATGTTTCCCTGTCTATGTTTAAAATAAGAAACTAAATGGAGAAGAAAACAGCATTTGTACTGGAAGCAGAAACATTTGCAGGAATGTGTAGAGGCAGTGAGCATGGATTCTATGCATCAATGCCAGGCTCCTTGAGTTTCCAACGTGTGTGTGTGTGTGTGTGTGTGTGTGTGTGTGTGTGTGTGTGTGTGTGTGGAGAGAGAGAGAGAGAAAGAGAGAGAGGAAGAGAGGAGAGACTCTGCATTTGGGGATGTGGGTAGGCATTGACTTGGGCTTGAGGGTGCCCAGTCACACCTGTTTTGTGACATGGGCTGGCAGGTCCAGTTAAGGGGAGATTGAAGTGCCAGGGTCATTGGTGATTCCTTCTCACTTTTGTTCGGGGTCCTCAGTTGACACTTGTGCTTGACAACCCAGTACTCTGAGTTCTCTAAAGAAGAGGGCATTAAACCTGTACGTTCATATACCCTCGTCTAAGAAAGGTTTTGTACAACTTTTCCCTAAAGTATGTATATCTCATCATCATTATACATTTCATATTACATCTACCAGTGCCCGTGAACAAAGACACACATACATGCATTTATTAAGAAAATAATTATTGGCCTATGAAACCTGTAATTTGAAGTCCACAATGCATGAGCTAAAATATGTAAGTGAGCTATGATACCCAATGTTGCACAGTACCAAATATTGTACAATGGCTATAGAAAACAACAACAGGCTAGCAGAGTATTTCGATGTGGAAGGTGGGAAGTGAAGGATTGACAAAAGAGTTGCATCTTCGGTGCACGTTTCTATAATATGGGACATTTCATTAAATAAAGTTTGGAACTAGCAGGGAAACCTCACTGTACAGACGTTCACACAAATGAGGTAGGAACACGGGCATTCACAGGACAATGTATCCAGTTATGCTCTTAGGTTAGGAGCTCCAGTTGAAGATGATATGTGCATGTGTGTGTGCACATTGGCGCATCGGCAATGCCTTGGAAGCGGGCACATTATCATGTAGACTGAGATTCTGTGACGTGATGTCCTTTCATATGTCTGTCTACACATCTCATATTCTATGCTAACCCATTTCATGTTATTTGAGAATCAGAAAAACACAGTAACATGACAAGACTCACCTGTCATGTTTCCTCATTTTATCAATCTCGTTGAGCACATTTCATTTCTCTCTCTCTCTCTCTCTCTCACACACACACACAGAGAGAGAGAGAGAGAGAGGAGAGAGAGAGAGAGAGACTGCTAACATGGAATCCTTCTGTCTTAGGGGGATGCTCTCGGGAAAGCACTAGTTCCCAAGGTTCTGAAATGGAAAAAGACTAGCATACGCTAAGTGGCATAACAGGGAAATTGTTTGAGATGCAAAAGAAGGCAGAAAACAAAGATGACAACTACGTGATGCCTGAGATGAAGACGTCAGTTCTGTTTCAAAAGGGCATGCATTCAAGAGTTGGGGAGGGGAACAGGATAAATCACTTGATTGGCTTAATTTCCTATCTGTGTTTGTGTTTCCAGGTTGACATTAGGAGTGCATAGGTCCTGAGCATCTACACGCGGTGCCACTGGGTCGCCAGAAGAACAGCGCACTTCAGGGGCACAGAGTGGGGTTGAAGGGTCTGCACACCAGCGCTTGCAGTGTGAGCAGCAAGAGATCCAGCTCACAGAACCAAACCTGCTGCGATCCATGTGACACTGGGTAAGATTTCCCCATTTACTAAACATTCACTTGCATTCACCTCACGCTGACATTTCACAGTGGAATTTTCCTTGCCCATCGTTGTACAGACACTTGTTTTCAGGATAAGAGTCACTGATTTGGTGTCGGCAGGCAAAAGTTTAAAACCACGGTAGAGAGGTGCAGATGGCAGCCAGTGACCGCTGCCTGCAGCGATCCTCACGACCGATGGTAGCCAGTAATCACCAGGATGATCGCCACGCAGCTCTGGGTTCTGGGTGCTCTTGCACATGACATGGTGCCGACACCCAGCATCTGCATGTGGGAGACCTCCTCGGGCTTCCTGGGAAGCACAGGTCCATACTAGCACCCTAGAAATAAAAACATGAAGCATTTCCCCAGGTTTCCGCCCAAGGAGCCCAAAGGCACAGAATACTCAGTAAGAAATGTGGGGTCCCTGCTGGTACACCCACCTCCCCATGCAGGTGCTCCTCAAGATGGAATTGTTAAAATTAGGAGAAGGCCTTGGGTTTGCTGTGTAATAAAGCTTCTGTGGACCTTCTGTATGATCCCAAATACTTGCCATCTGTCTATCCCTCTGTCTAAGACTCACTTGTCACGTTTCCTTATTTTATCAACCTCACTGAGCAGGGTGCTTCGCGTTTCACGAAAGGATGCTTTCCTGATACATTTCCGCTCTCCCTTTACCATGTTGCAGCATACTCCAGAATTGTCCATTGGAAACACGAGTTCAAGTGCCTCAGGGAGATTCAGGAGGAGGAACACAGCCCACCCACACTGCACCCCCTTTGCAGTCTGAAGGCAAAGGATGCTCTGAAGAGTAGCTTGGTTTAGGAGAGACCTACGGTAGCAGAGGGTGTGGCAGGCAGACCCCTCGGCCTCCCTTAGCTACCTTTTCCCAGCTCATCATGGACTCGGAGTACGTCCTATGCTCTTGGAAAGGCCGACTATGGCCAGCAAAGGTTTTGTGCACACGTGGGACTTCACCAAAAACGAAGCCTGAAAAGGCGATTTCTCTAGAAGTTCAAATCCTCGCAGTAGATGAAAAAATCAAGGTGAAAAGCACAGACGTGAAGACCCCAACTAAGTTTGAGATGGAAGACATTGCCGCCTCTGCAGCAGCACAGACGAAGCTCGGTGCCCCACTCAGAGAGAAGATGGGGTACAGAGGAACCCTTCGGGTGGCCCTGGAGATTCTGAAAGAGAGAACAAATCTGGGTGGAGGAAGGAAACCACATGAACTAGAGAGCACCACACCCTCTCAGCTTTCTCAAAAGGTGCCCGAAAAGCCAGCCAGTTCTGTCCCTCGTGAAGATGACTGGAGATGCAAAGGCGACCTAAGGAGGAGTCTTGGGAAGAGGGAAAACCCAAGCTCACCGACGGTCCCTTCAGAGAGTAAGCGTGCCCTGCGGGATGACAGGTCGCAGGAGCCCACAGCCATTGCCCCTACTCCAGGCGCCCTGCCCGGGGACAGGTCAGGGGCGCCCAGGGCCATTGCCCCTACTCCAGGAGCCATGCTCAGTGGCAGGTCACGGGCACGCAGGGCCATTGCCCCTACACCAAGCGCCCTGCGAGGTTACAGGTCTTGGGCGCACAGGGCCATTGCCCCTACCCCAGGCTGCCTGTACAGTGACAGGTCACGGGCGCACAGGGCCATTGCCCCTGCTCGAGGCACCAAGCATGGTGGCAGGTCATGGGCATGCAGGTCCATTGCCCCCAAACCAGGCTCCCTGTGCGGGGACAGGTCACAGGCGAGCAGGGCCATTGACCCTACCTTAGGCGCCAGGCGCGGTGGCAGGTCACGGGCCCACAGAGCCATTGCCCCTACTCCAGGCTCCCTGTGCGGCAACAGGTCACGGGCTTGCGGAGCCATTGCCCTTACTCCAGGTGTCCTGTGCGGTGTCAGGTCACGGGTGCCAAAGGACATTACCCCTACTCCAGGCGCCCTGCGAGGTTACAAGTCATGGGTGTGCAGGGCCATTGCCCCTACTCCAGGTGCCCTGCGCGGAGACAGGTCAGCAGCACGCACGGCCATTGTCCGTACTCCAGGTGCCCTTGGCAGGGACAGGTCACGGGCACGCAGCGCCATTGCTTCTACTCCAGGGACCCTGCAGGGAAACAGGTCATCTGTGTCCAAGGCCATTGCCCCTGCTCCAGGTGCCCTGCGTGGAGACAGGTCAGCAGCGCGCACGGCCTTTGTCCCTACTCCAGGCGCCCTTCACAGGGACAGGTCACGGGCCCGCAGCGCCATTGCTTCTACTCCAGGGACCCTGCGGGGAAACACGTCATCTGCGTGCAAGGCCATTGCCCCTACTCCAGGTGCCCTGCGAGGTTACAAGTCATGGGCGCGCAGGGCCATTGCACCTAACCCAGGTGCCTGGCGCGGTTACAGGTCAACGACAGGCACCGCCATTGCACCTAATCTGGGCGCCCTGGGCGGCAACAGGTCAGCGGCACGCACGGACATTGCCCCTACTCCAGGCGCCCTGCGAGGTTACAGGTCATGGACGCGCAGGGCCATTGCCCCTACTCCAGGCACTCTGAGCAGTTACAGGTCACGGTCCCGCAGGACCATTGCCTCTACTCCAGCCACCCTGCGTGGTGAAAAGTCACGGGCGCACACCAGCCTTGCCCCCACCCCAGGTGCTTTGCGCGGTGACGGTTCACGAGCACGCAGGGCCATTGTCCCTACTACATGCCCATTGTGCGAGATATAGTCACGGGTGGGCATAGGCATTGCCCCTATTGCAGATGCCCTGCGCCGTGACAGGTCACCAGTGCGCAGGGCCATTGCCCCTACTCCAGGCACTCTGAGCGGTTACAGGTCACGGGCACGCACGGCCATTGCCCCTACTCCAGGCACCCTGCGAGGTTACAGGCCACGGTCCCGCAGGGCCATTGCCTCTACTCCAGCCACCCTGCGTGGTGAAAAGTCACGGGCGCACACCAGCCTTGCCCCCGCCCCAGGTGCTTTGCGCGGTGACGGTTCACGAGCACGCAGGGCCATTGTCCCTACTACATGCCCATTGTGCGAGATATGGTCACGGGTGGGCATAGGCATTGCCCCTATTGCAGATGCCCTGCGCCGTGACAGGCCACCAGTGCGCAGGGCCATTGCTCCTACTCCAGGCGCCCTGCGCTGTGACAGGTCACGAGAGCTCACAGCCATTGATCCTACTCCAGGAGCTCTGTGCAGTGACAGGTCAGGGGCAAGCAGGGCCATTGCCCCCACTCCAGGCACTTTGTGCAGTGAAAGGTCCCGGGTGCGCAGGGCCATTGCCCCTACTCCATGCGCACTGTGCGGGAAGGGGTCACAGGTGGGCATGGGCGTTGCCCCTACTCCAGGTGCACTGCGCAGGGACAGGTCACAGGCAGGCAGGGCCATTGCACCTACTCCATCCGCACTGTTCAGGGTTGGGTCACGGGTGGGCACAGGCATTGCCCTTCCTGCAGGTGCCCTGCACCGTGACAGGTCACCGGTGCGCAGGGCCGTTGCTCCCACTCCAGGCACCCTGCACTGTGACGGGTCACGAAAATGCACGGCCACTGGTTCTACTCCAGGAGCCCTGCCCGGCGACAGGTCAGGGGTGAGCAAGGCCACTGCCCCTGCTCCAGGCGCCTTGTGCAGTGAAAGGTCCCGCGCACGCAGGAGCATTGCCCCTACTCCATGTTTACTGTGCGGGGACAGGTCATGGGTGGGTATGGGCATTGCACCTACTCCAGGCGCCCTGCTTGGTGGCAAATCAAGGAAATGCAGGGCCATTGCTATTACTCCCGGCGCCCTGCGTGGTGGCAGGTCACAGAAACGCAGGGTCGTTGCTCCTACTCCAGAGGCCCTGCACGGTGACGGGTCATGGACTTATATGGCCATTGCTCCTACTCCAGGTGCCCTGCACGGTGACAGCTCACCAGCCCACACGTCCATTATTCCCTCTCCAGGCGCCCTGCATGGTGACGGGCCACCAGCGCACATGGCCTTTCCTTCTACTCCAGGCACCCTGCATGGTGATGCCTCTCACGCACACATGGCCATTGCTCCTACTCCAGGCACGATGCGCGGTGACAGCTCAACAGCGCGCACGGCCACTGCCCCATCTCCAGGGGCCCTGCGAGGTGACAGGTCATGGAAACGCAAGGCCATTGCTTCTACTCCAGGTGCCCTGCATGGTAACAGGTCTGACAGGTCACGGAAATGCAAGGCCATTGCTTCTACTCCAGGCACCCTGCACGTTGAGAGGTCACCAGCACTCAGGGCCATTGTTCCAACTCCAGGCACCCTGGGCCGTGACAGCTCACCAGGGCGCACGTCCATTATTCCTTCTCCAGGCGCCCTGCATGGTGACAGGTCACCAGCACACCTGGACATTGCTTCTACTCCAGGCGCCCTGCACGGTGACAGCTCTCAGGCACACACGGCCATTGCTCCTACTCCAGGCACCATGCGCGGTGACAGCTCAACAGCTCGCATGGCCATTGCCCCATCTGCAGGGGCCCTGAGAGGTGACAGGTCATGGAAACGCAAGGCCATTGCTTCTACTCCAGGTGCCCTGCGTGGTAACAGGTCTGACAGGTCACGGAAACGCAAAGCCATTGCTTCTACTCCAGGTGCCCTGCTCGGTAACAGGTCTGACAGGTCACGGAAACGCAAGGCCATTGCTCCTACTCCAGGTGCCCCGCGCATTGACAGGTCACCAGCATGCAGGGCCATTGCTCCTACTCCAGGCGCCCTGGGTGATGACAGCTCAACGGCCATTGCCCCTACTCCAGGGACCCCGCGAGGTGACAGTTCGCCAGCAAACACGGCCATTGCTTCTACTCCAGGCGCCCTGCACGGTGACACCTCTCAGACACACAAGGCCATTGCTCCTACTCCAGGTGACCTGGGCGGTGGCAGCTCATCAGCGCACAAGGCCATCGCTCCTTCTCCAGGTGCCCTGCATGGTGACAGGTCACCAGCACACACGGCCATTGCTTCTACTCCAGGAGCCCTGCATGGTGACAGCTCCCAGGTGCACACGACCATTGCTCCAACTCCAGGCGCCCTGCGCGATGACAAGTCATGGAAACGCAAGGCCATTGCTCCCACTCCAGGCACCCTGCACTGTGACAGCTCACGAACGTGCACCGCCTTTGCTCCTACTCCAGGCGCCCTGCATGCTGACAGGTCACCAGCGCACCAGGACATTACTCTTACTTCAGGCGCCCTGCACTGTGACAGCTCAAGAGAAAGCAGGGCCGTTGCTCCTATTCTAGGCGCCCTGCACCGTGTCGGCTCTCAGGCACACAAGGCTATTGCTTCTACTCCAGGCCCTCTGCGCGGTGACAGCTCACCATTTCACACAGCCATTGCACCTATGCCAGGGGCCCTGCATGGTACCAGGTCATGGAAACGCGAAGCCATTTCTCAGACTCCAGGCACCCTGTGTGGTGACAGCTCAGGAGAACGCATGGCCATTGCTCCTACTCCAGGCGCCCTGCACAGTGACAGGTCACAGACACATACGGCCATCGATCCTACTCCAAGTGTCCTGCGCAGTGACAGCTCACCAGCGTGCATGGCCATTGATCCTACTCCAGGTGCCCTGGGCAGGGACAGGTCACAGGCGCTCATGGCCATTGCTCCTACTCCAGTTGGAATGCAAGCACATGTGTTGCAAAGCCCCCGAGCCTGCCAGGATTCCCTGACGCTTTCGCGGCATGTTTGTGAGAAAAAGGGGAAGAAAAGGGCAAACGCCTCAACTCTTATGTCCCTGCCTCCCACAGTAACGGAGGAGGGTGCATCTCTGCCTCCAGGTCTCACCAGCCCTGCACCCCCCGCTCTGAAGGAAGAGACACAGGACAGCCGCCCGAAGAAGGCCCTGGCTGCATCCCCGGAAAGTTCTCCCTTCTCGGGGAACATTCAGGACCCCGGAGAGGGTGCCTGGAAGCCAGGCTGGGCAGGTATGGCTGCATCCTCTGGGTCCCGTCAGCACAGGCTGCCTTCTTCACTCCGGCTTGCCAATAGAAAAAGGAAGCGTCCAGGTCCAGATTTTCAGAGGAGACCTCAAGGACCTCAGACGCCTGGTGACGCTAAGCTTGCTAATCCTGTCACCACCATTCAAAGGGCTGGCGGTAAACAGGATGGGCAGCCCCCCAGCCTTGCTTTTCCACAGGAGCCACATCCCATCGAAAGGGGAACGATGGTCTGGTTCAAATTTCAAGATCATCCGTTTTGGCCAGCAGTGGTCAAGAGTGTCAGCAACACAGACAAGACCGCGAGGGTGCTCCTGCTTGAGGCCAACCTGCACCATGGAAAGCGGGGCATTCAAGTTCCTCTTCGAAGGCTGAAGCACCTGGATTGTAAGGAGAAAGAGAAACTGCTGAAGAGAGCCCAGAAGGCCTACAAGCAAAGCGTCAACTGGTGCTTCTCACTGATCTCCCACTACAGAGAAGGACTGGTCCGGGGTTCTTTCCGGGGCTCTTTCCTGGACTATTATGCCGCAGACATCAGCTACCCAATCAGGAGAGCCATCCAAGAGGGAGACCTGCAGATTGACTTTCCAAAGGTGAATTATGGCGACCTGGAAGACTGGGAGGAGGAGACCTCCCTGGGCGGGAAGAGGCCTTGCAAGAAAATCCTCCCGGACCGGATGAGGGCCTCTTGGGACCGAGACAACCAGAAGCTCGTGGACTTCATCGTGAGGAGAAAGGGGGCCGACCCCCACCTTCTGGACATCTTGCAAGGCAGGAAGCAGTCCAGGTGGCTGACCGCGTTTCTGAAGCCACACAGGGATTTGCACTGCATTGAAACATACCTGGAGGATGACGATCAGTTGGAAGTCGTGGCCAAGCATTTACAAGAAATCTACAAGCAAATTGACAAGGCCAGGCTGACTCTGATAAGGGATGACAAAGTCAATTTTGTTCTGGAAGTTCTTCTGCCGGAAGCCATGATTTGTACCATCGCCGCACTTGATGGGCTGGATTACAAGGCAGCAGAGGAGAAGTACCTGCGAGGACCACCTGTGCATTACCGGGAGAAAGAGCTGTTTGACAGAAATATCTTAAAGAAGGCAAGAAGAGAACCAGCAACCACCCATACAGCTAATTAGCTCCCGCCTGCCTCCCCCGCACCCATACCTTCCCAGGGAGCTGCCTCCTTTCTAGAATTAATGAGGAAGCCTCCTCCCTTCCCCAACGCGTGTAAGTATGTTCTGGATATTCGAGACTTTGGGAATGTGAGGAATTCATTTGGGGCCCATCTCTCGCATGTGCTGGTGGCACATTCATCACCAGGTCTTCATCGCAAACTCGTGAAGAGCTATTTTGTTAAACGATTGCAACCCCTTGCGATTCCCTCAACGTCTTTGGATGTGTAGTTGTCCCGATAGGTTTGAAAGACAAGAGCATTGATTTTCATAACGTGTCTTTTGACTGGACTTGGTACTTTCACTTAGGACCTATATTCTTTTACACAAAAAGCCACTGGTATCAGCTTTTAAACAACAATAATTTTTAAAGCCTAATGTATATTTTTATGGAAACGTCAGTGAGACTTTTCATTCTTTTGGCGATACGTGGATAGAAACCATCAGATTCCTCTTTCAGATAATTCCTGCCTTTTCCCTGCTAGGCTTGTTTATTTTTTGAAAAGTAGCCCCGAGAGTTGAATCCCATGAGAGAGTCATTTTCTCCTATGTTAACACGACCTTCCGATACTTTTTCAAAAAGCAAACTGCAGGCCAAACATGAAGTTACCGAATGGCTTGCACGTAGTCCATATGTGCTTGAGTGAAATCTCAGTGTGCAGTGAGCGTCTTGTCAGCCTCATGCAAGATTGTCGCTCTGCATTTCCCTGAAATTCCACACCCTCCTTCAACGGCTGAACTGTTTCCTAGAACAGGCTTCAGGCTGTCTTCATAACTGACAGTGATGGATCTTCTCCCTCTAACTGTCGGTCCCCTGTGGAGGGCAGCTAGAGCCATCTCCTTCTTGGCCTGGCTTCTCTCCACCTGTGTGGCTGGCCCAACTGCTTAGGAGCCCGTCTACCTGCCCGTAAACTGGAGTAAAGCCAGCTCCTTGTTCTGGATCCAGAATCCCCCAAGACGTGGCCATTTGTCTCAATGTCACCAAGCTTCATCTTCCAACTTATTCACGGGCCGGCTCCAACAGGTCCCAACAATCTAGACACAGGCTGGTAAGCCATTCCCGGCTGCTAGAGGCGCCAGGGCTGGGAGTTGGAAAAATGGGTCACAGGGGCAGCCTTCATTCCGCTAAGTGGGGCCGGCCCTTGGTGGAATAATATTAAACAGATGCAATTCAGACCTAAGTTGTGAAGCCCACAGATTGCTAGGCTAACTTGAAACAAGATGGTTTTTGAGGATAAGTGTTATGGAAAAGCCAGTTTGTTTTTCAAACTTGATGCTAAAATAAACGTGAAGGCCTTCACATGAACCTGAGTCCTTTTTTAGTTCTTAGAGGAAGTCACCTGTTCTCATGAGACCATGTTATGTGTTCACATGGCCATGTGTTGGGGCGACATTGGCAGAGGAGCTGTTTGGAGTCACCTTAAAACCACTGTGTCTCCCACCTTGAACTTCAGCTGTGTCATGCTTGAGATTGTCCAAATCCATAGGTGGAAGGTCTAGGAAATATATAGACACACTTCCAAAGCAATAATAGCTTGGAAATTCTGACGAAATTTTAGAAGAGAGCCTTCCAAGTGGTGTATACATCAGACCCGACGGAACCCTCTCTAGACTCTGCCTGAGTGTGACCAAGACTCCTGGGCACACTGCCTGGGCAGTCCATGTGACATCCTCATGGCCCCGGCAATTATTTGGAAACAGATCGTCTCCGTGCTGTGTGTGGACCTCACACACCGAGACAACACACTTTAGTTACTCCACAACACTGTCTCCCCGAGTCCAACATATCACCTGAGTTCAGCTTTCTCATGGAGCCATGTTTATCTCTAGCTTCTAATATTACTTTCCTACCCCATTCATTCATTCCTGACCTCATGCTAGATCGGGAGAGCAAGTGAGGTGTGGTTGAAGGCTCTGCTCTGAAGACCGACTTCAGGTGACATAGAAACAGACGGGAATGTGGTGACTCAGGTGACAACCTAATCTTTAAGGTAACAAGGATGCACTGCTTCCCTCTGTCAGTGAGAAATTCTCACCAGTGTCATGGGCCGACGGCCTGTTTTTGAGAGCACAGCCCCAGGTTCACCCAACTATGTGAGGTCATAGGTGCCTGTTGGCTTGGGGTGAAGGGAGGAGACCTGGTCTCTCTTGGATGTCACTGACACCTGGGGCATCCACTGAAGAGAGGCAGACATGCCTCGGACATGCATCTATTCTCCTCCTCCTTGAATCAGGGTCACTGAAAGGCATCCGGGGCACGTGTGTGGGTTGAAGGATATATAGACTCTGAGATCCTTTCCAGCCTGAGCAGGTGCTGCGGCCCCTCCATGATTGCCCTCAGCTGGACCTCCATCACAGGTGCCTGTGTGTTTGATGACAGAGCCCAGCCTGTCACCCACCCTGGCCCGCTAGGTTAAGGTGACCTCCTCTTCTCCAGTCAGAAGGAAGACTGCTGCCCATCAGGCCCTGATCTTAACTGTTGCTTGGCAGAGCTGCACACACAGAGACGGCTCACACCACATTCGTAGGTCTCTATATCCAAGTAAGCAACTGATGGGGAAAGAGGGGAACCCTCAGATTTGTAAGAGTGATGCCCATGAGAATTTTGAATACCTAGAATATCCTGAACCCTCACCCTGGCATTAGCAACCACCTAACCCTTGCTAATTGGGGAGCAATCCCCTTATTCATGGAGGCTCTGTAAAGACCTCGTCCAAGGGAGCTGCCGTAAAGGAAGTTGCCTTCGAGCCTGTAATTCCAGCACACTGAGAGGCCGAAGCAGGAGCATCGCTTGGATCTAGGAGTTGGAGACCAGTCTGGGCAACATAGTAAGACTCTGTCTCCACAATAATAAACATTTAAAAACTACACAGGCGTGGTGGTATGTGCCTATAGTCCCAGCTACTCGGAAGGCTGAGGCGGGAGGATTGCTTGAGCTCAGGAGGTTGAGGCTGCAGAGAGGTATGATGGCACCCTCGCACTCCAGCCTGGGAGACAGAGCAAGACCCAGTCTCTAAGAAAAAAAATTGCTTGTCTTACCTAACATCCATCCCGCTAACTTTCATCGCTCTGACAAGCGCGAAGTTTGAATAGGAAAGATCACAGCACAGAAGAGAAATACGGTTTCTGTTTGGGTGGGAAATACCTCATATTCAGATAAGCTGCAGAAGCTGGCTAGTTCGCCTTGGCATGACCTGGGACAGCATAGGTGGGAATGGATTTTGGGCATGCGGAACCAGCAAGACAGCAGACAGAATACAGTTCAATATAGGGGAGAGTGTATTTACGTGGGAGCACGGAGCTATAAGGTGGGGTTCCCTGTCTTGGGGCTGGCCTCAGATCCTGCTGGGCTGGCAGCTTCACGTTTGGACAACAGCCTACAGTAAATGACATGGAGTTATGGGAACTGCCTTGGCAGAATATTGACCAATTGGTGAAAGGGTTGAGCGGAGAGCAGTATTAGATGTGATTCATTATGTGAGACCAGTGGCCCTACCTGTGAATGTTGTCCCCTTCGAGGGCTGAGAAGACACTCTAAAATGAGGAATTTGCTAGTGGGGTGGCCCCGGCATCTTTGAGAGCCTCTGCTTTGACTCCTCTCAAAACAATGGTTGGAAGCAAGCGACGCCGCCATGGAACTGGCAGGCAATGAGAGGATTCTCAAATGGCAGGGTCCAGACGGTGACACAAAATTACCAGGGCTCAGGTGGGCACCACTGTCGTACTGGGCAGCACAATCAGGGTGGGGTCAGGCTCATTTGATGAACAGGGACCTGTGGCAACGTTACAGATTGTAGTATCTCAGGGCCTGCATGTAAGGACAGCTGACTGGACTATTACTTGATTTTTATTAAAAGAATAACATGAGCTGGCAAGCAGAAGGCTGATGTTAGCAGCTGCCGTGGAAAACTGTGGTCCCCCACCGAGGGTCCAGATCTGTCAGTTCATAGGCCCAGAGCTTATTGATGGAAGTGGAGGTCAGAAACACTCAGCCACACATTCTCCCAGAAAACCTGTGGCTATTTACCAACATAAATAATGCAGTTCTGTCTAAAGTTCTTCTAACCGGGGATCCGATAGTTCTTTGGACCCATCCCAAGTTTGTTTCCCTCAGGACCTAGTTGTCAGTGATGTACTTTGGATGTTGCATCATCTTCATGTTGGTTCAAGCAACATTACATAGAAAGGTACATATGGGAGCCTACTAAGCTGCTCCCTCTTTACAATACAGGAACAAAGAAGTAATACCACTTCTATAGTGAAAACGAAGAGAAGACCCAAATTTCTAAATCAGAAATGAAAGCAAGGACATTGCTACTTACCTTACAGGGATTAAAAAAAAAGACTCTAAGAGTGTATCATGAGCAATTTTACATTAAGAATGAATCTAGAGGAAACAGACAAATTATTAGAAGCACACAACTAACAAACTGGCTCATAAACAAAGAGAAATTCTCTATAGACCTATAACAAGTGAAGAGATTGGTTTTGTTATCAAAAATCTCAGAACAAATAAAAGCCCAGCACCAAGTGGCTTCACCAGTAAACTCTACCACACCTTTAAAGAAGAATTAACATAACTCCTTCTCAAACTCTTCCAAAAAATAAAAGAGGAGGGGAGTCTTCCCAACTCCTTCTATGAGGCCAACATTACCATGACACTAAAGGAAGAAAAAGACACCATAGGAAAACTACAGGCGATGACCCTTATGAAAACAAAGTTTAAAAATCCTCAAAAAAATGCTAGCAAATACAGGAGGCTGAGGCAGGGGGATATCCTGAGCCCAGGAGTTTAAGACTGCAGTAAGCTATGATGGTACCACTGCAGTCCAGCCTGGGTGATGGAGTTAAATGCCATCTCCAAAGAAAAAAAAAGTAATAGCAAACAAAATTGGGCAGCATAGTAACAGGGTTATGCACCACGACCAAGTGAGATTTATTGCAAGTGAGATCAGTGTGAGGGTGGTCCAACACGAAAATCAGACAACGTAATACACCACATTAATAAAATGAAGGAAACAAACCACGTGATTATCTCAAATGGTGTGGAAAAAGCATCTGAGAAAATCAAACACTCTTTCATGATAAGGACACTCAGAAAAATAAGAAGAGAATTTCCTAAACATGAAAAGGGTCATTCATGAAAAATCCACAGCTAAAATCACGCTCGATGGTGAAAAAATAAAAGCTTTCTCCCTAAGATCATGACCAAGACAAGATGTTCACTTTCACCACTTCTAGTCAACAGTTTACTTGAAGTTGTAGCCAAAGCAATTAGGCAAAAAAAAAAAAAAAAGAAAAGAAAAGAAAAAGAAACAAAAGACATCCAATTTGGAAAAGAAGAAATAGAATGACCTAGACCCATAGATGGCATGTTCTTATATATAGAAACTCCCAAAGAATCCACCAAACAAAGCCATCAGAGCTAATGACAAAGTCAGCAAAGTTATAGGATACCAGGTCAATATGCAAGATCCATTTGCATTTCCACACATTATGAACAATTTGAATAGGAAATTAAGAAAACACTTCTATTTACGATAGCCTTAAAGAGAACAAAATACTCAGGAATAAATTTAGCCAGGGAGATGTACACTGAAAACCACAAAACACTATTGAAAGAAATAAAAGACCTAAACAAATGGAAAGCCATACTGTGTCCATGGACTGGAAGATGTAATGTTGCTATAATATAAAATTGTTATTGTTTAGGGAGATGAAAATACTCCCCCAATTTACCTACTTATTCCATGCAATCCCTCTCAAAATCCCAACAGCCCTTTGCAGAAATGGAAAAGCAGACCCCAAATTCCTATGGGATTGCAAGGGACTCTGAAACCAAAACAATCTTGGAAACAAACAACAAAGTTGGAGGACTCGCACTTCCCAGTTTCAAAACTTACTATGAGGCTATGGCAGTCAAGACAGTGTGGTACTGCCACAAATCTAGGCATACAAATCAATGGCATAGAATTGAGAGTGCAGAAATAAACACCTCCATGTTTGATCATTGATTTTCAGTAAGGCTGGCAAGGCTACCCAGTGGGGCAAAGGGTTTAGGTGTGTGATGAGCAATAAGGTTTCAGAGCAAGCCACTGGGCAGGGCAATGACATTCAGTGGAAGCCTGTCTACATTTGGTAGCCACTGTCTTGAGTAGGCACCCTCCTGAGGCTGCAGGGGAGGAATAGGTCTCCTCCTTGAACTGAAGTGAAGTCCACGCATCCTCCAGATGGGACAGCCTCCCAGTCTCATTTTGGAGAAGCCCAACAGAGCTCAGCATCCTGTTGCTGAGAGCCCCGTGTCCTGCCACAGACGGCCCCCCAGCCTTGCCGCCCGCCAACATTCCTGGAAACTCCTTTCTGTACCTCCCTTGCATGCTGTCATGGAAACAGGACTTCCCCACCCCCACCCCCGGATACCGCATCCTCTGAGCCCTTTCCAGCAGGGCTATTCTTGTCCACCCTCCTTGGAGCACAGGGCCTGGAGGTGGCATAGGTGACCTCCTTGCTTCTCACAGTGGCTTCCACATCATTCTCCCTCAATCCTCCCTGAAAAATACCCAGTCCCTTTGAAGTGCATGCTCTCAGACTACACTGCTAGGATTACCAGATTTAGCAAATAAAAACACTGGAAGCCCAGTTAAATTCAAACATCCCATTAAGGATGGCTATCTTGAGTAGAAGGGGTCCCATGCATTTCCAAATTTAACTGGGCATGACCACTGCCCCTCCTCACGCAGGCCAGGCTCCTCAGCCCAGAGCATGGATGGCTCTTGCCCGTCTCCTTACGGTTCTACTCACCTAGTTCAGCCTCCACTTTGCAGATGCAATGAAACATTCAGGACGTGCACCAGAGTTGAAAATGGGACCCACTTTTTGTCCAGTCCTGTGTTTTGAGCCATCTCTCGGGATGCTGTCTGTGAACTGGAGCCCAGTCAGTATAACTCAACCATTCCTTCTTTTTCAAACCATGTAAATCATAGAGACCTCCCTTCTCCCGGCCCTTGACCCCATCAACAGCAGAAAGCGATACATCCAACTGGCTGTCCACCTCTTCCAGGAGAAGGTTCAGGCTAAGATCATTGTATGTTAGATACCCAGGCGTCATAGAAACCCAACACCCCCAGCCTGTTCTTCATCACCCAGACTCTTTTCTGCATAAAGCACCGCACGTGCTGCCCTTAATCTGGCTGAGATTCCCACTGCCCCTTGCTCATGCGTGTGCTGGGAAATGCTAGAGCCTGCCAGCCACAAACGCCTCTATCGTCACCTTCCACTGCGCCCTTCACCTGCCTCCATGCCTTGACTGTGTCGTCCCCACTGCAGCTCTCTTGGGCCCACTAATGGCTAGAGCAGCCTAAGTGGCTTCTGAAGGGGAGGGGAATGCTGGGGGGTGGTGGGGGCTGGACGGTGAAGCTGCAGAGGTCAGAAGGGCCTGGGGGCAGAGAGGGAGAGAGACGGCGGGAAGGAGAAGCAAGTGCCACACTCCCCTGCCTGCAGGTGGGCCCCATGGTGACTTGGGCCCCCAGCAGGCCTAGTGACAAAAGGCCTTCCAGGGCTCTTGGATAAACCTGCTCAGGGGTCGGGGGTGCGGAGGGTCAAGGAGACCTCGGGGAGGTGGGGGAGGCCTGTTTCTCTCATTTGTTACCAAGGAGGGGCCCCTGGCTTGAACGAGCCCTTGCTCCAGGAGACACGCACGTGGTGAGTGGGGCTGGTGGGCCAGTGTCTTCACAGACATCTCAGGGTGGAGTCAGCCCCTGTGCCAGCCACCAGGCACACAGAGAGGTAGGGGCCAATGCCCCCACTATCCAGGAGCCCACAGTCTCCCAGAGGAGACGCAAGGGAGGGCTCATCATCACCCTGAAGGTCTAAAGGCGCTGAAACAGACCGGACCCAATTAACTCTCAAATCTTCCCTCCAGGACAAAGGCCCCCACAGAGCAGAAACTTCTGGGAATAGAAGACAAGTAAAGCAAGACAGGCACAATAGGGGCAAAGAAAAGAGAAAGTCCGAATCACAATGGAGAGGGAGAACAAACGGAGAACGTACAATGGAAGGTAAACAGACAGATGGTCACAGTTCTCACAGTCACCAGAAGAGAGTGCCCTTCATACGCGAAATCAGAAAACCTAGCCTCTCCCACCCTTCCACAAGTGCAGAAGGACTGATTTCATGGGAAAACCAGTTGACAAGAGGATCAAAGGCAAATTTCGTACAAAGTTACTAAAAGAAAGAAGAGAATAAGGAGCGGAATAACATCCCTCCAAGCCCAAGCCTGGGCCTGACGGAGGCGTCCCTTAGCCCAGCACGTCCTCAGCCTTGGGGATCATGAACCCCTTTGAGAACCAGAAGGGGGAAGGGCCCTTCCCTGGAAACAGACATGTATGCACAAGACCCCTAGAAGGGTGCCTTCTCTGGCCGGGCAGTCACAGGCACCCTGGCCCCATCCATGGTCCCAGCTGGAGCCTGACTTCCGAAGGTGAGCTCTATGTTATTTCCATGATGATACTTTGTCATTGTAATAGGACCTGGGGAAGAATCAGAGCAAAACAATCAATCACTTTGTTTAGTAAAATAATTTTATTTTCTATTTCAAAGTTGGGGAGAGATTTGGTTATTTTTATTTTTATTTTAAAAAAGCAAGCAAATATTATGATGGCTCCTCACAAAATGAAACATAAAATTACCCAGCAACCCCACTTTTAGGTAATACCCCCCAAAATTGAAAGCAGAGTCAAAGGGGTTTTTGAACATCCATTTTGACAACATTTTATTATTATTATTATTATTATTTATTATTATTTGAGACAAGCTCTCACTCTGTTGCCCAGGCCCAAGTGCAGTGGTGTGGTCATGGCTAATTGCAGCCTCCACCTCCTGGGCTCAGGTGATCCCCCTGCCTCAGCCTCTCAAGTAGCTGGGACTACAGGCACGCATCACCACACCTAGCTACCCGTTTTATTTTTTGCAGAGAGGATGTCTCAGTATGTTGCCCAGGCTGGTCTTGAGCTCCTGGGCTCAAGGGATCCTCCCACCCCAGCCTCCCACAGTGCTGGGATGACAGGCGTGAGCCACCGCACCTGGCCGATAGCAGCACTATTCGCAGTAGCCAAAAGGTGAAAGCAGCCCAAGCTCCCATCCATGGATGGATACGCAAACGTGCTCCACGCACATGACAGAATACGATTCAGCCTTCGAAAGGCAGGAAATTCTGAGCCAAGCTACAAGGTGGATGACCCTTGAGGACATTATGCTAAGTGAAGTCGGCCAGATACAAAAAGACAAATACTGTAAGATTCCACTTCCATGAGGCCCTTAGAGTAGTCAAATTCAGAGACAGGAAGTAGAATGGTGGTTGCCTTGGGCTGAGGGGTGCGGGGAGTTGGTGCTGAACAGGGACAGGGCTTCAGTTTGGGAGGACAAAGATCTCCGGTGACAGATGGTGGTGATGGCTGCACAGCACCGTGAATGTGCTGAACGCCTCCTAACTGTCCATTTCAAAATGGTTAAAGTGGTATATTAAAGTGGTATGCTTTATGTGATGTGTATTTTACCACGATTAAAATTGTAGAAAGGAAAAGAAAAGCTGGCCAAGCATCTTAGTTTCGGCACACTGACACTCCATGTCACAGCCAGAACGAGGGACTTCCACCACCGGGATTCGAGAACCTGAAGACGCTGGCCACCAGAGAGAGTCACCAGGCGCCAATGTCTGTGGCCCGCGGCCCATCCCAGAGGCGAGGCTCTCGGTATCCAGGGCCAGCTCGACCTGTGGCCCGCAGCCAGCCTCCTGCAACCACAGGGAGGAACCAAGAGAGGCGGGAGGGCCTTCGGAAATAGGCACGTCACTGACCTGCTAGAAGTTACTTGAGCACATCCATTCCTTGGCAATCACGGAAAAGAAAGTATTTTCTTCTAGCGTACCCAGAATGCTCAGCTGAGCTATCTGACCTGACCTGGCCCGGCTCACGGCCCCAGCATGTGGATTTGGAACCTACAAGCACACTGGCTCTGTTGGCAGCCCCAACTCGCACACCCAGTCTCGTCTCCCCGGCGGGGCTCACCGCTGCTGCGTGGGCCTGTGGGGACTCCTCTCTGCTCTCCCACTGGCTGCAGCGTTCATAAGTCCCCCTTCCCCCAACACGGTGCTCGGTGCTGAGTAAAAATATACACACGCACGTGGAGCCCAAAACCATATTTGTCCTAGGGATTGGCTCATGCTAGATGGGAAGAATAATCGGAGTGTGCACAAGCAGGAGCATTTGCTATTTCTTTTCCAGTCTACGATGAAGCAGGAACGTAAACTGAGTTACTCTAGTCGGCCACAACATGGAGTTCTGGTGTTTATCTAGCTGAAAGCCTGTGTAATGTGAGCACAGAGACACATTCATTCATTCAAGAAGCACTTTGGGAGCACCCACGCTACGCCAATAAGACGGCTGGGAGCCGGGATTACAAAACACCCCCGGTCAAGGTGTGCCACAAAAGATGACAGCCCCCCAGAGGGGATCCCGAAAGCAGCAGCTGGAAGTCAGTGGGATGTGTGCTAAGATCCCAAACGGGGGAAGCCACGGGACTACAGGAGGCAACGGCAAGGGCGCCTGCCCCTACCGAGTGGGCAGGGAAGGCGTCCCATGGGAACCGTTTAAGCGAGAAAGGCACTACGAGTAGGAGTTACCCAGGCTGAGGACAGGGGTGCGCAGGCAATACCAGGCAGGGACAAGCACTTCCAGACAAAAAGGAGCAGAGTCATTGGAAGGCGGGGGATGGCAAACATTTTCTGGGCAGGGCCGGAGGGTCAATATTTTCAGCTTTGCCACCTCAACTCTGCGGTCGTGGCACGAAAGCCACCCCGCAGGCACAACACAGAGATGAAGGATCATGGCGACTTGATTCCTGGACAGTGGCATCTGCATTTCCCATCACTCTTGCCTGTCCTGAGATAATACCACTCTCCCTTTGGTCATTTAACTACTCTCCCCGGGCTGGACACTTGGAACTTTCCCAGTCTTATGCTGTCACTAGCTATGCTGCACTGAAGAAGATCTTAAACATATTTCTTTCATCTATGAGAGGGTTCATCTGTCGGCTGGATATTCCTCCCACACAGTGGAGGGATCAAAGGTTCTGTGCATCTGAATTTTTAATGGATCTTGCCAAACTGCCCTCCATGGGAGTTGTGCCAATGTCTACTCCTGCCAACAACCAGTGGGGGCATCTATGTCCCATCAGGCTCACCAACACTGTGTGATCTGACATTTAGAATTTAGCCCATTGAATCAGTAAAAACAAACAAACCAACAAACCAAAAGGGATAATCTCAGTGTCTTTTGATGTGCATGTCTGGGGATGTGCATCTTTTCATAGGTTCAAGAGCCTCTTGTATTTCCTTTCTTGTTCACTGTCTGTTCACGTCCTTTACCCATTTTTCCCACTGGGTGCTTCATCCTTTTCTCTGTAAGAGTTCCTTGCGTATTGAGATAGGAGTTGGAGACAGTTTTCCCTAGTGTGTCATTTGTCCTTTGGCTTTGCTGATCGTATTAGTCTGTTCTCACATTGCTATAAAGAAATGCCTGAGACGACTGGGTAATTTATAGAGAAAAGAGGTTTAATTGGCTCACGGTTCCGCAGGCTGTACAGGAAGCATGGTGTTGGCATCTACTCTGCTTCTGGGGAGGCCTCAGGAAGCTTGCAATCATGGCAGAAGGCAAAGGGGGAGCAGGCACGTCACCTGGCCAGAGCGGGAGCAAGAGAGAGAGTGTGAGGTGCCACACACTTTAAAACAGCCCGATCTCACAAGAACTCCTCACTATCACGAGGACAGCACCAGGGGGATGGTGTTAAACCATTCATGGAAAATCCACCCCCAGGATCCAATCACCTCCCACCAGGCCCCACCTCCAATACCGCAGATGATAATTCAATAGGAGATTTGGGAGGGGACACAGATCCAAACTACATCACTGATGATGGATCGCTTTGCCACTCACAAGGTTTGGCTCGGCTTTGTACCTTTCTGTTACAGAAGAGACTTTCTAAATCTCATGAAGGAACAGGTGTCAGCGGTGGCAGAGATCCTCGTTACCCCGAGTTACTGGTGGCGAATCTGTACGCGTCTGCAGTAACTGCAATTCTCGCCTCCTCAGAAGAAAGCATTCAACTGAGGGGTATAGGGCAGAAAGGGGGACCGAGGTGAGTTCCAGAGCAGGAGTGTAAGTTTATTAAAAAAAGGTTTTAGAATAGGAAAGAACCCTTGGAAGAGATCCAAGTGGGCACCTGAAGGTCAAAGAGAAAGAGAAAAAAGGGCCTTTCCCCTTGACCCTGGGACTTTATAGGCTCACATCTTTCCGATGATTCTTCCCTTAGGGTGGGCTTTCTGCACGCACCGTGTCCTCCTTACCCTTGAGAACTGCACCTGCCCAGTGTGTTGTGGGATTTGTACGCATGCCCACCTCAGGCTTTTTCCCTTTTTCCAGTGGCGTGTGTCCGCGAGATCATAAAATACTTCAGCATTTTTGTCTCTTAATGTGCGTGCCCAGGAAGTTGCTTCTCCCTTGGGGCCTGCCTTTAATCAACACTTTAATGTTAACAGGTACGGACCGTCAGGAACTGGCCTCTGTCTGGCGCCGGCACTACTTTTAGAGAGGCGATGCGATAACTGCTGAACCGTCACCCGACATTTCCAGTGGGTAGGGGGAAGAGCCCTCACCTGCCCCACTCATGGCTAGCTACCTGTATAACACAGGGACTTGATCCTAAAGGCAGTGGAGGGCTGACACGGAGGTGTTTTCAGCAAGGAAGTGACCCGGTCATGGGTCCATGTTATTTATGAAGCTCATTCTGGCTACAGGGTGGTGGAGGGACTGGAAAGGGACTGAAATGGCCCCAAAGAGACCAGCTGGTGGCCAGGACCAGGGTGTGGAAGTTGCGGCGGGCCAAGAAGCATTTCTGAGTGGAGCTATGTGATGGGGAGAGGGTGCCGTCCAGGAGCAGGCCAGGCTTTGGGCTTGTCCAGCTGGGTCACTGTGTGGATGTCCATGATGAAGCCATGGAATGTAGAAAGAAGAGCACGGCTTCCTTTTCCTTCCTTCTTTTATTGGGGTGCAGGGGAGACAATGAGTTCTGCATCCTACAGGGACCCTTTTCTTAAACCCCACAAGGAGCTGAGTGCCACACCTCTGTGCTCCAGGGCAATGGCCTGTGCAGTGCCTGTTTCCCTCAAGAGCCTCCCCCAGGGGCAGGGACGATGCTTTAGCCGTAATGTGGATCCCTAGTGCCTAGCACAGTGCCAGGCACTGAAAAAATACTAAAAGAATAATGCTTACACCAGAGGAAGAGAGCTCCCGAGCGGAAGATAAATCTAAGTCATTAACAACAGCTCAGAGGGCAGGATCCATGCTCTGGAGGTGGCACCATAGGCCCACAGGCGGGGCTGGGCCTGGAGAATGAATGAATGGATAAGTGAATGAATGAGGTGCCAGGCAGAGAGGAGGCCTTTCTCCACCCCCTGCCAGTGTCTCTCAGGCTTCCATCCTTCCTTGGCCCTGCTCTTCTCAACAGGCCATGACCCACCCTCAGCTCCAAAGGCCACGTCCCACCCTCAGCTCCAAAGGCCACTTGCCCGTTCTGTGTTCAAACTTGAAGGTCAGTGGTCCACGGAAAGGAATGGTGGGCGGCGCATGGGTGGGGGGCAGGAGAAGAAGGGCCATAGAACCTCCCTTATTCCAACACCACTTTCTGAGTGTCTAGTTTGTGGATGTTTCATGGGATAGTAAGTACCATATTACAGCAGTGACGTGTGTGATTTAGACATATCTAGGTGTGCACTTCTTTGGTGGGGAGGTGTCTGTTGGGTCCTCTAGGGATGCCAAAAGAGCCTTAGGAGTGCCAGTGTCTGCCAGCCCACAGCGGGAGATGGAAGCAAAGACGGCCCCTTGGAGGGGCCCCGTGGTGAGCAGAGATAAGAGGTGCAGGCAGACAGGAGGAGTTTGGCTGGGTTGGGGGGATGTTTTGTGGCGGCAGCATCATTGATATAGGATGAGCTGGGCAAGGAGGAGCTGGGCAAGGAGGAGCTGCCACCACACAGAAGCAGTTACAAATCCGTAAGCTCTGCCTCAAGCAGCAGTAGACTCAGCACCCGTTTCCTGAGCGAGCACAATGTGGCCAGCAGAGTTCAAGAAGGAGAGTGGCATGGCCCCTGCCCCAGGAGGCTTGCAGCAGGGGGTACCCCTCTAAATACATCTGCCTCTGTGTGCTTCCCTCGGCTGCCGTAAGAAAGCACCACAAACCAGTTGACCCAATCACTCCACAGAAACTGATTCTGTCCCAGTTCTGGAGGCCAGAAGTCTAAAACCAAGCTGTCTGCAGGGCCGTGCTCCCTGGGAAGGCTCCAGGGGATGATCCTTCCTCGTCTCTCCCAGCTTCCAGTGGCCCCAGGTGTCCCTTGGCCTGTGGCCTCCTGGCCCTAATCTCCACCTCCTTCTTCATGTGGCTTTCTCCCCTGGGTCTCCATGTCTGCGTTTCTCCTCTGTTTGGTTCCTATAAGGACATTTGTGATTGGATTTAAGGCCCACTCGGGTAATGTAGGATCATCTCCTCTCAAAATGCTCAACTTCATGATCTCTGCAAAGACCCCTTTTCCAAATAAGGTCACATTTGCAAGATCAGAAGGTGAGGATGAGGCCATGTGTGTTTTTTTTTTTGGGGGGGGGGAGGTGCAGGTGGGGGGGGCACAATTCAGCCATGACCCTGGCCCTGTCTCAGCTTGTGCATGGCCGTGCTTCTCAGGGGTTGCCCTCTGCCTTGGAGTCCAGCCCGAGAGGCGGCGGCAGGCTTTGCCACACTCGCTGCATCTGGAGGATTTCCCTCGGCTAGAAAGAATGTGATGGGGATGAAGAGCTGACTGCCTGGAAGTCTTCGCATGCTCAGTGCCCTTGTGGGCACCTCCTGGGTCTGAACTCTCTGATATCCCTGCCCTGCCTTACAGTTCTGGAGGTCAGAAGTCCAAAACGGGAAGTTCTAAGGGACGAATCCTTTTCCTTGCCACTGCAGGGCCAGTGAGCACAGAAGTCAGGGAGAGCAGAGAGGAGAGCTCCTGGCCCAGATTAGCAGAGCCTGGCCTTTGCCTAGGGGCCCCCCCAGAATCAAACAGGGAGCCATAAGGATGCCAGAAGTATCTCCTCACCTCATCTGCAGGACCCAGCCCTTGAGCAGGGTGCACAAGACTCAGCTCGTTACTGCCTGTGGTGGCACAGTAACAGCCCCCAAAGATGTTCGTGGCCTAACCCCTGGGAGCTGCACATATGTTACCTTACATGACAATAGCGATTGGGCAGATGTGAGATGGGTGGGGAGATTATCCTGGATTGGCCAGGTCTTTACACTTGAAGGACAAGGGTCCTTAAGTGAGGGAGAGGGAGGAAGAAGAGTCAGTGTCAGAATGATGCCGCCAGAGAAGGACTCAACCGGATGTTGCTGGCTTTGAAGACGGAAGGAGTCAAGAGCCAAGGAATTCAGGCAGCCTCAAGGTGACAGGAAAGGCAAGGAAAAGGGTTCTTCCCCTAGAACTTCCTATTTTAGACTTCTGACCTCCAGAACTGTAAGACGATAGATCTGTGTTGCTTGAAGCAGCGGGTTTGTGATAATTTGTTACGGCAGCAACGGGGAACGAAAACACCACCTGCCTGCAGGTGCACATCTGCAGCACACTGCGGGGGTGGGGGTTGCTTTCACTGTGGTGAAATAGACATCACATTACATTTACTATTTTAACCACTCTAAAGTGTACAGCTCAGTGTCATTAAGTACATTTGCAATGTTGTGCAACCACCATCTCTACCCAGTTCCAAAAAGAATTTCATCATCCTCACAAAGACTCCTCCTCCCATTAGCAGTCACGCCCCATTTACTCCTCCTCCCAGCCCCTGGAAACCACAAATGCACTTTCTGTCTCTATGGATTTACCTCTCTGGGCGTTTCATAGAAATGGCTTCCTGTTATATGTGAACCTTTGTGACTGACTTCCTTGTCTTTTTTTTTTTAATTGTAGTGAACTACACATAACACAAGATTTACCGTTTTAACCATGTGCACACACACACACATGCACACACAGACACAACTCTAGTGAATATTGTTAACCACGAGTGTCATTTCTTGCTTCCTCATATCTTAGAAGGTTTCATATACTGCTTTACTTTAAGTACCTGCCCGCATGTCACTTACATATAAGGTAAGTATTATTGTTCCTGTTTTACAAATCGAGAGAGAGAGAGAGAGAGACTTAGAAAGGTTATGTGGCCCAGGAAACCAGTTACTGAGAGATTCTTCAAGATTGCAGTTTGCCTCCCTGGGCCACTTAACCCCTGACCTCAAATGATTCGCCTGCCTTGGCCTCCCAAAGTGCTGGGATTACAGGCATGAGCCACTGTGCCTAGCCTGTAGTTCTCTATCTTGAGAGAGATGACCCTCTGTTGTGAATCACAACAGGTGCAGGAGGCATGTGGCAACATGGAAAAAGAGAAATAGAATAGCCAAGAAACTGATATTCAGAAGATCATAGAAGAGGGCTCCAGTTTCATGGTTCCAAAGACTCCCTGAATAGCCCCATGACAATTCAACACCAACATGATGAAAACCAACTCATCCCTCCACCATGTGGTTTCTCCCATAGTCCCTGTCTCTGTTGGTGGCACCTTCCAACCCAAGTGCCAAGCTAGAAACAGTAGGGTAATCTGTAACATTTTCCTTTGCACTGCCATCCACATCCTATCATCCTCACTATCTCCAGTGATGGGAGGGGCTTCCATGAAGACCTCTGACATGCACTGGAGACATATTCCCCCTTGTCTTGGGGATTAACATATGGCTCCTTGTTACTTATGCAAATTTCTGCAGCCAGCTTGAACTTCTCCTCAGAAAATGTGTTTTTCTTTTCTATTGCATCATCAGGCTGCGAATTTTCCAAACTTTTATGCTGTGTTTCCCTTTTAAAACTGAATGCTTTTAACAGCACCCAAGTCACCCCTTGAATGCTTTGCTGCTTAGAAATTTCTTTCAGCAGATACCCTAAATCATCTCCCTCAAGTCCAAAGTTCTACAAATCTCTTGGGTAGGGCAAAATGCCACCAGTCTCTTTGCTAAGATATAGCAAGAGTTACCTTTACTCCAGTTCCCAACAAGTTCCTCATCTCCATCTGAGACCACCCCAGCCCAGATTTCATTGTCCATATCATTATCAGCATTTTGGTCAAAGCCATTCAACAAGTCTCTAGGAAGTTCCCAACTTTCCCACATTTCCCTGTCTTCTTCTGAGCCCTCCAAACTGTTCCAACCTCTGCCTGTTACCCAGTTCCAAAGTCACTTCCACATTTTTGGTTATCTTTACAGCAGCACCCCACTCTACCAGTACCAATTTACTGTCTTCATCTATTTTCACACTGTTAATACAGACATACCTGAGACTGGGTAATTTATAAAGAAGAAGTTTAATGGACTCACAGTTCCATGTAGGTGGGGAGGCCTCACAATCACAGCAGAAGGTGAAAGGCACATCTTACACGGTGGCAGGCAAGAAAGAATGAAAGATCCAAGTGAAAGGGGTTTCCCCTTATAAAACCATCAGATCTCGTGAGACTTATTCACTACCACGAGAACACAATGGGGAAAACTGACCCCATGATTCAATTTTCTCCCAACCAGGTTCCTCCCACAGCACATAAGTGGAACACAACACTTAAATGGAAGCTACAATTTAAGATGAGATTTGGGTGGGGACACAGCCAAACCATATCAGCATCCCATGTTCATGAACTGGAAGAAACACAGACAAGTCAGTGTAGATTCTTTTAATTGCCCCAAGGAACCTCCCAGAATTTACCTTCTCCCACACTAATCCTATTTTCCACCCAACCACTGAGGCTTCAGAAAAGCAAATCTTGTTGACATACAACTGCTTCAAAGCCTTCCAAACATCTACACTGCCTATGGGACACAAGTCCCAAATCTTGAATATAGTCTCCTTAATTCTTTGTGATTTGGAACCGCACTCCTCCACAGCTGTCCCCGGAAGCCACCATGCTCTGTCACTCCTGTAGACCTCTGAAAGCAAGCTATCCTTCATCCTATCCATTTATTTCACAAAGCTCTACTGAGTGCCTACTATGTGACAGGCACTGTGCTAGGTACCATCCTAAAGAGTTTACCAGCTTCTGATGTAGGTAGTGCTCTACAAAGGACAGGATGCCAAGGGGGCACAGAACAAGAAGGCAGTGGTTGGAGATGGGAAAACAGGAAATTCAGGAGAGCTATGTGGACCCTGGTAAAAGCAGGTGGGATGAAAAAGATCCCAGGTAGTGTCCAAGAGAGAGTTTTTCAAGACAAATAAGAGAAATTTGTAGGCTGTAAGTGGGTGATTCACTTCTCCACAGACATAAATACATCCATGGGACCTGCCAGGGATTGTAGATAAGATGCGGAAACACTAGGTGATTACGAAGTGTGGGAGGGAAGAGAGTCAACCATTGAATGGGGTGGATGTGGAGAAAAGCTTAAAGGAAACATCCTGTCCCTGGCATGTGTTACACCAGAATTGAACATGGGGGCATGAGGAGGGAAATCGTGTCCACTTGGGAAAGTTCTTTAAGGGGGTTAAAGAAATGACACCTTCTAAAACTGCAGCAACTTGGTTGGCCCACCTCCCACCCCATAAACGTGTCAGGATGGTCCTGTGTGATGTCTAAGTCCCCTCCCCAGCACTAATGTAGGCCTAGGGTGTGTTTTGCTGACAGAACAGACCCTGGGTGTGTGGCTACTCATTGTCCAGGTGAGGAGTATAGAAAAGGAGGCCATGGGGCCTGGTATAGACCAATGGGAGGGTTTGACATGGCAATGGTGACAGGGAAACCAAAAGCAACTTGCACTGTTACCAGACAACCAACCCTCAACACCAGAAAGGAAAGAAGAGGAACACCCCTACAAGCCAGGTCCATAGATAGGGTCAAGGTAAGACAACCCAAGCCAAGCTCTTCCTCTACTTCCCCATTGACTTCCCTCCCACAAGACTCCTTCCTGTCCTTACCTGGACCAAACCTTCTTCAGCCTACACCCGATCTCATAAAATTTTCCTGATTACCAGAGTAATTCAGGATTGTTAAAAACATGTTCAAACCCCACAGAAGCACACAAAGTTGAAAGTAACCATCTTCTGTCACCTCAGCAATAACTCCAATCAATTATTGGGTACAGGTCATTCAAAAGTTCCTTTTCTCTTTGTACCTGTATTAATGCTGGCACACAGTGCCTCTAGCTAGGTCTACAGCTTTCATCCCTGATACAGCATTAGCTGTCATCCCACACAGGAATTTGGTTTACAAAACCCTTATTTATCTACCCTTTGCCCTTCCTTTTTACACTGGATGTCACTGAAATTCTGCTTCCTGAGATACTGGTAAACAGCAGCATGTATATACAATTTGAGTCAAACAACTGTGGCACTGTGTTACCTCCATGTAACCCTAGGTCTTGCAAAAGTCTGAAGAACACAGCTCTGGTCTGGATAGTCTTTCAGGTCACGTGCTCTAGCCTACTCCTTCTTAGGTCCCCCGTGTGCGGTGCCATAGATATAGTGTTACAATGAGGTGTTGACTTTCTGCTACATACTCTAGGGTGTGGCCAAGCAACCACTGATAAGGAGATTAGTATGGATAGAAGGAATCCAGGTACTATTCATCATGACAATGGGAGAATGACCACAAAGGCATTTCAGAGATTTTCAAAGCTGCCCCTCCAATCACAGGCCCAGAGGACCAGGGCCTCAATTGAGGGCAGAATGGTTTAAAGCAAGGGGCCCCGGGCTCCTGTGGAACCTCAGGGCTCACTGTCCAGAGGTGCCTCAGGTCTCTGCTCCCCAAATTCCAGTGTGGTGCACCTAAGCCACCCCAGCTGTGGCTGAAGCATGTCCATGTATGACTCAGGCCATCACTCTAGAGGGGACAAGTAATGAGCCTTGACAGTGTTGACATGGAAGTGACTCTGCAGGCACACACAGCATAAGAGTTGTGGAGGCATGACGTCCTCCACCTAGATTCCATAGAATGTCTCAAACAGCCTTGGGGCTCAGGCAGGGACCAGCCAAACACATGGAACCACCATAGAGAGCCCCCACTAAGGCAAAGCCTAATGGAGCTGTGGAAGTGGGGTCACCCCTGAGATCTCAGAACTGTAGAGCCACCAGAGTGCAACTCCGGCTTAGGAAAACCACAGGCATGCAACTTCAATACATGAGAGCTGAAACATGCTCTGTTCCCAGCAAAGTCATGGGAACAGGGCTGCTCAGAACCTTGGAGACTGCACCCCCACATCAGTGTGTCCGGAAAGTGGGACATGGAGTCAAAGAATATTATTTTCAAGCCTTAAGATTTATGGTTGTTTTCCCTGTTGGGTTTTGGACTTGCTTGTGGCCTATTACTCCTTTCTTCGCTCCTATTTCTCCCTTTTGGGATGGGAATGTTTATCCTATGCCAGTCCTACCATTGTATATTGGAAGTACATAATTTGCTTGATTTCACAGGCTCATACCTGGAGAGAAATTTACCTAAGGATGAAGCATACCTTAAGTCTCATCTATATTGTCAGGCCTCTGAGCCCAAGCTAAGCCATCATAACCCCTGTGACCTGCACATATACATCCAGATGGCCTGGAGCAACTGAAGAACCACAAAACAAGTGAAACAGTCAGTTCCTGCCTTAACTGATGACATTCCACCATTGTGATTTGTTCCTGCCCCACCTTAACTAATCAATTGACCTTGTGACATTCCTCCCCTGGACAATGAGTCTCAGGAGCTCCCCACTGAGCACCTTGTGACCCCCTCCCCTGCTAACAATAGATAAACACCTTTAACTGTAATTTTCCACTGCCTACCCAAGTCCTTTAAGACTGCCCCTCTCCTATCTTCCTTTGCTGACTCCTTTCTCGGACTCAGCCCACTTGCACCAAAGTGAATAAACAGCCTCACTGCTCACACAAAGCCTGTTTGGTGGTCTGTTCACATGGACGTGTGTAACATTTGGTGCCGAAAAACCCGGAACAGGGGGATTCCTTTGGGAGACCAGTCCCCTGTCCTTGCCCTCACTCCATGAGGAGATCCACCTATGACCTCCAGTCCTCAGACAAGCCCCAGGAACATCTCACCAATTTCAAATTGGGTAAGTGGTCTCTTCACTCTCTTCTCCAGCCTCTCTTGCTACCCTTCAATCTCCTTGTCCTTCCAATTCCAGTTCTTTTTCCTCTCTAGTAGAGACAAAGGAGACACATTTTATCTGTGAATTCAGAAACCCCGACGTCGGTCACAGATTTGGGAAGACAGTCGTCCCTTGGTGTCTGATCTTCACAGGGACACCTGCCTTGATCATTCACCCACACTCCCCTCGTGGCAAGCCAATTATGGGGATGCCTGCTTTGGCTGATCACCCACATTACAGCCCAGGACTCAGCCAGGGACACCTAATGAAAGCCTGGTAGCTGCTCACTTCCCCTTCTCTACATCTCTACCTTTCTCTTCAATTTCACCTCCTTCACTATGGGCAACTTTACACCCTCCATTCCTCCCTCTTCCCCCTTAGCCTGTGTACTTAAAAACTTAAAACCTCTTAAACTAACACCTGATCTAAAACCCAAAAGTCTTATTTTCTTCTGCAATGCCGCTTGGCCCCAATATAAACTTGACAATGGTTCCAAATGGCCAGAAAATGTAACTTTCGATTTCTCCATCCTACAAAACCTAGATAATTTTTGTGAAAAATTGGGCAAATTGTCTGAGGTGCCTTACGTCCAAACATTTTTTACACTTCGCTCCCTCCCTAGTCTCTGCTCCCAGTGCGACTTGTCTCAGATTTTCCTTCTTTCTCTCCCGTCTGCTCCTTCAGTCTCCACCCCAAGCTCAGAGTCCTCTGAATCCTCCTTTTCCACTGACCCTTCTGACCTCTCTCCTCCTCCCCCGGCCGCTCCTCGCCAGGCTGAATCGGGTCCCAATTCTTCCGCAGCCTCTGCTCCCCCACCCTATAACCCTGCTATTACCCCCCCTCCTCACACTCAGTCTTGCTTACAGTTTCATTCCCCGACTAGCTCTCCCCCACCTGCCCAACAATTTCCTCCTAGAGAGGTGGCTGGAGCTAAAGGCATAGTCAGGGTACATGTGACTTTTTCTTTATCTGACCTCTCCCAAATAAGTTAGCGTTTAGGATCTTTTTCATCAAATATAAAAACCCAGCCCAGTTCATGGCCCGTTTGGCAACAACCCTTAGATTCTTTACCACCCTAGACCCAGAGGGACCAGAAGGCCGCCTTATCCTTAATATGCATTTTATCACCCAATCCACTCCTGACATTAAAAAAAAAAAAAACCCAAAAGTTTGATTCTGGCCCTCAAACCCCACAACAGGATTTAATCAACCTTGCCTTCAAGGTGTTCAATAACAGAGAAGAAGCTGCCAAGCAGCAACTTATCTCTGAGTTACAACTACTTGCCTCCGCTGTAAGACAACCCACAACCACGTCTCCAGCATACAAAACCTTCAGAACATCCAAGCCACGGCTCCCAGGGGCTCCTTCAAAACCTCCTCGTGGACCTTGCTTCAAATGCCAAAAGCCTGGCCACTGGGCCTCGGAATGCCCACAGCCCAAGATTCCTCCTAAGACATGCCCTGTCTGTGTGGGCCCCCACTGGAAATCAGACTGTCCAACTCACATCGCCGCCACTCCTAAAGCTCCTGGAGCTCAAACCCAATATTCCTTGGCTGACTCTTTCCCAGATCTCCTCAGCTTAGTGGCTGAATACTGATGCTGCCCCATCATCTCAGAAGCCCCCTGGACCATCACAGACGCCAAGCTTCAGGTAACTCTTACAGTGGAGGGTAAGTCCGTCCCCTGTTTAATTGATACAGGGGCTACTCACTCCACATTACCTTCTTTTCAAGGGCCTGTTTCCCTTGCCCCCCATAACTGTTGTGGGTATTGACAGCCAAGATTCAAAACCCCTTAAAACTCCCCCACTCTGGTGCCAACTTGGACAACATTATTTTATGCACTCTTTTTTTAGTTACGCCCACCTGCCAGTTTCCTTATTAGGCTGAGATATTTTAACCAAATTATCTGCTTCCCTGACTATTCCTGGGCTACAGCCACACCTCATTGCTGCACTTTTACCCAATTCAAGGCCTCTTTCACATCCTCCTCTTGTATCTTCCCACCTTAATCCACAAATATGGGATACCTCTACTCCTACCTTGGCAACCAATCATGCACCCCTCATCATCCCACTAAAACCTAACCACCCTTACCCTGCTCAGTGCCAATATCCCATCCCACAGCAGGCTTTAAAAGGGTTAAAGCCTGTTATCACCCACCTGTTACAACATGGCCTCTTAAAGCCTACAAATTCTCCTTACAACTCCCCTATCCTACCCGTCCAGAAACCGGACAAGTCTTACATGTTGGTTTAGGATCTTCGCCTTATTAATCAAATCGTCCTTCCCATCCATCCTATAGTGCCAAACCCGCACACCCTCCTATCTTCAATACCCCCTTCCACAACTCACTATTCTATTATCGACCTCAAAGGTGCCTTCTTTACTATCCCCTTGCATCCCTCCTCCCAGCCTCTTTTCGCCTTTACTTGGACTGACCCTGACACCCACCAATCCCAACAACTCACCTGGATTGTTCTGCCCCAGGGCTTCAGGGACAGCCCACACTACTTTGGTCAGGCCCTTTCTCATGATCTGCTTTCTTTTTGCCCATCTGCCTCCCACCTTATTCAATATATTGCTGATCTTCTTCTTTGCAGCCCCTCTTACCAATCTTCCCAGCAGGACACTATTCTGCTTCTTCAACATCTCTACTCAAAGGGGTACCGAGTATCCCCCTCCAAGGCACAAATTTCTTCCCCTAGCATTACCTATATCAGTATAATCCTCCATCAACATACACACACCCTTCCTGAAGACATTGTTCAGTTCATCTCCCAGACCCCAATCCCCACCATCAAACAACAACTCCTTTCCTTCTTAGGCATTGTTGAATATTTCCAACTCTGGATACCAGGCTTTGCTATCTTAACCAAACCACTTTACAAGCTCACAAAGGGTAATTTAACTGATCCCATAGACCCTAAGTCTTTACCCCATTATTCCTTTCACTCTCTCAGAAAGGCCCTGGAGACAGCTCCCACACTAGCACTCCCCAACTCATCCCATCCTTTTTCCTTACACACAGCTGAAATACAAGGCTGTGCTGCTGGAGTCCTCACACAGGAGCCAGGCCCACGACCTGTTGTCTTTCTATCAAAACAACTTGACCTCACAGTTCTGGGCTGGCCCTCATGTCTGCGTGTGGTGACAGCTGCCACTTTAATACTTCTAGAGGCCTTCAAAATCACAGGCTATGCTCCACTTACCCTTTACAGTTCTCACAACCTTCAAGCATTAATATCCTCCTCACACCTTTTACATTTATTGTCTGCCCCTCAACTCCTCCAGCTATATTCACTCTTTGTTGAAACTCCAACAGTAACTATTACACATGGGCCTGATTTCAACCCAGCTTCTCACTTAGCACCCAAAACAAGTCCTGAACCACATGACTGTATTTCCCTAATACACTTAGCATCTTCCCCTTTTCCTCATATTTCTATTCTTCCAATTCCAAACCCAGACCATACTTGGTTTATCGATGGCAGTTCTTCTAAACTCAATCAATTTTCACCAGCTAAAGCGAGATATGCTGTCATGTCCCACACCTCTATTATCGAAGCTGCTGCACTTCCTCCCTCCACCACTTCCCAACAAGCTGAACTGATTGCTTTAACTTGTGTGCTCTCTCTCACTAAAGGAATGCACATTAACATTTATGCTGACTCCAAATATGCTTTCCACATCCTCCATAACCATGCTGCCATCTGGGCCAAAAAAGGCTTCCTTGCCACATAAGGCTCTTCCATTATCAATGCCTCCCTCATAAAGGCCCTCCTTAAGGCTGCTCTCCTGCCAGCCAAGGCTAGAGTCATTCATTTTAAAGGACACCAGAAACCTACTGATCTTATTGCAAAAGGAAATGCTTATGCCAACAGGACAGCAAAAGAAACAGCCAATGTTTCCACACCTGCTAATATTCCAGCCCCCACTCCAGAGGACCAGTATTTTTCTTTCTCCTCTATCACTCCCACCTACTCTGGTTCTGAAAACCTCCTCTACCAGTCTTTTCCAACTCAGGGCAAGTGGTCCTTCGAGCATGGAAAATTCATTCTTCCTGCCTCACAAGCTCAGTCCATTCTTTCTTCCCTTCATGACCACTTCCATGTGGGATACAAGCCTGGCTATCCTCCTGCAGCCCCTCATCTCCTTCCCTTCATGGAAATCCATCCTTAAGACCATCACCTCTCAATGCTCTGTCTGCCATACCACCAGCCTCCAAGGCTTTCTCAGGCCTCCTCCTTTTCCTATGCATCAGGCTCATGGATTTACTCTGACACAAGATTGGCAGATTGAGTTTACTCATATGCCCTGTGTCCGTAAATTTAAGTATCTCCTGGTTTGGGTCAACACCTTCACCGGGTAGGTCGAGGCCTTTCCCAGTAGCTCAGAAAAGGCTACTGCAGTCTTCTCTTCCCTTCTAATAGATATAATTCCCCGATTTTGCCTCCCTACTTCTGTGCAATCTGACAATGGTCTGGCTTTTATTAGTCAAATCACCCAAGCAATTTCTCAGGCTCTTGGTATTCAGTGGAATCTTCATACCCCTTACCATCTTCAATCTTCAGGAAAGGTAGAATGGACTAATGGCCTTTTAAAAACACACCTCACCAAGCTCAGCCTCCAACTTAAAAAGGACTGGACAGTACTTCTACCACTTGCCCTTCTCAGAATTAGAGCCTGCCCTTAAGATGCTACAGGGTACAGTCCATTTAAACTTTTATGTGGACGTACTTTCTTGCTCAGCCCCAAACTTTTCCAGACACCAGCCCTCTAGGTGACTATCTTCCAGTCCTTCAGCAGGCTAGACAGGAAATTCGCCAGACTGCTAATCTTCTCTTGCCTACTCCACATTCCCAGCCATATGAAGACATCTCTTTTAGTACACCCTCTCACCTCTTCACTTTGCACTTCCAGTTTTGCCTTACACAAGGTCTCTTTTTCCTCTGTGGCTCATCCACCTACATGTGTTTTCCTGTTAATTGGACAGGCGCATGCACACCAGTTTTCCTTACTCCCAAAATTCAATTTGCAAATGGGACCGAACAGCTTCCTGTTCCCTTCATGACACTGACACAACAAAAAAGGGTTATTCCACTAATTCCCTTGCTTGTCGGTTTAGGACTTTCTGCCTCCACTATTGCTCTTGGAACTGGAGTAGCAGGCATTTCAACCTCTGTCACAACCTTCCATAGCCTCTCTAATGACTTCTCTGCTAGCATCACAGACATATCACAAACTTTATCAGTCCTTCAGGCCCAGGTTGACTCTTTAGCTGTGGTTGTCCTCCAAAACAGCTGAGACCTCGACTTACTGCTAAAAAAGGAGGACTCTGTATATTTTTAAATGAAGCGTTTTTTTGTTTTGTTTTGTTTTGTTTTGTTTTACCTAAATCAAACTGGCCTGGTATATGACAACATAGAAAAACTCAAGGATAGAGCCCAAGAACTCACCAACCAAGCAAATAATTACACTGAACCCCCTTGGGCACTCTCTAATTGGATGTCCTTGGTCCTCCCAATTCTTCGTCCTCTAATACCTGTTTTTCTCCTTCTCTTATTCAGACCTTGTGTCTTCCGTTTAGTTTCTCAGTTCATACAAAACAGCATCCAGGCCATCACCAATCATTCTATATGACAAATGCTCCTTCTAACAACCCCACAATATCACCCCTTACCCCAAAATCTTTCTTCAGTTTAATCTCTCCCACTTTAGGTTCCCGCGCCACCCCTAATCCCACTCGAAGCAGCCCTGAGAAACATTGCCCATTATCTCTCCATACCACCCCCAAAAGTTTTCACAGCCCCAACACTTCACCACTATTTTGTTTTGTTTTTCTTATTAATATAAGAAGACAGGAATGTCAGGCCTCTGAGCCCAAGCTAAGCCATCATAACGCCTGTGACCTGCACATATACATCCAGATGGCCTGGAGCAACTGAAGAACCACAAAACAAGTGAAACAGCCAGTTCCTGCCTTAACTGATGACATTCCACCATAGTGATTTGTTCCTGCTCCAACCTAATTAATCAATCGACCTTGTGACATTCCTCCCCTAGACAATGAGTTTCAGGAGCTCCCCACCGAGCACCTTGTGACCCCCTCCCCTGCTAACAATAGATAACCACCTTTAACTGTAATTTTCCACTGCCTACCCAAGTCCTATAAGACTGCCCCTCTCCCATCTACCTTCACTGACTCCTTTCTCGGACTCAGCCCACTTGCACCCAAGTGAATAAACAGCCTCATTGTTCACACAAAGACTGTTTGATGGTCTCTTCACACAGATGTGTGTAACATAAATCTGATTTGGATGAGATTCTGAATTTTAGACTTTTGAGTTGATGTTAGCATAAGTTAAATCTTTGGGGAATATTGGGATGAAATGAATGTATTCTGTATGTGAGAAGGACATTAATTTTGTGGGCCAGAGGGGCAATGCTATGGACTGAATGTGTTCCCCAAAGCTCATGTGTTGCATATAATCCCCACTGCAACAGCGTTGGGAGATAGGAACTTTTGGACAATATTTAAGTCATGAGAGCCTAATGGATTAATGCCATTAAATAAAAAGGGTTTGTTAGAGTGGGTTTGTGCTGTTCTGTTCTTCTGACATGTGAGGACACAGCATTTGTCCCCTTTTGCCCTCATGCCTTCCACTATATGCTGATGCAGCAAGAAGGCCCTCACAAGATGCTGGTGCCTTGAGCTTGGACTTCCTAGCCTCCAGAACTGTGAGAAATAAATTTCTGTTCTTTGCAAATTACCTAGCCTTAGGCATTTTGTTATAGCAGCACAAAACAGACTATGACAATAACTTATAGTTTGCATCGTGTTACTAACTTCAAGATTGTTTTATTATAATTCAGTTTTGCACCACATTTTGGCAAGAAAATTTAACTTTGGCAAGGAGATAGGAAATCCCTCTCCACTTCTCCTCAGGCTAGGAAATGTCCCACACATAGTTCTAAAGCCCACAGCTCCCAGTATTTACTGTCTAAGCTGCCTCACTGGTGACAACATTCAATTATTACAAGGCAATCCCTAAAAGGACTATGTGTCTTCTGAAGTAAGCTAAATCAGTAGCAGGTGTATGACAGGCACAGCTGGTGAAGGTAAGGGGACCAAGGAGCATTTGGAGGAGGGCCAGAAGTAGGCAGAGCTAGAGGGAGCATAGTAGAATGTGACAAGTGTATACCAGGCAAACCGAGCATTTTCAAAAAAAAAGAAAAAAGCCTGCATTCGTCCAACTCGGTAGAGAGGCACAAGAGAACGAAGTTGAGGGCTTGTCTTTTGGGATCTCTTTCAGGGACTGGGTCAGATGCTGAGTACACATTTGCAGAATTCCTCAAAATAAGGAGACACAGTCCTATTAATCAGAAGAAGAAAGAGGACCAAACATGCAGTCCTGATTCTGATGGGAGGCAAAGCAAGCATAACTTCAAGAAGAAGAGTGACAAAAACAGGAGAAGGCAGAATAATTTGGGGGGTAAGAGTCTGAGGAGGAAGTAAGGATAAGCTCCTGCTATGGAGTGACTATTTGTGTCCTCCCAATTCATATGTTAAAATGCTATCCCCCAACCTGATAGTATTAAGAGGTGTGGCCTCTGAGAGATTATCAGGTCAGGAAAGTGGAGCCCTCATGAATGTGATTAGTGCCCTTACAAGAAGTGGCAGGAGAGAGATCTCTCTGTCTTTCTGTCATGTGAGAACACATCAAGAAGACAGCCAGAAAGTGGGCCCTCACCAGACACCGGATCTCCTGGCATCTTTATCTTGGACTTCCCAGCCTCCAGAACTATGAAAAATAAATCTTTTTGTTTTTTCTTTAAGCCACTTAATCTATGGTAATTTGTTCTAGTTGCCTGAGCTAAGATAGCTCCTGAGTGCAAATAGAAGGGTATGCTTTAGAGAGGAAACTATAAGGAGTTGGTGAGTCTAGATGTCCAAGTTAAAGGCCTATGATCCTGTAGGACCCATGTCATTAAAAAGGGATTCTAGGAAGGAAAAAAAAAAAAGAAATGGACAATAAACACTTGGAAAGAGATTTCTTTTCCAACTTTTTAGAAATAAAAAATCAATTTTCCCCCTTTCAAATTGGCAGAGATTAAAAACACAGTACATGCTGGTAGGGTATGATGAGATATACATTCCAATGCTCTGCTGTAAAAGTATGAACTGGAAAAAACTTTTTGGTGAGCAATTTGTAATATTGGATCAAGCACCTTGAAAATTCCTATTCTGGGATTTATTCTAGAAAGAGCTGTGCAGAGAGACATAAGTAGAAAGATGTTCATAACAGTGTGAGCAGTCACTGTGAAAGGGGGAAATTAAAAAGTCTGACAATAGAAAAAGATTAAATAAATTATATATCTACATGATGAAATAGTCCACAGTCATTGTAGATCATGATTTTGAAGAATTTTTAATGACATGTGAAAACAGTTATGATACAAAATTAAACAAAAATTAATATACAAAATTATATACAAGTACATAGCATGATCTTTTCTTTATAGTTATATATATAACTATGCATACATATATACTTATATATGTAAGTACTGGAAGGGAATACATCAAAATATTAGTTACTTTTCTCTAACAGGTGATTTTATTTGCTTCTTTCTTCTTTTCTAAAATGAACACAAGATACTTTATGATTAAAACAAACCCCATAAACAAGAGACATTATTTCCAAATTAGGAAGAGGAGTTCTGGTCTTCTCCAGCCTGAAGGTTAAGACTTCTTTGAAGAATTCAACTCCACTCAAATATTCCTCATTGCCTTGAACAGGAAAGCAGATGAACGCTTGTTCTGGGATGAGTTGGTTGAGCTCAGCCTTGAACAAAGAGCAGGGGGCAGGGATGTGGGAACAGAACCCCATGGCAGCCCTGGAGTATGCGTTCAAATACAAGAAAAGGAGTATGTCCTACCAGACAAACACACGGAGGCATCTCATCTTAATTCTTCAACTGAGATGGTGGGGGAGGAGCAGATGCCACTGGCCGGTCACAGAAGCAGATGGGTTAGGACGGTCTAGAGCATGCAGCACCTGTGTGGACACCTGTGTGAACTGGTGAGAGAAAGTACATTGGCTGAGGTGTAGCTATGAGCCTCCATAGTCAAGTTGAATGGGTTTGGTTCCTGGCTCAGCCACTTACTTGCTGTGTGAACTCAGACAAACTACTTACTCTCTCAGAGACTCAATTTCTTCACCTACTTACTCTCTCAGAGACTCAATTTCTTCACCTACTTACTCTCTCAGAGCCTCAATTTCTTCACCTGTAGAGTGAAGATAATGAAACTTGCTACGTAAGGCTCTTTGGAAGATTAACTGAATTATATTTGAAAAGCAGATATGATTCTGCATGCCTGGCACACTGCAAATGCTATGCAAGTGTTTGTTGTTGTTATTATTTGTTCCCATGATCGGACATACTAACATGGGACAACCCAAAATACAAAGAGTGAAAGCTAAGGGCTAAGGAGCTCAATGCTGAAAAGGAGGAGACCCTCAATCTTTCAGAAAGGCCCGAAGGAAGTAGAAACAACAGAGAAACCCAAGCGAAGATGAGGAAATTAAATGGATCCCCACCCTAAAATCGTGTTCATCTTCCTGACAGGCCTGATGGATTTTGAGAAAATGTTGCCAGTTAACTTTTTAAGACCAAATCAACTTTCTTTTACATCTAGTTGAATGACCCAGGATTGTTGTGAATGGAAAGGAAATAATGTATTTTAGATATCCTGCACTTCATCATTTGCCCACTCCTAGGAAGCTATCCAAAGGAAATAGCCTGACAAGTTTACAAATATGTAGTATAAGGTCATTCATTGCAGGGTTATTTAGAATAATGAAAATCTGGAAACAATCTAAATAGCTATCAATAGTGGACAGGTTAAATAGATTATGATATGTTGATGCAGCGGAATACTACACAGTCACTAAAGAGAATGGATATTTGCCTATACCTATATCTTATTAACTGACATGGAAAGATGTCCATGACACGTGATTGAGGACAAAATAACAGGCAGAGGACCACAGCACACACAATAGTGTTTCCACATCTCCACACATGATGGTGCGGAGCCAGCCTTGGAAGAATGCTCACTCAAACGTTGATAGTGATTGTCCCTGGGAGGTGGGATTTCAGGACTTCTGTGTTTTCTTTGTGTCTCTGTATTTTTTTTAATTTCTGAAATGAGCATATATTATCTTTGTAATAAAGCGAATCTTATTGGGTAAAAAAAATCCATTTGTTAAATGAATGAATAAATGTCTTAAAAAACACTAGATACACAAATAGTTTTCTTTGTCACCCACTTCTCACTCCTTTCTTTGGGGTTAAGCTGCCACCATTAAACATGCTGTACTTGAACCTGAATGTAAACGTCAATGTCCTCTGAAGGAGAATGCATGGAGAGCATCTCATCATGATAAATGGTGAATGTGGGTAAGTACCAAAGGCCAACAAAAAGCCCATGCAACATTTAGAATCCTTAAAATGTTCATTTTTTCTTGTAAGAACTGGAATTTCAAACCATAATTCAATCCAGGGCCCCCAAATGGACAATTTTCACTCTTTTATGAATGGGTCAGGTATGAACAATACAAAGCAAATAGAAAACCACTCTCACCAGCAGAACTTGAAAAAGCCCATGCGCTCCTTCACTGACTAGAAAGGTGTTGACTTACGAGGCCTTCAGTCACTCACCTGGACAGGAGCCTCACAGCACTTATCTTTCCAGCATTCATGGTTCTTCTGCTGACTCTAACTGGGGTATCATCTCTGGTTTGGAAATTGGAATCTCTGGTTTGGGGTTTTGGTGGGGGGGGGAATGGAGACTTAGCTCTTTGTGCTGGGACACAGAGGTGTCCTGGAGTTCCACTCCAGTCACTTGGTATTCAAGGGTAAAGGTCATTCTAGGAGAGCCGAGAATGTTCCAAGATTATCTCCACAGGGCTGAATGTGATTTCTGAGAAAGGGTGGAAGAAGGGATAGGGATGAGCATGGCAGCAGGGTCTGGGAAACTGTCAGCTGCAAGGAACAACTGGATTTACCCTCCTGGACAGAAGCAGAATCTCAGGTCATCTCGGATGGATCCTTATAGGAGCACCCCTGGCCTAGAAGTTCAGAGGACTGGGAGACCAAACCCTCCGCAGCAGCTTAAGTAAGTTTATCAACAACTCCATTTGGCACTGGGCTTTCAACCAGAAAGAGAAACATAAATAATCTGATTTTGGCTGCCAAGGAAATGGAAATCTGACCCTTGGCTCTACAGCCCCAGCTCGGAGGGTCTATGGGAAGGAATGCTGTCCTTAACCAGGAGGATCAGGGGCCTGTAGCTCACAAACATCCCATTCCTCCCTATAGCCTTTTGAGCAAGGCCCAGGTACAACCCTCTCCTGACAGAAGTCTAAGGGTACAGCTGTAAATATCACAGACTCCTAAAAGGCCCAAACCATTCCTACTTACTCTGAGCCTCCTCAGGGAGGGCTGGAGTTGGCAGCATTGTAGGAAGAGGTGAAGATGGACAGGAGGTGGTCCAAAAGTATTCAAGGGCCCCTCTGCACCAGTTCAATGCCAACTGAGCACGTGCCAGGCTGAGTGCTTCACTCTGTGGGAGCTATAAAAAGGAGTAGATACATCTCTGCTCCTGAGAAGAAAGTCATTTCATTAGGAAGAAAAGAGTTAAGGCAGATTCCAATGATCCCCTATGTGCTAGCATAAGGACATGGGGAATTCTTTCAGAGGCAAAAAAAAAAAAACACCTAGCTTGATTTGTCCTTGGGTGTATACTGAGTGCTCTAACCCTAGTCCTAGTTGTACACTGAGTGCTCCAACCACAGTCTTAGGTACACATGAGTATTCCACCCCAGCCCTAGGTGTACACATGAGTACTCCAAACTCAAACCTAGGTGTACAATGAGTACTCCAACCACAACCTTAGGTGTACACTGAATGCTCCAACCACAGTCCTAGGTGCACAATGAGTGCTCTAACCCAAGCCCTGGGTGTACACTGAGTGCTCCAAACCCAGCCCTGGGTGTACACTGAGTACTCCAGCCCCAGCCCTAGGTGTACACTGAGTGCACCAACCCCAGCCATGGTTGTACACTGAGTGCTCCAACCCCAGCCCTGGGTGTACACTGAGTGCTCCAACCACGGCCCTAGGTGCACAATTAGTGCTATAACCCCAGCCCTGGGTGTACACTCAATGCTCCAACCCCAGCCCTGGGTCTATACCAAATGCTCCAACCCCAGCCCTAGGTATACACTGAGTGCTCCAACCCCAGCCCTAGGTGCACAATGAGTGTTCCAATCGCAGCCCTAGGTGTACACTGAGTGCTCCAGCCACAGCCCTAGGTGTACAATGAGTGCTTCAGCTTCAGTCCTAGGTGTATGCTGAGTACTCCAACCCTAGCCCTAAGTGTATTCTGAGTACTCCAATTCCAGTCCTCTCCAACCCCAGCTCTCTACCTGCTTGAGACATGTTTGTCCGGTGAATGATAAAAGCAATTTGAGCAGGAAAGCCCTGAGTACAAAGTCAACTGGCTAATTTTATGGTACAGGCCGTATGGTGGAGAAAGAATGAAGGGAGAGAAGTGGGGTGGTGAGATGGTGATTCTGGGTGAATGAGAGTAGCTTGATAGAAGAGGTGCTCTCGTAAGGAGGGTGAGACTTGGATAGGATGCTTCGTATCTTTGGTCCATGGCACCAGCAGTCCTTGCAGAAGGGATTCGGTACCCTTCACATCCACTGCTCCGAGGGGAGCTATCCCAACTGCCCTGGGCTTCATCTAGCTTTCTATTGGATTACTGCCACTGTCTTGTGACTGCAACCTCCAGTCTCGCATTCTATCATTCCAATGTCTACATTGCCACCAGGGTGACCCTTCTGAAATGCAAACCTAGGCACAGCAGGTTTCTGTTGAACAACCTCTGTAGGCACACCTAGGATGAAGTCAAATTCCTTCAAGTGGCATTCTAGACCTTTCTCAGTCTACTTGTCTGACCTCATTGCCTCCCACTCCTGATCCTGTAGACCCTATGCTCTAGGAAAACTCCTTTTCACTGTTCCCTCAATACATTATGCTCTTTTATGTCTCCAATGCGTTTGCACTCATCTTTAAAACCCTTCAAGTTCAAAGGCAGTTACCATCCGGTCCTAAAAATGCCCCCACTGTCTTCTCAGGGATTTAAAACATCTAGAAACCCAAAATTATATGTATACATGAAAAAAAGAGACTATGATAACAAAAATAGATATCCAAAAGGACAAAAACTAGAAGGAAATACACAAATTTGAAATCACCCATGTAAGTAATAGGGTTATGAACAATTTATTTTTCTTCTGTAAGTTGTTAGTGTTACTGAAACATATTTTTTAATAATTAAAAAGGACAGGGCAGGCGCAGTGCCTCACGCCTGTAATTCCAGCACTTTGGGAGGCCGAGGCGGGTGGATCTCCTGAGGTCAGGAGTTCAAGACCAGCCTGGCCAACATGGTGAAACCCTGTCTCTACTAAAAATACATAGATTAGCCAGGTGTGATGATGGGTGCCTGTAATCCCAGCTACTTGGGAGGCTGAGGCAGGAGAGTCATTGCTTGAACCCAGGAGGCGGAGGTTGCAGTGAGCCGAGATTGCACCATTGCACTACAGCCTAGGCAAGTTAAACTCCGCCTCAAAAAAAAAAATGGAAAAAAAGAAAGAAAAAGGATAACAAGCACAACAAGCAATGACATACCAAATGATAGCAAGGACTTAAGTAAAGAGTCCACCTTCAGGACAAGTATTCAAGTGAAAGAACAAAGTAGATTGGATTGACCACAGACACCCTCACAGAAGAGAAGAGTCGTGAGTAAGCAGTGGGATTCAGAGGCAGGGGACAGGGGGTCTTAGCTAGCAGATGGCCTGAACCATGTCACAAAGGATGGGATGAGTGGTTGGCAGACAGACAATCAAGACTGCTGCCTATAAAAAGTGAGTCAAGGCCCAGAACAGGCTGGCCCTAGGAGTACAGGCAAATTCATGGAAGTCAGACATCTAAACAAGAGATGATCTGATCATACTTGGTATCTGGAATTGCCACCTGTGTGGTTGGTACCTGAGAACACACCTCAGGTGCTAGAGCCTTGGAGCTTCTAAAGGAGCTCACTTTTTCGGAGCTGCACTCTGGAGTCCCAGTCATTTCTACAGGAGCAGACAAGTAGTCCCGGGTTCAGCAAACCCCGTTCCCCACAAGCAAACAGAGGAGGTCTCAGTCCCTGTGTCCCCAAAGGCCAATAAGTAAAAGTGAACAAACCAGTCCCCAAGAAGGAAGACTAAAGCTAGTGCTGTGAGGTTAATATTGGCCAACATGTTTACACTACACAGCTGAATTTTTTCATTGTATTATAAAAGCAATTGAAAATACAATTTTATACATGGGGATATTAAAAACGAAGGAGGTGTATCCTCTCTAGTCCATAAAATGCAATTTAACTCCATTTGTTCTAATGTCTGTGAAAGAACTGATTCCTTTACACTACATCTCTCTCAATTTCTGTGCTTTGGGTGTGTAAGTCATGCTTAACAAATTAGCATCAATGATGTAAACCAATAATCTGTCTTATTCAGACGTCAGGGCCTCTTAAGTCCTTGCACCTGTTCATACCTCCAAACACAAACAATGAAGATGAAGGAAACCTGAAACTTACTCATTTATTTTCTGTTCTAAATCCACTTACCTGATTTTGAAAAATATATCCTTACAATGACATTATTAGGTTTGTAGATCTTATATACAATATGATTTTTTTAAGTTTGCTACTTTGAAAATTTACCTGAATTTCTTAATTTGAAAACTTACCTAAAATCTCTAGAACTAAATGCTTTCTTTATTGTGACTAATACAACAGTAAAAGATGAAACTCTCTCCTGCCTGTTTTCCTGATATTTGGTGAAAACAAGTAGCTGGCACCACAGAGTAACCAACCATTTCCTTGGGGTCTCTGTACAGGCCTGAGCAGGCTGCAGCCCATTACTGGACTACGGAAAACACTCCGGGAATCCAGGAGTGACTACCTGCGCTAACTGACCAGAAAAAAGTGGGGGCTTTTTGTCTTTTTTCTTTTACATATTGGCATGGTTCAGCGAATTCAATCTTTGAAACCTTTCCAATGTGCTAAATAATGGATTATTGGAGGGCTTTCTAAGGCCCATTAATGGTTTCTCACTTAAGTCACATGGGGACCATCATTCTGCTAGCCTTCCAAGTAAAAACAAAACATCAGGTCACTTTGGATCTTCCCTCCTCCACACACCCTATAGTCTTACCCTAAATTACCACTATGACAGAGCAACCATCATCTGCAAATTTTCCCCACTTCCCAATGCCTACACTATTGTCCAGTGATACCGGTAGCCAAGGGTGTGGATATCAACTTTGAGGACATTGTACTCAGTGAAAGAAGCCAGACACAAAAGGACAAATAGTGTAGGATTCCACTCACAGGAGGTCCCTAGAGTGGTCAAATCCATAGAGACAGAGAGTAGACTTGTGGGTGCCAGGGGATGGGGGAGAGGTTGGGGAGTTGGTGTTGAATGGGGACAGTGTTTCTATTTGGGGAGATGAGCAAGTTCTATGGCTGGATGGTGGTGATGGCTGCACAACACTGAATGTGCTGATGTTATTGGACTGTACACTTAAAAAGAGTTAAGATGGTACATTTTATGCTATGTGTATTTTACCAAAATACAAACTTTTTTTCAAAGGGTATAGACAGCACCTAGGTTCACTCTGTGCATGAAACCTGGACCTTTGCCCCAACACACCCTTGGCCTGTCTTCTCACTAGTCCCTGAAAAGGCTGTGCTCATTTCTGTCCCTAAGCCTTTGCTCTCCTCTAGCCTGGAATGCCGCTGCCTCTCACTTCCAAGTCTCCAAATGCAGCATGCATTTCTCCTTCTTTTGTCCCTGATATCACTTCGTGTTTAAACTTCTGATATGGGCAGTTAATTTTGCAGTTTCTTGTCATTTCATCATTTTATGTTCATGGCTTGTCCCACACCCCCTGCCTGAAAACACCCTAAGTTCCCCGATGGCCCCGGGCTGGGTATCACACTTCGCATAATAGAAAATGTTGAAGCACAGAGCAGCTCTCAAAGGTGTGATGAATGATCAAATGGCAGGTGGAAAGGAGAAAATTTTAGCCAGATGTTCTATTGTGCCCACCTTCCTCTGAGATGGGCAATTGATGGAAGTGAGGGACTTGAGGCTTAAGCTCCTGGGGAGAAACTATAATAGGTCAGCAGACACTCCGGGGCAGAGGGGGACAGTGCATCCCCAAGAGTTAAAGGAGTCCTAAAGGAGGAAAACCAAACCCCAGCTCACCCCTGAACAGACTGTCAGCCCATCAGCCTTCCCTCTTCTGAGGAATGGTGGAATCCTTTTGGGGAATGGTGGAACACTGGGAAGGCAGTGCTGGAAGAGGAGGAAGAAACCGTGAGTGATGAGTTATTGCAAAAGAAGAAGGTAAACTATCAAATCGGTAACTGTTTATACTGATCAGTCATTGAAATGATAACACTTTTGGATATGTCGAGTTAAATAAAACACATCATTAAAATTAATTTCACCAGTTACTTTTAAATAAGGCAAAATTCTTCTAAATGAGGCTACTAGAAGATTTTGAAAACACATAAATATCTTGCATAATGTTTCTATTGGACAGTGCAGCCCCTGAGGGGACACGGCCCAGTACAACACGCCGTGGCAGCCTGACATCCCCAAAGCAACCAACGCCTTCTTCTCCCCAAACCACACTCCTCCAGAGGGACTTGACTTCAATGAGTTGAAGACTGTGCCACAGGCAACCAGCTGTGTCAAGGACCAACGCAGAACAAGCTCACACTTATTCAGCCCAGCAGGACCCTGAGTCTGGGAAGCATGGCGTGCCACATCGGGTTGTCCCTCAGAAAAACCCTGCTAGGTGGGAAGGAGCCACCTGCACCTGTGAGGCTGCGGAGGACAGGCTAGGGGCAGGGCAGGTTGTACGTGCATGTGCATGCGTGCGTGTGCGTGCGTGCGTGCGTGTGTGTGTGTGTGTGTGTGTGTTTCAGTGTGTGTGTGGGTGGGGCACAGCCAGACAGAAGCTGAGGAAGTACTGCTCCCCCCACCCCAGGTAGGGGCAGCCAGCCAGGGAATGGCAGGGTCATATGGCAGGAGGCAGGTGCTAGCCTGGCAGCCCAAGGGCCTGTCGTGGGCTCTGGGCAGGGCAGAGAGCCGTCGGGAGCAGAATCAAAGAGGGCATTGGAGGAAGAAGCTTCTGAGCAGTCAGAGCAGGCCGCGGCCGGTGGGGAGCTGGCCCGAAGCCACAGACTGGGGAGCTTTGGCCCTGCCTGAGGTAGGACGGTAGGGAGGAGCCCCAGGCTCTCCCTGGAGGACACAAGGGGGCCCCCGTTGGCTGTGCAGAGCCTGGGCCCTCGGACATTGTGGTGCACAGCAAAGAAGCCCTTCTTGGTTCAAGAGCAGACAATGCTCCCACTCAACCTGTGGAGGCTGTAAGGGACACGTCCGAGGTCAGCCAGCTGGGAGGCAACCAGGTGGGGAGAAACACACACGGAGACCTCCTCTGCGTCCCGGCCTGCGTTGGAGGCACTCAGCAAGGCTGGCTGTCCTTGGGACTTGTTTCTCAAGAGCCAGTACTACAGCAGGTGCTCTACGGAGGCGTCTGGTCACCAAGCAACCCAGAGCCTTCTGTGAATCTTGATTGCAGCATCTCCAATCAAGTGCCACCTCACAGTACAGTGCTTCCGTGTTTATCCCTTCAGGTGTCCAACATCTGCTGGGCACGCTGGCTCTGTGCAGTGCCTTCTGCTGGCAATCAGGGGGACCAAGCCAAAAAGATGGAAGCCTCTGGGAGCCAAACCAAGCAGGGGCCACCTATACAATTCCTCTACCTTTACCAGGGAGTCTGCCTGCCCACAGGGCAGGGCTGGGTGCTGCAGGGCAGGGTGGGGAGGGACGGGAAGATGGAGAGTGGCAGGCTGGCGGGAGGGAGGAAGAGGGCAGAGCGAATGTCTACCTGGGTGTCACACGAGCCACTTGAATGTGACCACGGCCACAGGAACTCATCCCCATGCCCGTCACCCCTCTTTCCACAAAAGGCAAGAGGAAAGACAACTGCCAGCATGATCCCCATGTCAGACAAGGGTCCTGCCTTCCACCCGGTCCACACACAACAAGGAACCCGGGACCCTGCCTGAGCCCTCCCCGGGCCTTCTCCCTCTCTAGAGCCTGTATCTTCTGCTTTCCCTTAGACCCTCCTTGCCCAGCCCCGGGGTCGGGGGGGCCTGGACTTGGGCTGCAGCCCCCTCGCTGCTCCAGGCTTCCCATCCTGCTGATTAGTTCCCCCAGACGTCTGGCCGGCCGGTCTCAGCATCACCACCTCCTGGCTTCAAACCCATCGGGGCTCCCCACAGCCCTCAGGATAAGGTCCCGGTACCCTGGCAGGCTGGAGCAGGCTGACAGATTCAGGCACTTGCTGGAAAGAAGGCACCGAGAGCCTCCTCTGGGCCACACTCTGTTCTAGGTGCTGGGGATCTCAGGGTAGGAAACGCTGTACTACGGTTTGAACGTTGTGTCCCTGCCAAAATTCATGTTGAAAGTTAGTCCCTAACGCAGCAGTGTTAAGGGGTGAGACCTTTAGGAGGCAATGAGACCATGGGGGCAGAGCCCTCGGGGATGAGAGGAGTCCCTTGTAAAAGGCTGGAAAGCACTAGGTAAGCCCCCTTTTTGCTGTTCCCTCCCCACGACCATGTGAGGACACAGGCACAAGACACCATCTTGGAAGGAGAGACTGAGCCCCCACCAGATGCTGAACCTACTGGTGCCTTGATCTTGGGCTTCCCAGCCTCCGGAATTGGGAACAAGAAATTTCTGTTCTTTTGTAAGTTTCCCAGTCTCCAGTGCCTTGACTTTGAGCTTCCCAGCCCCCAGAATTGGGAGCAATACATTTCTGTTCTTTGCAAGTTACCCAGTCTCAGGTATTTTGCTATAGCAGTGCAAATGGGCTAGACACACAGGCAAGTCCACCCCACCTTCTGGGGCTCTAGCTTGCCACCTGGGGAGGGAGCCCCTGATACCCAAAAGCAAAGACTCAGACCAGCATTTCTCACGTGCCGACACATGTACTGATGCCGCCAATAAGAATATAAACCGAGGGCACGTGATTTGTGTGTCCCAGCAGAGGGGGCCTATGGGAGGAGGGGACAGTTCAGCTGAGACATGAAGGAGGAGGAGGTGCAGGAGGAGGGGGAGGAGGAGGAGGGGGAGGAGGAGGAATAGGAGGAGGAGGAGGAGGAGGGAGAGGAAGAGCAGGAGGAAGCTGCTGCCACAGAAGGTTCTTGGGCCTGGATGGCTCACACAGAGGAAGGAGGGATGGCAAAGGCCGAAGGTGGGAACAAGCCCTGTGCTTTGGGGCCAGCTGAACAGGCCAGATCGGCAGGAATGTGGTGAGAGGAGCTGGGGGCATGGCAACATGGGGTGGATTTCGGGGAAGGAAGGAGAGCATCAGAGGAAGCCAGATCCCCAGGAGCAGCGTGGGGGGTGCTCTTGACCAGGATGGGGACTTTGAGATTACTCTAAGGAGATGGGGTGCCACAGGGAGGAGCAGGGTCTGGTGGTGTTGCAAAAAGATCACCCTGGCTGCTGAGGGGGTGTTGGTGGAGCAGGGAGGAAGCGGAGTGGAGGCAGGGAGAACAGGAGGCAGGGCGGGCCAAGGACCACGGAGATGAGAAGGGTAGCAGTCTTGGAGCAGAGTCAACAAAATCCAATGATGGGTTAGATTTGGGAGTGAGGAACAAAGGAGAGGGGAGAGAATCTTGGCTGCTTTGTTTGAGTCACCAGGTAGGAGGCAGAGCCCTTTGCACAGAGGGGGAAGCCCGGGGACAGTGTAGGCATGGTGAAGGGGACGAAGCCCTCCGGTTTGAACATCTTAGCTCTGAAATGTCTGCGGGGCATCCACGTGGGCAGATGGATGGGTACGTGCGGAGCTTGGAAGAGAGGTCACGTCCAGAGACAGAGCATTCATCGGAGGTGCCGTATGTCCCAGGGTTGAGGCTGGGAGCCCGCCCCCACCACGCTTAGATCCAGCAAAGTAGGAGGAGGAGGAGGAAGGTCCAAGGGCAGAGAGGCAGGTAGAGAGGGAGGAGGTCAGCCCAAAAGTGGGGTGGGGGAGAGGAAGAAGCTGAGAAAGGAAATGGTTTTGAGAAGGAAGGAGAGTCAACTGTGTTGAGAGGTGGAGACAATGGGGACAGAGGACTGACAAAAGAAAGACAGTTGACGTGTCACAGCCCAGCCTTGCCCGGGGTTGGCGGGGGGCAATGGGTGTCCTGCAGCGTCCTGGACTTGGAGTCAGCAGGTGCAGAAGGAAGGAGAGTGGGAAGAGACAAGGCCGAAAACAGGAAATTAGTTGCGAGCCGGCCGGTGGGCTGGCTGGGCCAGTTGGAGACACCAGACCCACAGATGTTCCCAGGGCGGGGGCGGCCGAGGCGGGGGGGGGGGAGGGGGGGGGGGTCGGTGCCCTTTCTGAAGAAGGACTCCAGAAAAATCACGGCTGAAAACAAGAGAGAGGACAATATGTGGTATAAGCCGTGACAAGTCTAACACTAAAGGTTCGATAGACAGACACTCTCACAGCAGAGGTAAAGAGCAGCAGTTTGCCTGAATGAGAACAAGCAGTCTTGGCCCTCAAGGGGGAGAAGCGGTGGGGGGCAGGGGGGCGGGGAGGACTGGACACACGAGCCCAACCGGGGAGGCTGCTTTGTGACAGAAGACATGCGTTTCTTCGCTGACCCCACGTTTACTACCTGGGAGGTAGAAAAGCCTGGGGAGCAAGACCATGCCAACCTAAGTACCACACAGAGAGGGAGCCTCCCTATAAGAATGGTATTCAGAAATAGGCACTGCAGTGGGGACGCGTGCGCCCTAGTGAACTATGTGCATATTCAGGCAGGGGAAGGCAGACAAAGGTTTTTCAGGACAAGTGAAGAGGATTACATAATTGTTTTGACATAATGATCTTTGGCTACAAGGATGAATAACAAGGGTAGCATTGGTCAGGGGCTTGGACAGGAAGTTGCTGGGCAGGTGTCCTCACAGAAGTATTATTTGTGTCAGGTTGCAACAGCCTTTGTGCAAATTTGTGGGTTTTGCAGTCTTCCGTGATAGCTTTTGTTATCAGGCATTCGTGCATGGGAACCCTGCCTAGGTGGCCCTCCACAGCTCTATTTGTCAGGTTTTTGGATTTTTGTTTGCTTGAACAACAAGTGACTCCATCTTGATTCTGAAACCTTTCACAACCATACGGGCAAGCCAAAGTCTAATTGTGAGGCCCACTCCAATGCGACCTGCTTCTGGGCAACGTGATAGACTGGCCATGGCTTATATCACAAAAGGAGAAAGGCTTCGATCTTGACGCTAGGAACTTTCTCCTGGAAACGGGCCAATGACGCCTGTCATCTGCGAGATGAGGAGGAAAGGAGCAAAGGAGATTCACAGAAGAGGAACCAGGAACGGCCAGTGAGAGGATGCACGACCTCGCCACCGCTCGGGGAAACGCAAGGCACACAGCGATGAGGTGGTGTCTCTCCCCGTGGGATGGGCAAGCAGGCGAGGCTGGACAGGACCAAAGGCTGCTCGGGCTGTAGGAACCCAGGACCGCTCCCACGCTGCCAGTGCGAGGGAACATGGGTTCAGCCACGCACCGGAGGTCACAGATGAGCAATGCTTGGTTGTGGCGTTGATAGGCACAGCCCAAGTCCCAGCAGAGCCACTGCCTGCTGTGCACCCCAGAGTCTTTCTGGCTGACGGTGGTGGCTCAGACAGGCATGCGGGATGCCACTGGCAGCAGTGTCTGCAACAGCCAAACAGTGGGAAGGACCGGAATGTCCATCCCCAGGGTCATAGACAAATACTCTGGGGCTGTGATTCAGCAAGGAGCTTGGGCGAGCTGGACGCTTGGGGGAAACCTTGGCCAGCAAGTTGCCAAACAGGAGGTCAGGCAAGGAAAGAGAAGGGGATGAGGGAACGACACCCAGAGGTGTGACCCCGTGGGAACCTGTTTGCCACCTGCCTGGTGGAGATGCTGTTCACATGGCCCCAGCCTCCCATGATGGGTCAGGTGCAGGGTGGTCAGATCCACGGGCGCAGAATCTCTGTTTTGAGCGGAGGCTGCTCTGCCCTGGCGCAGTGTCTAGCCCCGGCAACAGAGGACTGGGGAAGGACCTATGGAAGGCTGACTCAGGCCCTGACAGACGGAGGTCTCCAGGGAGGTACGACACCCATGCTGCCCTCAGGGCCAAGAGAGCAATGTCCCAGAGCCCATCAGGCTGGTGAGGGCACAGGGGGCAGGGGACAAATTGAGTAGCCCACTCCGCGCGGACTACCTTTCCAGGCACACACTCAGGCAGAGACCCAGACTCGGGACTTGCGGCTGCAAAACGGACGAGGCCCGGGCATACTTGGGTGCTGGGTCACCCTCCTAGGTGCTGGCTCCTGGCACCAGGGCAGCAAAGTGCTTCGGCCGGAGGGCTGCGGGTCCCTGAAGCCGGATGGGCAGCGGGGAGATGGCAGACCCTCCGTAGGATGGTGTGCGTGAGCTGCGTGAGCGCCTGGGGCATCTCCTCCACGGAATGGCACCCGCACCAGGTGCCCCTGGCCTCGCCTGGCCTTGCCAGCCAGAGGACCAGTCCTGGACGGGGAGGGGGAGGACAAGAGCAGGTGCACAGGCCCCAGAACCCGGCTCCCTGACCCTGGCCAGAACGCAGAGCTGCCGGACGCACCTCAGACCACTCCCTGGCCCTCTGGTGGGCACGCCGGGGTGCACACCCGTCGCCCCGCTGGCGCCTGCCTCCGGGGCACGTGCGGGAGGGGCAGAGGCCTGGACCAGGAACCGCTGTGGTGAGAGCCAAAGGCGCTGGGACCTGCGGCCCACAGACCTTTGGACACCCCGGTGGGGGTGGGGGTGGGCTGGCGCCTGTGTTCCCGGGACCCGCGGCGCGAGGGGAGTGGGGGTGGGGCTAGGGGATAGGAGCAGGTGACGTCACCCGGGGTCCTGGGGCGCTCGGGAAGGCGGCGAGAGCCAGGCCACGTGACCCGCCCGCGGCAACGGCCCTGCGCTCTCCCGGGCCGGCGACGCGGAGGGGTCCGCGCTGCACCGCCGCCGCACCCCGGCCGCGTGACCGCACTGCAGAGAGCGGCTGCGAGCAGGCGCCTGCGCACCGGCCCAAACGCCGAGCGAGCGAGGGAGAGGCACAGTCAGAGGGAACGCCCGCGCGGGGAGCCAGGGGCGCCCGACCCCGCCGCCGCCGCAGCGGCGCGCAGCCCCCGACGCGCCCTGTGGGGACCCGGACCAGGAGGGACCCTGCCCCGGGAAAAGGTATCAGACCCACCCGGGGAGGGGGACGCTGGGTCCCGGGAGACTCCGCCGCCCCTCGCCTGTCCGCCCTAACAGAACTGAAGCAGCCTGCGGGGCAGCGGTCCGGGGTCCGGGGTCCGGGGTCCGGGGTCCGGGGGCGGCGCGGGGATGAGGCCAAGACCCGCAGGGACCACCCCCCCGGGGGGGCGGGGCGGGACAGGGGCGGGGCCTGGCTGCAGAGGCGCGGCCAGGGGAGGAGGGCGGCTGGGGGTGGGAGTGGACGTGGACGTGGACGTGGGCGTGGGGAGGGGTGGGCATTAACCTCGCTCTCGCCCGCTCGCATTCACAGGCTGTGGAGACCTGGGCTCCGACCCCAGTTCATCCCCCCACACCCCCGCCGCCCCGTGCCACCCTGGTCCGCGCTGGGAACCCTATCCTGCCCCTCGTGTCAGCCCGGCACTGGCCAGAATCGCGGGCATGGCGGTGACCATGCTGCAGGACTGGTGCCGGTGGATGGGGGTCAACGCTCGCAGGGGCCTGCTCATCCTGGGCATCCCGGAGGACTGTGATGATGCCGAATTCCAAGAGTCCCTCGAGGCTGCCCTGAGGCCTATGGGACACTTTACAGTGCTAGGCAAAGCGTTTCGAGAGGAGGATAATGCCACCGCGGCCCTGGTCGAGCTCGACCGGGAAGTCAACTATGCTTTGGTCCCCAGGGAAATCCCCGGCACTGGGGGCCCGTGGAACGTGGTCTTTGTGCCCCGTTGCTCAGGCGAGGAGTTTCTCGGTCTCGGTCGCGTGTTCCACTTCCCGGAGCAAGAGGGGCAGATGGTGGAGAGCGTGGCCGGCGCCCTGGGTGTGGGGCTGCGCAGGGTGTGCTGGCTGCGATCCATCGGTCAGGCGGTCCAGCCCTGGGTGGAGGCCGTGAGGTGCCAGAGCCTGGGTGTGTTTTCCGGGAGGGACCAGCCAGCCCCAGGGGAGGAGTCCTTTGAGGTCTGGCTAGACCACACCACCGAAATGCTGCATGTGTGGCAGGGGGTCTCGGAAAGGGAGAGGAGGAGGAGGCTGCTGGAAGGCTTGCGTGGGACCGCCCTGCAGCTCGTGCACGCGCTCCTGGCGGAGAACCCCGCCAGGACGGCGCAGGACTGTCTGGCGGCCCTGGCCCAGGTGTTTGGAGACAACGAGTCCCAGGCGACCATCCGGGTGAAGTGTCTGACCGCTCAGCAGCAGTCAGGCGAGCGTCTCTCAGCTTTCGTGTTGCGGCTGGAAGTGCTGCTGCAGAAGGCCATGGAGAAGGAGGCCCTGGCCAGAGCATCCGCCGACCGCGTGCGCCTGAGGCAGATGCTCACCAGGGCCCACCTTACTGAGCCTCTGGATGAAGCACTGAGGAAGCTGAGAATGGCCGGGAGGTCTCCAAGTTTCTTGGAGATGCTGGGGCTCGTTCGGGAGTCTGAGGCATGGGAGGCCAGTCTAGCCAGGAGCGTGAGAGCCCAGACACAGGAAGGGGCCGGTGCCCGGGCTGGTGCCCAGGCTGTTGCCAGAGCCAGCACTAAAGTAGAGGCGGTCCCAGGAGGTCCTGGTCGGGAGCCAGAGGGCCTCCTCCAGGCAGGAGGCCAGGAGGCTGAGGAGCTCCTCCAGGAGGGGCTCAAGCCCGTCCTGGAGGAATGTGATAACTAGGTTGGGGCTGGGGAGGCAGCCCAGCGCGAGTCCTCCCCGGGCAAATAGGCTCCGAGGGCCCCGGGGCCTCCTCTCCTCCTCTCAGGCAGCAGGGCCCTGGAGACAGGCGGAGGCCGGGCCAGGGCCGGTCCCTCACCCCACATCGGGATCGGGGCCAGCTGTGGCCTGGGTGGGGGCACCTGAAGATGTCTGCCCCCCACTCCTTGTCCTGGGTTGGGAGAGGCAGGGGGAAAGAGGCCCTCTCAAGGGTGTCAGCTGCCTGGGTCTCCCAAGAGCGGTCCCCCACCCGCGGAGTCCTCCACATGGCTCCCGTGTGGGCCTCTGACTTCATGCCCAGGCCCTCCTGGGGCTCTTCCCTGACCTTGGCTTCCAGCCTGAGGTTACACATGTGGCCACTCTGACCCTTCTGAAAGCCCTGAGCGCCGCCCCCCCCACCCCACCCCGCAGTGCTGTCAGGGATCCTGGATACCAGGACCTAGCCTACTGTCCCTCTGCCTGTCTGCAACGTCCAAACCACCTACTCCTGGGAGGTGATCAGCGTGCCCTGGGAACCCAATCAGCCCCTGCTCAAGACTACCACGCCATCCCGTGCAGCCCAGGGGACCACACAGACCCTCAGGGACCAAGCACCCCACACACCCCGATGTTAGCCCAGCCACTGTGGCACCTCACCTCACCTTGTCCCCAGCCAACACTGCACCCCGCACCCCGCACCCCATGCAGTTTCCCACAGCAGAGGCGAGGCCGGCTGGAACACTGAATGAAATTTATTGAAGAGAGATATGTACTGAAACCGTTGAAGAGAAGGGAATCACAACACAGAAGCTGCAAATGGCCACCACAGGACACAGGTCGGGACCCCCCTCCTCCTGGGGGAACACCCACCCCAGGTCTAGGAAACTCAGTAACAAGTAACAACAGGGGTGGAACGCCAAAGCACAAAGTTCACTGGGGAAACTCAGACAGCCCCACTCCATCCCGGGTCCTGTTCTTTCTCCCACAGTCATGGTCACCATCGCTGTCACGGGATGAGTGTCCACTGTGCCCTGGTGCCTTCTTTCCGCCATCTCCCGGGACTGCGCTGGGGTCCTCTGGGGAGGAGCTGCTCAGAGAAGAACACACACGGCTCCACAAAAACAAGCAGCCCCTGGCCTAGATCTACGCAGGGAAAGCAGAGGTGGTGCTCACGATACGGGAGAGCAGTGAGCACAACCTGGGCTCCCAGGAAGCTCACAGCACGTGCCCCTGGCACTGGAGGGGCGCCTCCCCCCACCCCATTTGGTATTAAATGTGGTCATCTGGGTCACCGGGAAGGTGGTGGTGGGCAGGGCCCCTTGGGGGGAAGTGGGGGGCCCCGATCCCGATGTGGGGTGAGGGACCGGCCCTGGCCCCGCCTCCGCCTGTCTCCAGGGCCCTGCTGCCTGAGAGGAGGAGAGGAGGCCCCGGGGCCCTCGGAGCCTATTTGCCCGGGGAGGACTCGCGCTGGGCTGCCTCCCCAGCCCCAACCTAGTTATCACATTCCTCCAGGACGGGCTTGAGCCCCTCCTGGAGGAGCTCCTCAGCCTCCTGGCCTCCTGCCTGGAGGAGGCCCTCTGGCTCCCGACCAGGACCTCCTGGGACCGCCTCTACTTTAGTGCTGGCTCTGGCAACAGCCTGGGCACCAGCCCGGGCACCGGCCCCTTCCTGTGTCTGGGCTCTCACGCTCCTGGCTAGACTGGCCTCCCATGCCTCAGACTCCCGAACGAGCCCCAGCATCTCCAAGAAACTTGGAGACCTCCCGGCCATTCTCAGCTTCCTCAGTGCTTCATCCAGAGGCTCAGTAAGGTGGGCCCTGGTGAGCATCTGCCTCAGGCGCACGCGGTCGGCGGATGCTCTGGCCAGGGCCTCCTTCTCCATGGCCTTCTGCAGCAGCACTTCCAGCCGCAACACGAAAGCTGAGAGACGCTCGCCTGACTGCTGCTGAGCGGTCAGACACTTCACCCGGATGGTCGCCTGGGACTCGTTGTCTCCAAACACCTGGGCCAGGGCCGCCAGACAGTCCTGCGCCGTCCTGGCGGGGTTCTCCGCCAGGAGCGCGTGCACGAGCTGCAGGGCGGTCCCACGCAAGCCTTCCAGCAGCCTCCTCCTCCTCTCCCTTTCCGAGACCCCCTGCCACACATGCAGCATTTCGGTGGTGTGGTCTAGCCAGACCTCAAAGGACTCCTCCCCTGGGGCTGGCTGGTCCCTCCCGGAAAACACGCCCAGGCTCTGGCACCTCACGGCCTCCACCCAGGGCTGGACCGCCTGACCGATGGATCGCAGCCAGCACACCCTGCGCAGCCCCACACCCAGGGCGCCGGCCACGCTCTCCACCATCTGCCCCTCTTGCTCCGGGAAGTGGAACACGCGACCGAGACCGAGAAACTCCTCGCCTGAGCAACGGGGCACAAAGACCACGTTCCACGGGCCCCCAGTGCCGGGGATTTCCCTGGGGACCAAAGCATAGTTGACTTCCCGGTCGAGCTCGACCAGGGCCGCGGTGGCATTATCCTCCTCTCGAAACGCTTTGCCTAGCACTGTAAAGTGTCCCATAGGCCTCAGGGCAGCCTCGAGGGACTCTTGGAATTCGGCATCATCACAGTCCTCCGGGATGCCCAGGATGAGCAGGCCCCTGCGAGCGTTGACCCCCATCCACCGGCACCAGTCCTGCAGCATGGTCACCGCCATGCCCGCGATTCTGGCCAGTGCCGGGCTGACACGAGGGGCAGGATAGGGTTCCCAGCGCGGACCAGGGTGGCACGGGGCGGCGGGGGTGTGGGGGGATGAACTGGGGTCGGAGCCCAGGTCTCCACAGCCTGTGAATGCGAGCGGGCGAGAGCGAGGTTAATGCCCACCCCTCCCCACGCCCACGTCCACGTCCACGTCCACTCCCACCCCCAGCCGCCCTCCTCCCCTGGCCGCGCCTCTGCAGCCAGGCCCCGCCCCTGTCCCGCCCCGCCCCCCCGGGGGGGTGGTCCCTGCGGGTCTTGGCCTCATCCCCGCGCCGCCCCCGGACCCCGGACCCCGGACCCCGGACCCCGGACCGCTGCCCCGCAGGCTGCTTCAGTTCTGTTAGGGCGGACAGGCGAGGGGCGGCGGAGTCTCCCGGGACCCAGCGTCCCCCTCCCCGGGTGGGTCTGATACCTTTTCCCGGGGCAGGGTCCCTCCTGGTCCGGGTCCCCACAGGGCGCGTCGGGGGCTGCGCGCCGCTGCGGCGGCGGCGGGGTCGGGCGCCCCTGGCTCCCCGCGCGGGCGTTCCCTCTGACTGTGCCTCTCCCTCGCTCGCTCGGCGTTTGGGCCGGTGCGCAGGCGCCTGCTCGCAGCCGCTCTCTGCAGTGCGGTCACGCGGCCGGGGTGCGGCGGCGGTGCAGCGCGGACCCCTCCGCGTCGCCGGCCCGGGAGAGCGCAGGGCCGTTGCCGCGGGCGGGTCACGTGGCCTGGCTCTCGCCGCCTTCCCGAGCGCCCCAGGACCCCGGGTGACGTCACCTGCTCCTATCCCCTAGCCCCACCCCCACTCCCCTCGCGCCGCGGGTCCCGGGAACACAGGCGCCAGCCCACCCCCACCCCCACCGGGGTGTCCAAAGGTCTGTGGGCCGCAGGTCCCAGCGCCTTTGGCTCTCACCACAGCGGTTCCTGGTCCAGGCCTCTGCCCCTCCCGCACGTGCCCCGGAGGCAGGCGCCAGCGGGGCGACGGGTGTGCACCCCGGCGTGCCCACCAGAGGGCCAGGGAGTGGTCTGAGGTGCGTCCGGCAGCTCTGCGTTCTGGCCAGGGTCAGGGAGCCGGGTTCTGGGGCCTGTGCACCTGCTCTTGTCCTCCCCCTCCCCGTCCAGGACTGGTCCTCTGGCTGGCAAGGCCAGGCGAGGCCAGGGGCACCTGGTGCGGGTGCCATTCCGTGGAGGAGATGCCCCAGGCGCTCACGCAGCTCACGCACACCATCCTACGGAGGGTCTGCCATCTCCCCGCTGCCCATCCGGCTTCAGGGACCCGCAGCCCTCCGGCCGAAGCACTTTGCTGCCCTGGTGCCAGGAGCCAGCACCTAGGAGGGTGACCCAGCACCCAAGTATGCCCGGGCCTCGTCCGTTTTGCAGCCGCAAGTCCCGAGTCTGGGTCTCTGCCTGAGTGTGTGCCTGGAAAGGTAGTCCGCGCGGAGTGGGCTACTCAATTTGTCCCCTGCCCCCTGTGCCCTCACCAGCCTGATGGGCTCTGGGACATTGCTCTCTTGGCCCTGAGGGCAGCATGGGTGTCGTACCTCCCTGGAGACCTCCGTCTGTCAGGGCCTGAGTCAGCCTTCCATAGGTCCTTCCCCAGTCCTCTGTTGCCGGGGCTAGACACTGCGCCAGGGCAGAGCAGCCTCCGCTCAAAACAGAGATTCTGCGCCCGTGGATCTGACCACCCTGCACCTGACCCATCATGGGAGGCTGGGGCCATGTGAACAGCATCTCCACCAGGCAGGTGGCAAACAGGTTCCCACGGGGTCACACCTCTGGGTGTCGTTCCCTCATCCCCTTCTCTTTCCTTGCCTGACCTCCTGTTTGGCAACTTGCTGGCCAAGGTTTCCCCCAAGCGTCCAGCTCGCCCAAGCTCCTTGCTGAATCACAGCCCCAGAGTATTTGTCTATGACCCTGGGGATGGACATTCCGGTCCTTCCCACTGTTTGGCTGTTGCAGACACTGCTGCCAGTGGCATCCCGCATGCCTGTCTGAGCCACCACCGTCAGCCAGAAAGACTCTGGGGTGCACAGCAGGCAGTGGCTCTGCTGGGACTTGGGCTGTGCCTATCAACGCCACAACCAAGCATTGCTCATCTGTGACCTCCGGTGCGTGGCTGAACCCATGTTCCCTCGCACTGGCAGCGTGGGAGCGGTCCTGGGTTCCTACAGCCCGAGCAGCCTTTGGTCCTGTCCAGCCTCGCCTGCTTGCCCATCCCACGGGGAGAGACACCACCTCATCGCTGTGTGCCTTGCGTTTCCCCGAGCGGTGGCGAGGTCGTGCATCCTCTCACTGGCCGTTCCTGGTTCCTCTTCTGTGAATCTCCTTTGCTCCTTTCCTCCTCATCTCGCAGATGACAGGCGTCATCGGCCCGTTTCCAGGAGAAAGTTCCTAGCGTCAAGATCGAAGCCTTTCTCCTTTTGTGATATAAGCCATGGCCAGTCTATCACGTTGCCCAGAAGCAGGTCGCATTGGAGTGGGCCTCACAATTAGACTTTGGCTTGCCCGTATGGTTGTGAAAGGTTTCAGAATCAAGATGGAGTCACTTGTTGTTCAAGCAAACAAAAATCCAAAAACCTGACAAATAGAGCTGTGGAGGGCCACCTAGGCAGGGTTCCCATGCACGAATGCCTGATAACAAAAGCTATCACGGAAGACTGCAAAACCCACAAATTTGCACAAAGGCTGTTGCAACCTGACACAAATAATACTTCTGTGAGGACACCTGCCCAGCAACTTCCTGTCCAAGCCCCTGACCAATGCTACCCTTGTTATTCATCCTTGTAGCCAAAGATCATTATGTCAAAACAATTATGTAATCCTCTTCACTTGTCCTGAAAAACCTTTGTCTGCCTTCCCCTGCCTGAATATGCACATAGTTCACTAGGGCGCACGCGTCCCCACTGCAGTGCCTATTTCTGAATACCATTCTTATAGGGAGGCTCCCTCTCTGTGTGGTACTTAGGTTGGCATGGTCTTGCTCCCCAGGCTTTTCTACCTCCCAGGTAGTAAACGTGGGGTCAGCGAAGAAACGCATGTCTTCTGTCACAAAGCAGCCTCCCCGGTTGGGCTCGTGTGTCCAGTCCTCCCCGCCCCCCTGCCCCCCACCGCTTCTCCCCCTTGAGGGCCAAGACTGCTTGTTCTCATTCAGGCAAACTGCTGCTCTTTACCTCTGCTGTGAGAGTGTCTGTCTATCGAACCTTTAGTGTTAGACTTGTCACGGCTTATACCACATATTGTCCTCTCTCTTGTTTTCAGCCGTGATTTTTCTGGAGTCCTTCTTCAGAAAGGGCACCGACCCCCCCCCCCTCCCCCCCCCCGCCTCGGCCGCCCCCGCCCTGGGAACATCTGTGGGTCTGGTGTCTCCAACTGGCCCAGCCAGCCCACCGGCCGGCTCGCAACTAATTTCCTGTTTTCGGCCTTGTCTCTTCCCACTCTCCTTCCTTCTGCACCTGCTGACTCCAAGTCCAGGACGCTGCAGGACACCCATTGCCCCCCGCCAACCCCGGGCAAGGCTGGGCTGTGACACGTCAACTGTCTTTCTTTTGTCAGTCCTCTGTCCCCATTGTCTCCACCTCTCAACACAGTTGACTCTCCTTCCTTCTCAAAACCATTTCCTTTCTCAGCTTCTTCCTCTCCCCCACCCCACTTTTGGGCTGACCTCCTCCCTCTCTACCTGCCTCTCTGCCCTTGGACCTTCCTCCTCCTCCTCCTACTTTGCTGGATCTAAGCGTGGTGGGGGCGGGCTCCCAGCCTCAACCCTGGGACATACGGCACCTCCGATGAATGCTCTGTCTCTGGACGTGACCTCTCTTCCAAGCTCCGCACGTACCCATCCATCTGCCCACGTGGATGCCCCGCAGACATTTCAGAGCTAAGATGTTCAAACCGGAGGGCTTCGTCCCCTTCACCATGCCTACACTGTCCCCGGGCTTCCCCCTCTGTGCAAAGGGCTCTGCCTCCTACCTGGTGACTCAAACAAAGCAGCCAAGATTCTCTCCCCTCTCCTTTGTTCCTCACTCCCAAATCTAACCCATCATTGGATTTTGTTGACTCTGCTCCAAGACTGCTACCCTTCTCATCTCCGTGGTCCTTGGCCCGCCCTGCCTCCTGTTCTCCCTGCCTCCACTCCGCTTCCTCCCTGCTCCACCAACACCCCCTCAGCAGCCAGGGTGATCTTTTTGCAACACCACCAGACCCTGCTCCTCCCTGTGGCACCCCATCTCCTTAGAGTAATCTCAAAGTCCCCATCCTGGTCAAGAGCACCCCCCACGCTGCTCCTGGGGATCTGGCTTCCTCTGATGCTCTCCTTCCTTCCCCGAAATCCACCCCATGTTGCCATGCCCCCAGCTCCTCTCACCACATTCCTGCCGATCTGGCCTGTTCAGCTGGCCCCAAAGCACAGGGCTTGTTCCCACCTTCGGCCTTTGCCATCCCTCCTTCCTCTGTGTGAGCCATCCAGGCCCAAGAACCTTCTGTGGCAGCAGCTTCCTCCTGCTCTTCCTCTCCCTCCTCCTCCTCCTCCTCCTATTCCTCCTCCTCCCCCTCCTCCTGCACCTCCTCCTCCTTCATGTCTCAGCTGAACTGTCCCCTCCTCCCATAGGCCCCCTCTGCTGGGACACACAAATCACGTGCCCTCGGTTTATATTCTTATTGGCGGCATCAGTACATGTGTCGGCACGTGAGAAATGCTGGTCTGAGTCTTTGCTTTTGGGTATCAGGGGCTCCCTCCCCAGGTGGCAAGCTAGAGCCCCAGAAGGTGGAGTGGACTTGCCTGTGTGTCTAGCCCATTTGCACTGCTATAGCAAAATACCTGAGACTGGGTAACTTGCAAAGAACAGAAATGTATTGCTCCCAATTCTGGGGGCTGGGAAGCTCAAAGTCAAGGCACTGGAGACTGGGAAACTTACAAAAGAACAGAAATTTCTTGTTCCCAATTCCGGAGGCTGGGAAGCCCAAGATCAAGGCACCAGTAGGTTCAGCATCTGGTGGGGGCTCAGTCTCTCCTTCCAAGATGGTGTCTTGTGCCTGCGTCCTCACATGGTCGTGGGGAGGGAACAGCAAAAAGGGGGCTTACCTAGTGCTTTCCAGCCTTTTACAAGGGACTCCTCTCATCCCCGAGGGCTCTGCCCCCATGGTCTCATTGCCTCCTAAAGGTCTCACCCCTTAACACTGCTGCGTTAGGGACTAACTTTCAACATGAATTTTGGCAGGGACACAACGTTCAAACCGTAGTACAGCGTTTCCTACCCTGAGATCCCCAGCACCTAGAACAGAGTGTGGCCCAGAGGAGGCTCTCGGTGCCTTCTTTCCAGCAAGTGCCTGAATCTGTCAGCCTGCTCCAGCCTGCCAGGGTACCGGGACCTTATCCTGAGGGCTGTGGGGAGCCCCGATGGGTTTGAAGCCAGGAGGTGGTGATGCTGAGACCGGCCGGCCAGACGTCTGGGGGAACTAATCAGCAGGATGGGAAGCCTGGAGCAGCGAGGGGGCTGCAGCCCAAGTCCAGGCCCCCCCGACCCCGGGGCTGGGCAAGGAGGGTCTAAGGGAAAGCAGAAGATACAGGCTCTAGAGAGGGAGAAGGCCCGGGGAGGGCTCAGGCAGGGTCCCGGGTTCCTTGTTGTGTGTGGACCGGGTGGAAGGCAGGACCCTTGTCTGACATGGGGATCATGCTGGCAGTTGTCTTTCCTCTTGCCTTTTGTGGAAAGAGGGGTGACGGGCATGGGGATGAGTTCCTGTGGCCGTGGTCACATTCAAGTGGCTCGTGTGACACCCAGGTAGACATTCGCTCTGCCCTCTTCCTCCCTCCCGCCAGCCTGCCACTCTCCATCTTCCCGTCCCTCCCCACCCTGCCCCGCAGCACCCAGCCCTGCCCTGTGGGCAGGCAGACTCCCTGGTAAAGGTAGAGGAATTGTATAGGTGGCCCCTGCTTGGTTTGGCTCCCAGAGGCTTCCATCTTTTTGGCTTGGTCCCCCTGATTGCCAGCAGAAGGCACTGCACAGAGCCAGCGTGCCCAGCAGATGTTGGACACCTGAAGGGATAAACACGGAAGCACTGTACTGTGAGGTGGCACTTGATTGGAGATGCTGCAATCAAGATTCACAGAAGGCTCTGGGTTGCTTGGTGACCAGACGCCTCCGTAGAGCACCTGCTGTAGTACTGGCTCTTGAGAAACAAGTCCCAAGGACAGCCAGCCTTGCTGAGTGCCTCCAACGCAGGCCGGGACGCAGAGGAGGTCTCCGTGTGTGTTTCTCCCCACCTGGTTGCCTCCCAGCTGGCTGACCTCGGACGTGTCCCTTACAGCCTCCACAGGTTGAGTGGGAGCATTGTCTGCTCTTGAACCAAGAAGGGCTTCTTTGCTGTGCACCACAATGTCCGAGGGCCCAGGCTCTGCACAGCCAACGGGGGCCCCCTTGTGTCCTCCAGGGAGAGCCTGGGGCTCCTCCCTACCGTCCTACCTCAGGCAGGGCCAAAGCTCCCCAGTCTGTGGCTTCGGGCCAGCTCCCCACCGGCCGCGGCCTGCTCTGACTGCTCAGAAGCTTCTTCCTCCAATGCCCTCTTTGATTCTGCTCCCGACGGCTCTCTGCCCTGCCCAGAGCCCACGACAGGTCCTTGGGCTGCCAGGCTAGCACCTGCCTCCTGCCATATGACCCTGCCATTCCCTGGCTGGCTGCCCCTACCTGGGGTGGGGGGAGCAGTACTTCCTCAGCTTCTGTCTGGCTGTGCCCCACCCACACACACACGGAAACACACACACACACACGCACGCACGCACGCACACGCACGCATGCACATGCACGTACAACCTGCCCTGCCCCTAGCCTGTCCTCCGCAGCCTCACAGGTGCAGGTGGCTCCTTCCCACCTAGCAGGGTTTTTCTGAGGGACAACCCGATGTGGCACGCCATGCTTCCCAGACTCAGGGTCCTGCTGGGCTGAATAAGTGTGAGCTTGTTCTGCGTTGGTCCTTGACACAGCTGGTTGCCTGTGGCACAGTCTTCAACTCATTGAAGTCAAGTCCCTCTGGAGGAGCGTTGGTGGGGCATTGGTTGTGGAGGCCGGTGGCAGTGGGCTGGGTGGTTCCATGGGGCTCAGGGTACAACTGCATTGGTGATCAGTCCTCTCTGCCTTGGTTTGGGATTGAAATGGCCTTCATAGCAAGCTCAGCCCGGTGCTTGCTCCCAGTGAGCTTGCCTGCAGCTAGATGCCATCAGCATCATTCCTCCCACAGCTGCCTTCCAGCTCCCTTCCTTCCTGTGTGTGCCACTGGCTCTTCCAACCCATGGGGCACACTCACTCTCCTCCCAAGGAGGCAGTGTCATCTGGGCATGGCTGGCCCTTTCTGCCAGGAGTCCAGGGATTCCTGTCAGAGGCCCCTGCTCCTGCTCTTTCTGCCCTCGAGCCTGCCGGCCCTCCTCACTTTGACTTTGGAGTTTGGATGGTGACTCAGCAGTCAACCAGCATTCAGGGGCAGGGCCACGGTTTCTGGGAGAGAAGCCTGCAGATGGCTGCACCCTGGTTCCAGGGACTCGTGTCCCTGTCCTCTCCTGGAGGACTCCGGGGTCCTGGCTTCCCAGGTGCTATGTGTGTTGAACGGTGTCTCATATCACATATCAGAGTGAATTTTGGGACCATGGTTGCCAAGGAAATATCAAGGTTTGGCTGGAGTTGGCCCCATAAGTGTTCTGTGCTGTGTTTCTCTGTTGCCTGCTTCCAAATTGCTCCGTGAAGTTCAGGCCATTCGTCTGTGTCCTTTTGGTTGGTTCTGTGGAAGATAGTTTCCTCGTTGGTCTAGTTAGCCACAAGAAAAAGATGCCCATGGTTTTCTCAAATCATGAGTTTGTGAGCACTGGGCAGTGATCAAGTTCCCTGGGGGATGCCACAATAAATTTTCCCTGTAGGCAAGACTTTAGGAGCAAACCAATAGGATAGCTCATAGTCATAGCTCACAGCAAGCAAGTTGCCTGCTTGAAGGATGGGCCTATGCTGTGAAAGTCTGTTGGAACTGAGCATATCAGGGTTCTCTAAATGGATAGAACTAATGGGATCTATATACATATATATATACACATATACATATATATATAAAAACTATATATACATATACATATATATAAACTATATATATATACACATATACATATATATATATATATGGGAGTTTATTAAGTGTTTATACTCCCATATATATATATGGGAGTTTATAACCATATATATATATATGGGAGTTTATTAAGTGTGTGTATATATATATATATATAATATATGTGGGAGTTTATTAAGTATTAACTTACACGATCACAAGATCCCACAATAGGCTGTCTGTAAGCTTGAGGAGCAAGGAGAGCCTGAGTCTCAAAACTGAAGAACTTGGAGTCCGATGTTTAAGGGCAGGAAGCATCCAGCATGGGAGAAAGATGCAGGCTGACAGGCTAGGCCAGTGTCTCTTTTCACATTTTTCTGCCTGCTTATATTCTAACCTCGATGGCAGCTGATTACATTGTGCCCACCCAGTTTAAGGGTGAGTCCGCCTTTCCCAGCCCACTGACTCAAATGTTAATCTCCTTTGGCAACACCCTCACAGACACACCCAGGAACAATACTTTATATTCTTCTATCCAATCAAGTTGACAGTATTAACCATCACACTGAGCTGGGCTGAACTGTGCCTCCTTGAGGACATACCACACTTTCTGGTAGAAATAAGGCTTTTAAGGGTGTCAGCTCAGAGGAGAGAAGGCAGCCAGCAGCACATGGCCTCCGGAAGATCCCAGGCCGTCCCTCTTGTGACACAATGTGACCCCATGGCCTGGAGTTTTGGATGGGGGGATGGGAAGAAGGTGAGTAGTGCTAGCTGACAAGAGCTACCTCTAGGGGCTTTTTGATGATCAGTCAAAACTCTAGTTTCCCAAGGGGAAGTGTGGCTCAAGACTGGAAAGAGACCCTGTCCAACAGAAATCTCCTTGTCTCCTGGCTCTGGTGTCTCTCCAACCTCAGCAGATGAGAGCACTCAGTAGTCCCTGGATTTAGCCAACATCTCGATCTCTGTAGCCACCTCTGGTGTATACGAATGCCCCCTCCAAGCTATCCCTAACACTGCTTCCTCGCTGACTTTTCTAGTTCACAGACATGAGCAGGTCATTCCTATCCTTCACAAATATCAGGGCAGTGGTCATTCCCTGAAGACCCAGGTGCCTTGCTGCACTTCTAGGGCAGAAGTCCAAAGTTGTTAGCAAAGTACTTAGCATTACAGACCCTTCGTGGCCCTGTCTGACCTCCCTATGGAGCTATTGTCTTCTCCTTGCCTCTCTGTCCATCACCCTGGGACCCAGCCACACTAACTTTCACTACAGCCTCCAAATATCTACAGATCATTCAACCCCATTCATCAAAGAGTGAGTGCCTTGGCTGTGGAGAGCTCACCAGGACTGCAAGTTTTGAGAGAAGGGAAACAAATGATGTAGGGCCAAAGATCAGCCCAGATATCAGCTTAGAAGCACTTACAGTCTATGGCAAAGCAAAGGAAGAATGCAAACAGCATGTGGCATTCTCACTGAGTTGTGCAATTGAATGCCACTGGGGTTTCTAGAATTTGCAGTCACTGTACAGAAGAGAAGGGAAATGAGCAAAGAAAGAGCTCCAGAGCACCTCACAAAGTTCCCACTGAGTCTTTGGCTGCATACTAAGTTCTGCTCAGATAGAGACACCACAAGGTTGAGCACAGAACACCTCCAAAGCTGTGAGCTGGACAATTGTCAAAGCTCACACAGTGTTCAGAGATGTTCAATTTCCCACCAGCCACAGTGGAGAGACCACATTGAAATAGCTGGGCATTCAGTACAGAGCCTAGAAATGCCACACCTCGGGAGCAAGTCTAAGGTAGAATGAAAACCCACATTAACAAAGTTTAAAAACAAGGCTTCAAAGGCTTATGCTGCTCTGTAAGTAAACAAACTGCCTGCTGGAACAACTCAACACAGAATTAATGGAAACAACAAGACCAAGATATTTTACATCCTAACCTAAAATATCCAGATTTTACACAAAAACTTCTAGACATGGGAAGGAGAAAAACGTGACCCACACCAAGGAGAAAATGTTTCAATAGGCCCAGAAATGGCAAGGACGATGGGATTAGCAGATGAGAACTTAAAGACAGTTATTAGAAGTAAATGTGTTGTTCCAGAATTGAAAGAGAAACATGAAAATGATGAAGAAATGATTAAGGAAGGATCTCAACAGAAAAACAACACCGATAATGGAGAATCAAATGGAAGCTTTAGAAGTGAAACATGTAGAAGAGAGGAGCCCTGTGATAGACCCACAGGTACAAAGTCAAACAGTTTTTGACCAACACTCTAAATAAAATCAATGTCGAAAGGAAAGTCTTTTCAAATGCATCTTGACCCCACACCAAAAACTAATTTAGGTACTTTTTTTTTTTGAGACAGGAGCTGGCTCTGTCGCCCAGGCTAGAGCACAGGCTCAATCTCCTGGGCTCAAGAGATCCTCCCACCTCAGCCTCCCAAGTAGCTGGGATAATAGGCATGCACCACCACACCCAGCTAACTTTTGGGGTTGTTTGTTTGTTTGTTTTTTGAGGCTAAGGCTGGTCTCAAACTCCTGGGTTCAGGCAATCCTCCCACCTTGGCCTTCCAAAGTGCTGGGATTACAGGTGTGAGCCACTGCACCCAGCCAATATAGGTATATTCTAAGACCTAAATGCAAAAGCTACAACTACAGAGGTTCTAGAAGAAAACATAGATCAATATGTTTGCAAATGTGGGCCAATGAAAGATATCTTAGGCAAGACCCAGGCAGTGGTCATTGTAAAAAGAAACAAATGATGCAATGGACTTCATTATAATTAAACCCATCAGCTTATGAACAGACACCATTAAGAATATGCATAAGAAAGACACAACTGGTAAAAAGTGTTCCCAGCACACATATCAAAGTACTTGTATCCAGAGTATTTTAACAACTTGCACAACTCTAATAAAAAATTTAAAAAGCCAGGTAAAAACTAGGCAAGGGACTTGAACAGGCACTTCGCTAAGGAAGACAGATAGCTAATAAGCACATGAAAAAGTGCTCGATATTATTAGTCATCACAGAAATGCAAACTAATGCCTCAGTGAGATACCACAGTGAGTCACCCAACAGAATGGTTAAAAGTTTAAAGCTGGCAATACAAGATTTTTTGGAGTACCCTAAGAAACGAGCACTGCTCATTAGAGTATAAATTGTCACAATAGCTTTGGAAATCTGTGTGAAGTTTCTTATAAAGTTAAATATACCACTACCCTGTGGCCCAGCCATTCCATTCCTAGGTATTTACTCGGGAGAAAGGAAAACAAAAGTCCACAGAGATTCATACGAGGATGTTTCTATCAGCTTTAATCACACAATAACTGTAACACATATCTATTTTTAGATTAGGGACCTTAAAATAGATACTGCACTTGATCGTAGCCAAAAGGCCAAGAAGCCATGTGAACCTTAAAAATAGGAATGTGCCAGGGGTCAGAAATGGATGATTAGCTAGTAGGCCCAGCTCTAGGGCCATCAGCCTAGAGGCAACAAAAGTCTCACTGCTGTTTGGTGGCAAAGAAACTTCTACCTCTCTCTGCCTTCTTTCCAACCCTCTTGATCCCTTAAAGAAATAAAAAAAAAATCAATCACCCAACATTTGCACTCACACGAAAATTCACACACCCTCTCATAAACTGTCTCATACACACTAACACACATACTCACACACTCACCCATTCCACACATTCACGCATATGCACACACAAACTCATAAACACACTCTGAAACACACATTCACTCATGTGCACACTCAACAACACAAAGTCACCCACACATTCACTGTCATACACACATTCACACACCGTCTCACTCTCACATATTCACATACTTTTACTAACACACATATACATTAAACACATAAACATACATTTGACCACTAACACACATTCACTCACACACAAAAACTGATGCATACTCACACTCAAATACAAACACACATTAACATATTCACACACCATCTCACACACTCACATATTCACACATTCGCTGACACATGACACACACAAACTCTCCTACACTCACTCTCACACAATCACTAGTACGCATACTCACACATATTCACCATCTCACACACACTCACAGAGATGGGCCTGGTTTTGATGCTCCAGGTGTGGAAGCCCAATAGTGATACAAGGGATCCTGGGGCCACTGGTCCAGCCTGCTGTCCCTCACCCTTCCTTAAATATGTTATTCATTTCTGAGAAGCTCAACCAGTGCCCTGAGGACCCAACCAGCCACTGCCTGGGCCTACCAGTGTCCTGTCTACTGGGACTATCCAGCCTGCTCAGCTGGGTTTCTTTGCCTGGGTCCGTGGGCCGTGAACCCTAGCTCATGACCAACATGCGCAGATAGGGCATTCTAGAATGCCTTGCAGACCGAGCCCCAAGTATACACCAGTGTTAACAAAGCCACTGTGGCCCTCACTCCACCCCAACCCCATGCCCAGCCAACCTCATCCCCAGTTTCCCACAGCAGAGGCGAGGCCGGCTGGAACACTGAATGAAGTTTATTGAAGAGAAACACGTACTGAAAACGTTGAAGAGAAGGGAATCACAACACAGAGAGAAACTGCAAACGGCCACCACAGGACACAGGTCCCACACAGGTCCCGGGCCCCCTCCTCCTGAGGTTCCTGGCAAGACGCCTCATCTGCTCCTACTCCTGCTGCAGCCCCCGCTGCCAACTCCCTCCTTCCTGAGGGCCCCGGGGTCTGCCTCTTGCCAGGAAGGTAGACTCTGGCAGTGTCCACTGGCTTTAGGGAGTCCCCTCCCAAGCCCATCTGCTGGGGCAGGGCCCTGCCCTATGGCCCGCACAGGACAGTCACAGGACACTGGAAAACACAGCAGGGAACACCCTACCAGGTTAAGGAAACTGAGTCATGAGTAACAACAGGGGTGGAACACCAAAGCACAAAGCTCCTCGGGAGCCTCAGGCAGGGCAGCCCCGCTCCGTCCTGGGTCCAGTTCTTCCTCCCACAGTCACGGTCACCATCGTGGTCACAGGGTGAGCGTCCGCCTTGCCCTGGTGCTTCCTTCCTGTCATCTCCTGGGACTGTGCTGGGGGACTCCGGGGAGGAGCTGCTCAGAGAAGAACACACACAGCTCCACAAGAACAAGCAGCCACTGGCCTAGATCTACACAGGGAAAGCAGAGGTGGTGCTCATGACGCGGGACAGCAGTGAGCAGAGCCTGGGCTCACAGGAAGCTCACAGCATGTGCCTTGGGCCCAGAGGCGGCCACCTGGGTGGGTGCATAGCACACTACTTTGCACAGGAACAACGGCTAGCGGTGGGTGGGCGTCTGCTGGACGCGTGGGTCACTACAGGGGCCTACACAGGTGAGGATGAGCTTCCTGGAACAGGGGGCAGCCTGTCCCGGGAACAGTGAGTTGGGGGACCCCTCTTGGGAGACCCAGGCATCTGGCACCCTTGAGAGGGCCTCTTTCCCCCTGTCATCTCCCAGCTCAGGGCTGGGGGAGTTTGGGACAGACGTCTTCAGGTGCCTCCACCCAGGCCATGGCTGGCTGCTTAGGGGATGCCTCCAGGCTGGATTCCCCAAGGTGGCAGGGTTGTGGCTGGCCTTGGAATTGGCATTGGCATCTGTTGAGTTGCTTTGGCCATGGCAGCCCCAGGTTCTCCTTGCTTGATCTCTCCAGGAGTCTGGTGGCCCTGTACAGAAACAAGCAGAAGAAACAAAACCCTACCAAGTCCTCCCTTTTCCTCCTCCTTTGCAACAAAGACTTCCCTTCACAGCCACCCTGGTCCAAGTCAACTGTGAGGGCACTGGCCTGCCGGGTACCCAGTACCCCTGCTGGGGGTCTTCTCATCAATCTTTGGTCTCCTTGCCTGCACAACCTCTGGCTGGCACTGGGCTCCCGGGGCCTTAGGGTCTCCTGTCCTCACTGGCACAGGGCCTCCAGGGTGCTGCCTTCCTGGGGCTCCCCTAGTGCAGTGTAGATGATCCTGAAGACGGGATGGACCCTGTGGCCTCCCCTGCAGGGCTTTACCTCTGCCCCCCAGCTCTTCCTCACCAGCCCTGGCACCTGCTGGCAGGGGCAGGCCCCAGGTAGGCTCCTCCAGGTCCCATGTGGCCTGGGGGCCAGTGGGCATGTTCAGCTCAAAGTCCACAGGGTGGGTATTTAGGGGTGGTTGGATGAGCAGGACAGAACCCCCAGCCGTACCTTCTTCAGCTTCTGCTTCTTTGGGGTCCCCATCTGAGGCCCAGGCACCCCATGTGCTGGATGCAGTGGCTCCCTGCTTTCCTCTCCAGCACCTCTTCGGGGACCTGGACCTGACCCCCACTGAGCCTGTTGCCAGGTGGTCTTGGTTGCTGAAGTCCCTTCCAGCTGGCCAAGGGTGAGAAGGCTTGGCCTTGGTCTGGCTGCCCTGTCCCTCTGCCCCACTCAACTCATCTGCTGTTTGTCTGGGCTTCTCTTTCCCCTCCTTCCAATATCTCTTTTGTCTCCTTGGCCTGTGGTAGGAAATGTTGCCCTGTTCTCCCGAGCCTACTTGGCCTTGGACTTGGGATGGCTCTTGTCCCAAGCCCAGTTCCCGTTTCCCGACTCAACTGCAGCCTGTTTCTTCTGCTTTACCAAGAGCAGGTTGGAGGGGTTGATGCACTGTACCCTGATGTGGCCGTCTTCCCCACAGCTATAGCAGAATGTGTGGCGTTTCCGTTTTCTTGAGCCTCGAGAGCCAGCCCTTGCCACACCACCCCTTCGGTGTTGGCCTCTGCCCCTCCGGCGCCGGTAGCCCTGGGAAGGCCTCGCATCAAAACTGTTGCCAGAGGCAGGGAGAGGTACTGCCCCAACCCCAGTGATCCTGGCAGGTGGCCTTGGGGCTACTTCCAGCCCCTCCAGACTCTCCCTATCTGGACCTAAAGTGGCCTCCCATTCCTCCTCCTCACGCAGGAGCTTCACCAGGGCCAGGAAACCAGGAGGCTTCCTTCGCTGTTTCATCAGCTTAAGCTTATCTCGGAGTTTGTCAGGAAGGGTGGCCCCACTTAAGACTCGTTTCAGGCGAGTCTGATTCACGTTTCTACGTGATACCACATTGTTTTCTACAGCTCTTTGGAGCAGGGGTTCCAAACGTAACACAAAGCTAGATACTTTCTCTCCTGCCTCCTGATAGGCTTTACACAACTTCACCTGGGCAATTTTATGGCTCTCCACAGGTCCGAACACCTGCTGCAAGGCAGCCAGGCACTCCTCCACAGTTATGGAAGCATTGCTGGCCCGGAGCCCACTGACCACCTGGAGAGCAGGGCCCCGTAAGCATTCCATCAGCCTCCGCCTCTTTTCCCCCTCGGGCACCTGCCACATCTGTAGCATCTCAGTGGTGTGCTCAAGCCAGGCATCAAAGGCCAGTGCACCTGGGATGGATATGGTGTTCCCAGAAAACACTCTTAGTTCTCGGTACAACATTTGTTCTAGCAGAGGCTGCACTGCTGCCCCCAGAGTCTGGGCCCAGGTCCAGAACTCTGGTGATATAGTCACTCTTGGAGCCGAACAATTGGTGTCCGACCCGAGGACTCGGTTCATATCTGACACGGTCCGCCTCTCCTCCTCTAAGAAGCGGTTCAGTCTGTTGAGAAATTCCCCATCTGAGTTACGGGGTTTTACAATCACTTCCCAGGGCCCCCCCTTTCCTGGTATTTCCCTTGGGAGCAAAGCATAGTCGATATCTTGTGCCAGCTCCAGTAGAATCGCCTGGGCGTTCTCCTCCCTCCTAAACATCCTGCCAATCACCCTGTATCTGCCCAGGTGCCTGCAAGCCTCCTGGAGTGTCTCCTCAAACTCATCCTCGCCACAGTCCTCGGGGATCCCCAGGATGAGCATGCACCTCCGGGTGTTCAGGTGTTCCCCCCGACACCAGTCCTGTAACAAGGTCAACGGCATGTCCTCGAATCTCTGCGGATACTAATTTGGGGGGAGTGATCAGGGCGTGAGGCACATATCTGGATCAACTCCTAGGGTGATCGCAGAAGGCCCAGGTCTCCACAGCCTGTGAATGCGAGCAGGGCGAGAGCGAGGTTAATGCCCACCTCTCCGCACGCCCACATCCACGCCCACCCCCACCCCCACCCCCAGCCGCCCTCCTCCCCGGGCGGCGCCTCTGCAGCCAGGCCCCGCCCCTGCCCAGCCCCCCACCCCCACCCCCCGTGGGGTCTCTGCGGGCCTCAGCCCCCTCCCCGCGCTGCCCCAGGACCCTGGACCCCTGCCCTGCAGGCTGCTTCAGTTCTGATAGGGCGGACAGGCGAGGGGCGGCGGAGTCTCCCGGGGCCCAGCGTCTCCCTCCCCAGGTGGGTCTGTTACCTTCTCCCAGGGCAAGGTCCCTTCTGGTCGGGGTCCCCAGAGGGCTCTCCGGGGGCTATGCGCGGCGGCGGCGGCGGCGGCGGACGGGGGTCGGGCACCCCTGGCTCCCAGCGCGGACGTTCGCTCAGACTGTGGCTCTCCCTCGCTCGCGCAGCACGTGGGCCAGTGCGCCGGCGCCTGCTCGCCGCGGCTCTCTGCAGTGCGGACACGGGGCGGGGGCGCGGCGGCGGTGCAGCGCGGACCCCTCCGCGTCGTCCGGGAGACCGCAGGGCCATTGGCGCGGACGGGTCACGAGGTCGGGCTCTCGCCGCCGCCCCTGGGGGCCCCAGGTCCCCGGGTGACGTCACCTGCTCCTCTCCCCTAGCCCCCCCGCCACGGGGGCCCCCGGGCCCCCGGGCACACAAGCGCCCGCCCACCCCCATCCCCACTGCGGTGGCCAAAGGTCTGTGGCGGCCAGTCCCCGTGCCTTTGGCTCTCACCACAGCGGTTCCTGGTCCCGGCTCCTGCCCCTCCCGCACGTGCCACGGAGGTGCCAGCGGGGCGAGGGGTCTGCACCCCGGCGTGCCCACCAGAGGGCCAGGGAGTGGTCTGAGGTGCGCCAGGCAGCTCTGCATTATGGCCAGGGTCAGGGAGCCGGGTTCTGGGGCCTGTTCACCTGCTCTTGTCCTCCCCCTCCCCGTCCAGGACTGGTCCTCTGGCTGGCGAGGCCAGGGGCACCTGGTGCGGGTGCCATTCCGTGCAGGAGATGCCCCAGGCACTCATGCAGGTCACGCACACCACCCCAAGGAGGGTCAGCCATCTCCCCGCTGTCCATCCCGCTGCTGGGACCTGAGGCCCTCCGGCCAAAGCGCTTCGCTGCCCAGGTGCCAGTGGACAGGTTTACCGGGACCTTTCCGGTTTTGTGCGCTGCAAATCTAGTGACTTGGGAAACCACTTCCAGGACTTGGAGCCCAATCCCTTGGGCCTGCCCTTCCTTGGCAGCCGTGCGCCGTGGGTTCTATTGTATCCGTTTGATCCCAGGGCAGCAGCCAAATGAAGAAGGGAGTGACTGTCCCTCAGGCAGTGGGCCCAGGTGTTCTGTGGGTCCTGCCTGCTCTGCCAGCCGCATGCTCAACTCCTATTCACACAGCTTCAGCTCCTCTCCAAACACAACGAAAAGGGGCTTGTGGTTGATTTTCAGGCCAGGTTCACCCATCCAGCCAAGTCTGGGAGGCCACCTTGCAGTGAGTGGGGCACAAAACTGTCCACTGACTTCCTGCCCCACCCTGAGTTCTGCTCGTCAGCCTGGCACTTGTCAGGGACCAAGAAGAAATGGCCCCAAGGGCTTTTTCCTGGTCAGACAGAATTCCTGAAACATCTTTACAGGAGTTATTTCATTTGCTCCTCACCAGAACTCTGAAGCAGGTATTAACATTATCCTGATTTGACTCATGAGGCTCAGAGAGATTAAGAGACATTTTCAAGGTCACACACCGTATTGAAGGTAGAATTGAGACTGGATTCTAAATTAGTGCCCATCAGTCTTTGGGTAGAATTGGGACTATTTCTCCCCTGGTTGCTTCATGCCTATTAGAATTTATTTCTCTCATTTTTGTCCATTCACAGTCCCTTGCTTTGTCACTCCAAGGGCTCAACCAGCTTCAAACTGAACCTTCATCTGCCCAACTTGCAGGGGTGGAAACAGAGGTTCAGAGAAGGGACACTACTGGCCCAAGGTCACACAGTGAGTAAATGACAAAGCTTGAGATGTCAAGGGGAGATGCCAAGTATTCATGCCAAGGCAGAGGGGCGTGTCTGGAATGTCTCCGGAAAGAAGCCTGTGAAGTTCCCAGACAGACGCAGTGATCTGTGGATGTTCTGGGCATTGGGAAAAAAGGATTTGGAAACACTGGTATCAAGACAATAGATGTGAATATGTCCAATTTGAAAAGTTTTAGAACTCCTTTATATTGGAGTTAACCTTTGCCCTTGAAACCAGTGGAAATGTCTTAATTACTTTTGCTTCCCCATCTCCTTGCATGGTAGATAACACAGCAGCACCAAAGTTGGGGAACTGATGGATAAACATTATTACTTGTAAAGTGAAAAACATAATACAGCATGAAGGAAGCAACCTCCACCGGGGTGGCCTTGCCCTGGCTTAGACCAGTAGTGACTATCGGGGTCACAAAAGGGGCAGATTCATGGGCCCCACCTCTGCAATCTGATCTGCTGAGTCTGAAACAGGCCTGGGAATTTTTTAAAGAGTTTCTGGTAATTAAATACTTTATAAAATACATTCTGCAATATTTAACATACAAAACGTACTTAAAAAGTACATCCAGTACTCCTGAATGTAGTAACTGGATGAAGACATAAAACACTGCCAGTGAGGGTAAGCGCCTGCAGATTCCTTCCCTGTTGTCTCCCACTCTTGTCCTCCATGTGCATTTCTTCGTGCTTTTTCTGCAAATGACTATATCCCTAAAAAATTGTCTTTGTCTCTTTTACACTTGGCAGAAATGATATCATACTATTCATAGTCATCACTGTATTAACTAATTATTGTTTGTGAGAATCACCATTTTGATATAAGCAAATTTTATTCCTCAATTTTCACTTCTGTATAGTATTCCATTGTGTGTGTGTGTGTACCAAAATTTATCAATTTTCCCATTGACAGATATTTAAGTTGTTTCCCATTTTTACTATCAGAAACAATGCTGCTTTAAATATTCTTGGAGAGTTCCTCTAAGTTATGTACCTAGCCATGGCATTGCTGAATCAAAGACTATCTTTAGTATTCAGAGACATTGCCAAATTGTCTTCTGGGTTGCTGTACAAATTTATGTTTCCATCAAGCTCCATATCATCACTAACATTTCATATTGTGTGACTTAAATGTTGTTAATCCTGAGGAATGTCAATTGTTATTATGCTTTTATGTAGAATTTCTATGATTATGAATTAGATTTAATACCTTGGTTGGGGGGGCATTTTTTATTCCTCTTGATTGAAATTCCTATTTTTGTCTCAATTCTCAACTGGGGTGCTTCTCTTTTTTAATTCTTTCATAGGAGTTATTTATTTACTTTGGATATTTCTTCCCATTAAGTTACTATTCCTGCACAACCAGCTACCCAAAACATACTGGCTTAAAACAACCATTTTATTCTGCTCACAATTTTGTAAGTGAGAAATTGAGAGAAGGTTTAGCTGGGCAGTTCACTCATGGGATCTCTCATGTGGTTGCATTGAGATATGAGTTGAGAATCAAGTCTAAAGACTCAACAGGGCTGGGCACCCAAGATGGTTCATTCATATGGCTGGCATTGAGTCACACTTTTGGTACTTGCAGCCCAAAGCACGCTAATTTTTATAGAAGCTCAGATAACAATAGCTCCTCTGAATCATCATTATTGGACCAATTAAGTTTTTTATTTGGACTTTAAGAAATTTCTCTGGGAAAATACACAAATGGACAGAAATTACACCTCTTAATTTAAGACTGTTATGGGTTGAATTATGTCTCCCCATACCTCAATTCATATGGTGAAGTCCTAATCCTTAGCACCTCAGAATGTGACCTTATTTGAAAATAGGGTCATTGTAGATGTACTTAGTTAACATGAAATCAAGCTGGAGTGGTGTGGGCCCCTAATCCAATGTGACAAGTGTCCTTATAGCAAGGAAATTTGAACACAGAAACATGAAGATGCTCAGGGAGAACACCATGTGAAGATGAAGGCAGAGATTGGGGTGATGCTTCCACAAACCAGTGAATGCCAAAGATTGGCAGTAAAGCCCCAGAAGCTAGGAGAAAGGTCTCTGAGCAGATTCTCCCCCACCACTCTCAGAAGGAACCAACACTGACAATACTTTGATGGTCTTCTGGACTCCAGAAATGTGAGACATTCCATTTCTATTGCTTTAGCCACCTAGTGTGGTACTTTGGTACAGTCACTCTAGAAAACTAATAAAAAGATTAAACTGCAAATCTTCGAATGGTAAAAATGCTGAAAGGTTTCTGAAATGGAATCTGGACTAGATGGCATAACTATTTAATAATGAGGATACATGAGAGCCAGAGGAGAGCAAAGGAATTACTTATAAGATAAAAAAAATAAAAAAATAAAAAAAAGAATCTGGAAGTAAAGAGACAAGAACGACTCCCCAGAGTGGCCAAAGCCCGTGCACCACTGCATCCCTCCCCCAGAGCCTATGTCCCGCCACTATCACCACCATCCCCAAGAGAAAGGCTGAAGGGGATGCTAAAGGAGATAAATCCAACATGAAGGACAAACCACAGAAAAGATCCAAGAGGTTGTCTGCTAAACCTGCTTCTCCAAAGCCAGAGTCTAAGCCTAAAGAGGCCCCTGCAAAAAAGTGAGTGAAGGTACCCATAGGGAAAAGGGTAAATGCTAATGCTGGCAGGGAGGGGAATAACCCTGCAGAAAATGGAGATGACAAAACAGACCAGGCACAGAAAGCTGAAGGTCCTGGAGATGCCACGTGAAGTGTCTGCATTTTTGATAACTGTACTTCTGGTGACTGAAGAGTTTGAAATACTATTTTTTATCGAGTTTTATAAAAATTCATAATTTTGTTTTACTTTTTTTAAGCTATGCTGTTAGCACGCAGAGCACTTCATTGTTGTTTGGGGGGAAAGGGGCATAGGTCACTAATAGAATGTCTATGAAGCTGGATTGATGTGGGGAAAACACATTTCCCTTCTAGGTTTGAGAGACTTCCTATTGGTTCCCAAGAGGAGAGATTCCCTGACTTTGACACACATGGCCACCTTGGCACAAAAGCCTTGGTATGGAAAAACAAATTGTTTTTATGTCCTCTTCTCCCTTTCCACCTTTCATCATAGACTTAACTCACTCAAACCCAGACACCTGTTGGGACCTGAACCCAAATAATTGGTTACCAGTGTGTCAGGCAATCTGGACTTGCCTGTGATGCCACTGAGATGGTGCCCCTCAAAAGAGCAGCGGTTCTGTTTCTAGATTGTGGATCATCAGATAAATTCTGCCATTTTCATTTCACTTCCTGAAAGTCAGGGTCAACTCATGAAAGGTTGTTAAAACAACATGCTAAATGAGAAATGTCAACCTTCACTCTAAACTTTCCCTGTTCAGAGCATCAGATGAAGTCTTCATTGGGTTTTACAGTGGCTTTCTGATTTTTGGTAGTCCATTGAAGTAGGGAATTTGAAATGTTTTATACTGTGAATGACTGCCCATGTCCTGCCTGAAATACCATGATTGTTTCTGGAAAGTATCTTTAATAAAGCTAGATACAGTTTGGCTTGGGGAAAAAAAGAATCTTTCTTTTACAGGTTAGATTTAAGTAACAGTTGGTCACTGTCTGTTCCCTTTTCATTTGCCTCATTGTGCTCTAAATAAGAACTTTTACATTGTTCCTGACCAACAGAAGGCCAGGGCCCCCACAAGAGCAGGCCGTCCTTGATTGTAGGATGATGTAAAGTTACAATTACCAATTCTTTTTAATCATAAAATTCCCACACAAACAGATAGTGATTATGGGTCAAAGTTTTATTTAACTAATCAGTGAGGGAGGAGCAGAATGAAGAGCTGGTTCGAAAAGATTTGAAGGACTTATAGTTTTGGGGGAAAGAAATGATGAGGTAAATTGCTAAGTTAAATTCAAAACTGATTTACTCCTTGAGACAATAAGGCCATGGCACTTATTTCCCATTCAGGAAAAAAAAAATCACACCTTTGTTACTTTACAGAATTGTAAAACATTTGGGCTAAAATGAATTTTAGTCAATCAAAGTTAAATTTCTGGGAACAATCAAGTGAGTCCAGAATTAGAAAATTATCTAGCCCAATATTAAAAAGTCAGAGTCATCATTTTGCAGCATTTTAAATTTAAAAACTTTAGAGCTGTTTTAGGTTACCAGCAACACTGAATAGAAGGTAGAGAGTTCCCATGTACCTCCTCTACACTGCTAACACACAACCCCTGCCACTACTGACATCCTGCACCAGAGTGGTACATTTGTTACAACTGATGAAAATACATGGACAAAGCATTGTTGCTCACAGTCCATAGTTTAATTAGGATTCTGTATTAGTCTGTTCTCACACTTCTATGAAGAAATACCCGAGACTGGGTAATTTATAAAGAAAAGAGGCTTAATTGACTCACAGTTTCGTATGGCTAGGGAGGACTTGGTGGAAGGGGAAGCAAACACATCCTTCTTCACACAATGGCAGAAGAGAGAATGAGAGCCAAGTGAAGGGGGAAGCCCCTTACAAAACCATCAGATCTCATGAGAACTTACTATCACAAGAACAGTATGCGGGAAATTGCCCCCATGATTCAATCATCTCCACCTAGTCCCACCCTTGACACGTGGGGATTATTACAATTTAAGGTGAAATTTAAGTGAAGACACAGAGCCAAACCATATTATTCCACCCCTAGTACCTCCCAAATGTCATGTCCTCACATTTCAAAATACAATCATGCCCTTCCAACAGTCCCCCAAAGTCTTAATTCATTCCAGCATTAACCCAAAAGTCCAAGTTCAAAGTCTCATCTGAGACAAGGCAAGTCTCTTTCGCCTATGAGCCTATAAAATCAAAAGCAATTTAGTTACTTCCTAGATACAATGGGGATATAGGCATTAGGAAAACACACCTGCTCAAAATGGGAGAAATTGGCCAAAGCAAAGGGTCTACAGGCCCCACACAAGTCCAGAAATCTAATAGAGCAGTCATTAAACCTTAAAGTTCCAAAATGATCTCCTTTGCCTCCATGTCTCACATCTAGGTCACACTGATGCAAGAGGTGGGCTCACATGGCCTTGGGCAGCTCTGCCCCTGCAGCTTTTCAGGGTACAGCCCCCTTCCCAGCTGCTTTCACAGGCCGGTGTTGAGTATCTGTGGCTTTTCCTGGTGCCATGGTGAAAGCTTTCATTGGATCTACCATTCTGGGGTCTGGAGGATGGTAGCCCTCTTCTCACAGCTCCACTAGGCAGTGCCCCAGTGGGAACTCTGTGTTGGGGCTCCCACCCAACCCCACATTTCCCTTCTGCACTACCTGAGCAGAGGTTCTCCATGACGGCCCCACCCCTGCAGAAAACTTCCTGGACATCCAGGAGTTTCCATACATCTTCTGAAATCTAGGTGAAGTTTCCCAAACCTCAATTCTTGACTCTCTGCACCCGCAGGTGCAATAGCATGTGTAAGCCTTCAAGCCTTGGGGCTTGCACCCTCTGAAGCAATGGCCTGAGCTCTACATTGTCCCCTTTTAGCCATGGCTGTGATGCAGGGCACCAAATCCCGAGACTGCACAAAACAGCAATGGTTCCCTGGGCCTGGCCCACAAAACCATTTTTTCCTCCTAGGCCTCTGGGCCTGTGATGGGAGAGGCTGCCATGAAGACCTCTGACATGCCCTGGAGACATTGAGGAGGAGCACATAACCTGTAATATTCCAGTGCTGGTAACTGGAGCCTGTAATAGAATGGTGCTTTGAATGGAGGTACTATTGAAAATTATGAACAGTCACAAGGAGAAATAAGTGGAAGATAAGAGTGAGCAATGGAACTTGCTTGCTTCTAAGTAGGAAGAAAGTGGGCAATAGTTTCATGGAAGAGAAACATGGCAGAAGAGGACATGGCTTTATTTATTAGATATTTGGGCCCTCTTGAAAATCACAAACTAGAAATGTTGTATAATATTCACGTTCCATTGCATTTCAATTTGTAGGGTTACCTTTTTATACGGTAAGCTTTTGGACATTGGAGCCCCCTTGGTGTTTGTCCTGGGGGAAGGTGAGCTTTTCCTCATTTCTGGCTGACACATTTACTTGACTTGGCCAGTCGGGGTCACCATAATGCCACTGTAGACTACATGATAACAGGAGGGTCTCCATGAATGAGGTTGAATTTGACACTTCCGGGGAAGACACAGGAGATACAGACATGGTGTAGGCTTCAGAGTGTTGTCTAGCTTGCCTTTAGGATGGCAAAGAGGATTGGTCTGTGGAGGCAAAATGTCAGATACTTCCCCTTTGAAATCAATAACGTTAGGCCTGGATTATGACCAGCTGGGTTATCTTCATATTGGCCATCAGTTTATATAGGTAATCGCTATATTGGAAACCCCAGTCAACTCATGGAGACATGAGGTTCTGTCCATGCCTACACAGTATTGTCATGAGTCCCAGCCTTATGCAATGATCTTATGTATGTGTGCATGTGGGCAGGGTGGGCAGGGTGGTGGCGATGTGTTAGTAGCTGGTACCTGACTTTTTGTTTTTGGTTCTCTGGTGTAGTACTCTTGGAAATTTCAGAAATACCAGGTTTCTTATCAGTCACTAAGGAAGGCCTTCCATTTCACACTTTATAGATGTCAGGTGTCAAAGAGTGCAAATTCATGGACCAGTATAGTTTTCTCACCAAATGTCCTTTGGGAGCTTAGCATCTCCATTCTAAACCTTCCTGTCTTTCACTTTTTTTTTTTCTGAGACATGGTTTTGCTGTGTTGCCCAGGCTGGAGTACAGTGGTGTGATCATGGCTCACTGTAGCCTTGTCCTCCTGAGCTCAGGCAATCCTCCCACCTCAGCCTCCTGAGTAGCTAGGACTACAGGTGTGTGCCACCATGGCCGGCTAATTTTTTTGTATTTTTTATAGAGATGGGGTTTCACCATGTTGCCCAGGCTCGTCTCAAATTCCTGGGCTCAAGCAATCTAACTGCCTTGGCCTCCCAAAGTGCTGGGATTACAGGCATGAGCCACCATGCCTGACCCTGTCTTTCACGTCTAATATCAACAGTGGTTCTTAGCAACTAAGGGGGCTGGAGAAAGAAACACACCCAGGGAGATTGGTCATCCCAGCATACAACCTCTTGATTGCCCCAGCACAATTTTCAGTATACAAGGTTTCCTTGCTCCTATAAAGGAATGATTCACAAAACCTAAACTCCATACTTCAGTGCTAGCTTAAAATTACCAATTTATGCCTAGTGTTCCATTATTGGAATGCTAAGCATGTGGGAGTTATTTATATCCTACTGCTCAAGGTCATCACCAAGGTCTGATTGCAAAAATTCAAAAAATTGCAACCTCAGGCATAAATGGGTTAAATCAATATCCCTTAAAGAAAATGAAAATATCTTTTGTAACCAATAGTCCGTAACAGGAATCTAAAGCATCCTTCCCCTAATAATTTACAATAATTATATCTAAAACCTCAGTCCCAGTGACATGAGGGTGGAGCTAAGGGATGATTGGAAGCATAAGGGGCATTTTCCTGGGTGACTGAATGGTGGTTCAGGAATTCACCAGGGTGTGGGTATGGGTGGCCTTTGCCAAAACTACAATATTTCCTGAAATGCAGGGTTTGGAAATGTGAGGAATCTAGTTGACCTCCAAAAGACTATACTTTCAGCATTTTTTATAGTAATTTTGCAATTTATGTGCCAGGATTCTATGGCCACATATACTTGTGTCCGTGAAGCCACTAGGGAACCAGGCAGAGAGCTTCTGGTCCCTGGGTGGAATAGTTAAAGAGCTGAAATATTAAATGCAACAGCACCATTAGCTGCCAATCCTCTGCAGCGGCAGCTTCAGTGCCTTATATCTGCATGGGATCCAATGTCAAATCACGGAGTCTCTTCTAGGTAGACAGCAAGCCAATGCTCAGATCAGAGAGCCTTTTGGGAGCAGTATCTTTGTTAAAACCTAACAACAAACTAGGGTTAGATCTACTTATGTAAACCTGTAAAATACTAGAAGCTGGTTTCAAAATTAAGTAATGGGAATTCTTGAAATTCTTAAACTGCATTGCCCAAAATAAGAAAAAGTTCAATAGTAGAGCTGATGACAGTTGACTAAATCACAGATCTGAAAGTTAAAGATCAAGGAACTCTCCCAGAAAATGCAAAAAGACAAAGAAGTGGAAACGAACATAAGGAAAAGAGCACTAACAGAATTTCCCAAAAGAGATTACAGAGGAAAAAGGAAGCCACTTTTTCCCCTTCCCATGAGGGGGCCCCGGGGACAGACCCTTTTCCCCTTCCCATGAGGGGGTCCCGGGGACAGCACCCTTCCTCCACACATTCCCAGCCACACACTGCTTTAGTGGACCACACATGCTCGTTTCTACTTCTTTGTCTTCCTTCTGTGTTCTCCAGCAGGTAAAAACTTATTGCAGAACGTTGTAACTTGGCTGAACCCCCTTAAACTCTGATTAGGACATCAGGATGGGCTGTGATCTGACCATAGTCGGACTGTATATGTACCATGCACACATACTCCTGGCATAAATCTGGGGAGCCCTATCTGTTTCTTAGCATTCTCTGGGGAGAGCAGTTCCTGAACCATCCAGGCTTGGGGGCTGCAAAAGGAACAGCAGCATGCCCAACACCTCTGAACCCTCCTCCCCATACCCCCCCTTCACCACCAACTGCAAGTCTAGGTGCTCAGCTATCTTGAGGACCATCCACTGCTGGTGGGAAATCCTAGCATGGGCACATGCCTTGGGGTCTAGGCCCAGGCCATTGTGAGCTCTGACAGGTTAAACCTCCCCTCTGCTGCCACCTGTGAGATCACCACCGCACCTGAGATGCCACCTTGGTCTGCTTTTGAAGGTGTTTGAAACACTAAAGAGTGTCTCATATGATAGGCAGGTAATTTTCATTAAATGTTTGGAAATGTTTGGCTGATAAGGCCAATATTTGAAGGTCTGTGGGAAGTTGATGTGGGCAAATCTCCAAACTGGGGCTCAGCCTAGGAGGGTTCTTGTCTTCATGCATGAACAAATTCAAAAGAAAGCCGACAGAGTAAAGTGAAAGCAAAATAAGTTTATCAGAGCAACAGAGTACAGGAAAATGGTTGCTCCATAGAGCAGGGCTGCCCCATAAGCACAGTAGCCCTCGTGGATTGCTGGCTAGCTATATTTATAGCTACTCCTTAATTATATTCTAAATAAGGCATAAGTGATTCATGAATTTTCTAGAAAAGGGGTGGAATCAAGAGTTCCTCCCCTTTTAAACCATATAAGGTAACTTCCAGGCACTGTCATGGCATTTGTAAACTGCCATGGCACTGGTGGGAGTGTCTTTTAGCATGCAAATGTATGACAATTAGCCTGTAATGAGCAGTGGGGGCAACCAGAGGTCCCTTTCATCCCCATCTTGGTTTTAGCTGTTATGACTGGTTTCTTTACTATAACATATTTTGACCAGATCTTGTTTTTATCAGTGGGGTCATGACCAGTGCTCAGAAAACAAGTCCTGCTGATCTCCTACCTCAAAATTACTTTGTTAAATGCATAGAATATGCATTCAGATGAATCTTGGCCATTTGTCTTCTATTATTATTGTTATTAATTGGCTGCTTTCAAATTTATGAGATTAATGATAAACAAAAATTAAACAAAGTACAAATAGCAACTGATACTTCTCTGCCTGCCTTCTCCCCTTCCCCTGAGCCATACATATAGCCCCAGGCAGCCTCCAGGGTGATCTAGGATGTCTTGGTCCCTAGCCAGTCTCTGCCTCCATTTATCCAGCATCTTGCCATACCCAGCCACCCCACCTCCCCTGAATTTCTCTTGCACTACTGTGAAGGCGGATGCACTCCAACTCTAAGATTCAGTTAGAGTGCCATTAATTAAGAGTTTCTTAATATTGTTCCTGGGATCATGGACCTCTGGCTGAGCGTTCCCCTAGAGTGCTCCCTAAAACGTGAGGGCCATGTAAACTGTATTCTCTGTTGCCCCCCTTTTGCCTAGCTCACAAACCACTCACGGGGGAGTAAACATTGATCCAGACACTCAGCTTCCTCCTCATGTTCTCTTTCCATTCCTCAGTAATAGGAAGACTCCCCAACGTCAAAATCTCCATGCTTCCATCCACAGGCTCTGGGAGGAAGGAGCTGGGGGAACTATGTGTATGTGGTTAACACCTGAAGAGTTCGATTAGGTCCTGTATGAGTTTCCTGTGTGTAATAATTTGTTAAATTATTGGCTTAAAACAACAGAATTTTATTCTCTCACAGTTCTGGAGGTTGGAAGTCTAAGATCAGTATCACTGGGCTGAAACAAGATGTCAGCAGGGCCCCACTTTCTCTGGAGGCTCCAGGGGAGGATCCATTCCTAGCTCTTTCAATATCTGGTGGCTGCCTGGATTCCTTGGTCTTAAGGCCAGCATTTTCAAACCTCTCTCTCTTCCCTCATCATATCACCTCCTCCTGTATGTGGGTGTGTGTGCAGACAATCTGCCTTTACCTCCTTATAAGGACAAGTGTGATCGGATTTAGAGCCCACCAAGATAATCCAGGATAATCTCCCCACCTCAAGATCTTTAGCTTAATCACATTGTAAAGACCTTTTTCCCAAATAAGGTAATATATACAGATTCCAGGAATTTGGACCTGCTATCCTTGGGGGCCATTATTCAACCTACCACAGGTCCCAATTTGTGCCCTGGCTCTGGTCCAACCCACGATGCCCACCCCCACCCGTAGGGTAGCAGTGGATCCTACCAGCTTACAGAGTCCTCTCCACAGCCTCCCTTCCCCTGATCGCTTCCTTTGGAAAGTTCCTGCAGATACTTATCTAAGAAACTCTCACAATAAAACACAGTCTTGGCTTTCTGGTTGAAAAATTCTTTTTGACCCTTATATGTCTCTCCAACCTAAGAACTAATAGTTCCTGGCTCCAGCCTGGATGAAAAGGTTGGATTTTACAGCTGTCTGTTGCTAACAGCCCTCCATAGGAATAGGCTCAGATTTTTCACATGCCTCATAGTGGCACACTTGAAAGACAAACAATCTTCTCTCTTATTAATATAGTTCATGTCACATGATATAAGTTCACTGTTATAGCATGAAATTCTTGATACAAGTTATACAGGGGTGAGAACAGAGAGGAAAAGAGAACCTGAAGGAAATACAGAGACCACCCTGCCATCTTCACCTCTTTATGTAATATTGTGCCTAATTAGATAGATGTACACCAAACTTATCAAAGTATTCACTGGCCAGGCATGGTGGCTCATGCCGGTAATCTCAGCAATTTGGGAGGCTTAGATAGGAGGAAGGCTTGAGCCCAGGAGTTCAAGACCAGCCTGGGCAAAATGGAAAGATCCCAACTCTTCAAGAAATAAAAAATTAGCTGGGTGTGGTGGCATGTGCCTGTGCCCCCAGCTACTTGGGAGATTGAAGTGGGAGGATCACTTGAGCCTGGGAGTTCGAGGCTGCAGTAAGCTGTGACCACACCACTGCACTCCAGCCTGGGCAACAGAGTGAGACCCTGTCTCAAAAAAATAATATATTTTTTAAAACCACTTACTGCTGAGAAGGACAGTGAGGTTTAGGAAGTGATCAAAGAGAACTTTTTATTTTTACTTGATTTAATTTTGTAAACATTGAATGAATGTTTTGTTTGTCCAACTGAAAACACAAGATAAATACGTATGCACTAACACAGAATGATTTCTATGAGTTACCATTTAAGACAAAAAAACAAGACACCAGACAGCACTTACAGGATAATCTCACTTAAGTAAAATAAAACCAAATTATATATGCATATATTTACATGTATGAGTGTTAAAGGAATAGGCAGAGTTCTGGAAGGATGCTGACTGAGGAACTCACAGTGTTCATCTCTGGGGAAGGAAAGGGATGGAGTGGAAATGTGACTTTCAGTATTTCTTCTATATATCTCCCTGTTGTTTGAATTCTTTACAATGAAAATGTAGTCAGGAAGTATGATGGCTGGTTTTACGTGTCAACATGGCTAGGCTATAGTTCCCAGTTGCTTGGTCAAACTATCTAGATGCAGCTGTGATGCTATTTTTTAAAGATATTATTAACATTTAAATCAACAGACTTTGGGTAAAGCAGATTGCCCTCTTCCACAATGTGGATGGGTCTCATCCAGTCAGTTGAAGGCCTTAAGAGAAAAGACCGAGGTCCCTTGAATAGAAAGGAATTCTGTGTTCAGACAGCCTTTGGACTCAAGCTGCAACATTAACTCTTCCCTGGGTCTCCAGCCTGCTGCCCTACTCTACAGATTTCAGACTTGCCAGCCCCCAACTCACAATCATGTGAGCCAGTTCCTTAATGTCTCTCTCTCTCTCTCTCTCTGTCTCTCTCTGCCTCAACAGGAGATACATCTATCTCTCCTATTGATTATGTTTCTCTGGACAGCCCTAACTGATACCAAGATGAGAACATAGAAAAGGAGTCATTTTTCCATTCAGGACTCTGCTTCAAAGACATGCTCTTGAGCTGAAGAGACCTGGCTTGAAATGCTGCCTTTAGTGACCCTATCTGTGTTCTTGACCGATTAAGTTGAACTTGATGAATGTCTGCTTACTTCTCTGTATTAACGAGAGGAGTCACAGGAAAGACCATTTGCATTACTGATGCACATTGAGCATGACCACAGTTCAGCAAGTACCATTTACTGTTATTAATAATATTTATTTTTCATTTTATGCTAAGAAAACTATCGAAAACAATTTAAGGGTTTTGAGCAGTGAAGTGATATAATCTTATCTGTTTTTTAAAAAAGAATTCTTACTGCTATATGGGGAATGCCTAAGTGGGAGGCAAGAGTGGATGCAAGGAGAGCAATGAAGGAGGTCGTTGCACTAACACAGAGGAGTGATTTGGACTAGGATGGTGGTGGAAGAGATAAAGAGAAGTGGAAGTGTTTGAGAACATTTAAGGAGTAACAATTTTATTGATTTGACTTCTGCTTAGGGGTATGAAAGAGTAGCTTTTGGCAGACAAACTCTCCTATAGAGAACAACAAGAAAAGCCCGATGAAACATGACAAAAGGATCAGTTTAAAGGCACTGGAGACCTATTAAAATGATGAATACTTGAGGGGCCAACATGCAGGAAAGAAGAGAACCATGAGAGGGTGAGGTGGCGCTACAGACACTTCCAGGTGCAGGGAAGGAGGCTGAGAATTGAGGCTTTACCTAGATGGCCACGGCTGGGGGTCAAACACCCAGCAGAGATTTCCACAGTCTCACAGGGCTGGAGAGACAAACTTCGTGGTCTAAGGAGCCAAGATTCCAATGAGAAGTGAGAGATGGAAGACTGTGTCTGTCACACTGTTGGCTTGCTACACAAGACCAATATTGAATTATGAAGCTGTATGTAGTAAGAAGCTAAGGAGCCAAGAAGAAAGCCTTTTGAAAATAGGACAAGCAAAATAAATAAAAGCATTCATATCAGAAAGGAAGAAGTACAACTGTCTTTATTTGCAGGTAACATTTTCTGTGTAGGAAATCTGATAGAATCTACCCAAAAGATCTATTAGAACTAATAAGGGAGTTTAGAGTTTAGCAAGGTTGTAGGATACAGGGAAGCAGAGGTTACAAAGGGGAATTAGGAACTTTCTGGGAATGATGAATACACTCGCTAATCTTGACTGTGGTGATGGGTTCACAGGTGTATGCCTATACCAACATTTATCAAATGTTACACTTTAAATATATGTGTGTGAATTGTGTCTGAGTAAAGCTCTTCAAACAAAAAGAAACTAGGAGGGAAAGAAGAGGGCTGATAGGTTGGAAGAAACAGAGGAGTCAACATCTGAAGGCCCCAAAGAGGTTGAAAAAGGATCACAGTAGGGAGTCTGTGTCAGAAAGTGACATACTTGAGTCATTGATTCTCAAGATGGGACAATTTTAGGAGATGACAAAGCCTGGGGTGTGACTGACTGGGGGCAGGTAGCTTAGGTAGAGGAAGCTTCAAGGCCTGCTGCATATTCTGTCTCTGTTGCCTGAGCATGGTTCCACCCCCACCTCTACTCTTTGCCTGGCTAAATCCTACTTATCCTCCATGTCCCAGCATTCATGTCCCTTCATCAAGGATACTTCCTCTGGCACCCGCACCCTCTTCTGAGGTCACTCTTTAAGACATTCTTATAGCACTCTTGTACTACTTGCCTTCCTTAGCACTTAACCCAGTGATCACATATGCATTTGTGCAATTCTTTCAACACATCAAAGCTCTGTGACAGCAGGAACCCTGGACCATTGTGTCCCTAGCATCTGCCACAAGGCACAGCAGGGCATAGTTGCTGAGTATTGAATGTATAACAGGATGGCAAATGAAATGTTGCCTATTTTCACAGAACTTTAGCCCAAATCTGAGGACAAGAGGTGCTAAGTCCCTGTACGATCTACATTCTCAATGGAAACATCACACATTGTTTGTTATATAAATGAACCAAAGATGGCCTCTGTGTATTGGCCCCTATGTTTTTTATTTCTTCACTGAAGGCTGAGACCTGTTAGCTGAAAAGCTCACTGGTGCCCAACTCATATATTTACACGTCTGATTATTATGATTATTATTTGAGACGAAGTCTCACTCTGTCGCCCAAGCTGGAGTGCAGTGGCACGGTCTCGGCTCACTTCAACCTCCACCTCCTGGGCTCAAGCGATTCTACTGCCTCATTCTCCCAAGTTGCTGGGATTACAGGCACACACCACCACGCCCAGCTAATTTTTTGTATTTTAGTAGAGACAGGGTTTCACCACATTGCCCTGGGTGGTCTTGAACTCCCGAGCTCAGGCAATCTGCCCACCTCGGCCTCCCAGAATGCTGGGATTACAGGCATGAGCCACCGCACCCAGCCTGATTATTTTTAAAACATCCCAAATAAGCAGTTTTTTAGCCATTTAAAGCCTGCTTGCTTTGCATATGCAGAGACTCTCCAACGTGGTACCGATTGACCTCACCCAGACACATAAGCTCCCTCTTTGTTCCTCCTCTGCCCTGTGAGTCCCTTTGCCTTCCTTCCCTTCCAGGTGGTGGCCTCTTAGCCCATCCATAAACCTCTGGATAGTCTTGTGCTGTGAGGACTTTCCCTCTTATGCAACCCTGTCCAAGTGCCACCGAATAAAGCTTGTTGTGTTACTGCCCCTTGCAGTCATATCTTTTTCCTTGATCAGCCCTCAAATTCCTTCAACAAACTCCCTGAGTTTACTAAATGATGGCAAAGCCCATTCAGCAAACACCATTCCATCGAGGCTATTGAAGAGATTAAACATGTCAGAGGTTATTTTTAAAGGAAATTTTTAGGAGCAAAGAGTGCTTTGGCTTTTCTCCTACCCTCCCCAGGAGGGAGGATAAGGAGGCGCTGTCTCTAAAACCAAATCAAATGCATCAGTTCAGGTCCTCCAGGAAGTCAAGATGGAGTTAGAAGTGCAAAAAAATTATCACAGAAGATAAAGGGGAGAGGACACAGAAAGAGGCAGGAAGAACCTTCAGACCACAGGGCGGGTCTAACACAAGTGGAAAGAGAGGGAGAAGGAAGGATTGGAAGGAAGAGTCTCAGACAGTGGTGCAGCTTTCAAAAAGTCTTGGCCAGCCCAACGGGGAGCTCTGATGCAAAGATGGCCCATAGAGGAGTCCCACACTGAGCAAAAATGACCCTAGTACCCTGCTGTGCTAAGCCTCTGATAGGGAGCTGCCTGGAACTAGCATGGTCTCACCTCAAATGCTGCCTTGGACCCTGAAGACATTCCACCTGAATGCTGTCAACTAATTGCACTCCTCATAACAGGCCCTCTCTTAAAGTGACATCCAAGCAGTGCACTTCCATAGCTGCCACAGGCCATCCTTTGTGCCACACAGATCCACTACTCCATAGCTGCTCGGGAAGCAGTTCCTCCTTGGCTCCTGTGGGCCACTCTTTCTGAAGGTAAACTTAGAAGTTGGCAGTCGGGTGCGGTGGCTCATGCCTGTAATCCCAGCACTTTGGGAGGCCGAGGTGGGCAGATCACGAGGTCAGGAGATCAAGACCATCCTGGCTAACACGGTGAAATCCCGTCCCTACTAAAAATACAAAAAAAAAAAAAAAATTTAGCCAGGCATGGTGGCAGGCCTGTAGTCCCAGCTACTCGGGAGGCTGAGGCAGGAGAATGGTGTGAACCTGAGAGGCAGAGCTTGCAGTGAGCAGAGATCGCACCACTGCACTCCAGCCTGGGTGACAGAGTGAGACTCTGTCTCAAAAAAAAAAAAAAAAAAGAAAAAGAAGAAGAGAGAAGTTGGCGGGACAAAGTACAAGCCCCATCAGTGCAGTTGGTCCTGCAACTGCAACAGGTATTTATGATTACCCTCTTCCACTATCCATTCTAGATTTCCCTCACCCTCAACTATAACCTCTGCAGTTTTGGCAGCTTCCTTCATCCCTGAGTGGTCTGAGTCCCTCGTATCCATACCCTTCTTAGGCCACTCACACTGTACTTGATCACTTACAGCCAATGAGGCAAAAGAGTACCAAAAGTCACTAGAAAAGATCATCTGAGTCCCGAGCATATTCCTCTCTGCCTCTATTATATAACAGCAGTCTTACCTCTTCCTTGATAATTCTCTATTACTCCCACCACCATGATGATTCTTCCTGCTTGCTGGTGTCTGGAATCAAGGAACCCCAAAATGCCAGGCAGCAGTGGTGGCTATAAGTACAACTGGAACCCAGGCTGTATGTCCTGATAAGAGTGCAAAGAACCAGAACCTCTACCCTGCAGAGCCTAGATTTAAGGAGATGGGAAGCACAATGTTGGCCCCTGAGTAGGTCACTGGGAAAGATGGAAAGTGAGGCCACTTTGGCCTCCACCCTATGGCTTCCAGACCCATGTATTCTTCCTACTGGGGACACAGTGCCACATGGACATCTCTGACACAGTGCATATACTGCATCCTGGAGGATGGCGCCTCATCCTTGTAGGGTATTGCCTCTAAGCCTGTGCTCCAGCTACACCTCCAGAAGGCCATTCCAACACTCTATCAAGCTAGTAGCTTCTGGGTGGCACAGTGTGACACCAGACTATCCCATGCTCATGGGCTCATGCACATACCTCCTTCACTCTGAAGTGTGTCCCTTGGTAGGATACCTTCTTGTGTGGGATTCCAGGTCTGCAGGTCATGCACTCTGAAAGCCCCTGGATAGTGATGTTAGCTGAAGTTCTGCCAGGAGGAAAGGAAAACCCATACTCAGAATAGGTTTCTGTCCTTGTAAGAAAGAATGGATGTCTCTTCTAAGAGATAATGGACCCAACATGGAGAAATGGTGCCATATTGGGGTCTCAGCATTGGTCTCTTTCACTGGAAGACTGGACCTTCAGAGCTAGTAGCAGCAATAAAGGCCTTGTTAAGTAGGATTCCATGCTTCTGGGCCCGTGAGCAGTCTCCATCTCTCACACTGTGGCCCATCTGTTTATGTGCCCATTGTGTCAGTTCTGGACTGGCTGATGGTGAAGGGTGGCTAATATCCAACTTGCTGAGTCATTTTGTGCACTTGACAGTTCAGCTCCTCTTCTACTGTTGATGCTTTCTGGTGGGCACTTGTATGTGACGTAAGCTTTTCCTTCATGCTCACTCCCATGTTTATCCATATGCCTCTACCCCAGACTTCCTTGTCTCCAGTTTTCCAGTCCTTTCCTTTTTAGACCTTTGGCTAGTCCATTGGCCACTGCTCAGAAATCTGTGCATATTCCTACCCTGGGCCACTTCTTCCACACAAAGTGGATGATAAGGTGCACACCTTAAAGCTCCACCCATCAGGAAGATCTTCCCTCCCCACTGTCTTTCAGGGACGTCCCTAGGTGGGTGTGGCTGGAATATAGCTGCTGTCCATTTCAGAGACTGAGCCAAACCATTCATAAGCAATATTCAGGCCTTTTCCTCCTCCTTCATCTAGCCACATGAGATCGCACAGCCATAGGTGTGAGCTAAGGGAAGGGCACTGGTGTAACTGTGATGGGTCACACAGGCATCTTGGCTGCTACTTCCATAGCTCACTCACACTTCTGTTCCTGACTAGATGAACTATTTCCATCGTGCAATGGATTGCTGGAGGGTCATCTGACTTTTCACTTTGTGGTCTGACAGACCCAGCTTATAAGGAGAAATTCCAGCTTATAAGTGACACACAGTCACTTGGTGTCCCATGGTCAAGCGTTGTCTCTGCAAGGGCCCAGAAGCACACCAGAAGCTGTTTTCTAAAAAGGTGTATGATTCTCTGATGCGGGTGGCATGGCCCTGCTCCAGAACCCTAGAGGCCTGTGTGGCGATCCTCCCATGGGGACTGGCCTTAAACCCTACCCTGCCTCCATTCTTACCACTGACACCTCTGACACTGCAGGGTCTGTCAGATGTGACGGTTCAAGAGTTGCACTGCAGCCTGGACCTGCTGCAGATCCCTTTCCTGCTCCCAGCCTCTCTCAAATCTCCCAGCCTTCTGTGTCAACCAGTGTGTGAACCGTAGAAGTTATCTTATGGGTGGAATGTTTTCTCCCCAAAACCTAAAGAGGTCCACCAGGTGCACTACTTTCTTTGTGGTGGAGGATTCAAGAGGCAGTAATTTGTCTTTTCCTTTGGAGGGGACATCCTGGCACGCCTCCGAACACTGGACCCCTAAAAATTTCACTGATGTAGCAGATCTCTGAATCCGCATAGGGCTTATTGCCCACCCTCTGGAGTGCACGTGTCTCACCAAGGCCTCCCAGTGTGTAGGCTGCCTCTTACTTGTCCTGTCCAATCAGAATGATGATGTCAGTGTAACAGATCCACGTGCCATTCTATGCACTGTCTAGATGATCCACATCTCTTTGAACTATATTATGCCACAGGATAGGTATAACACAGGGCAGAAGCGTTAACATGGTCCTGAGACAAATTGTAAATAAAGATTTTTGTTTGTCCACATGATCGTGAAATGCTTCTGTGTCAGTCCATTTTCCATTGCTTATAATCGAACACTTGAAACTGGGTAATTATAAAGAAAAAAACAGGTCTTACAGTTATGGAGGCTGAGAAGTCCAAGGTAAAGGGGCAGCATCTGGTGAGGGCCTTCTTGATGGTGGGGACTCTCTGAAGAGTCCTGAGGTGCCACAACACATCACATGGTGAGATGGCTGCGTGTGCTCCGGTCTCTCTGTCTCTCTTCTTCTTCCTATAAAGCCACCAGTATCACTCCCATGATAACCCATTAATCCATTAACCCATTAATCAATGATTGCACTAATCTACTCATGAGGGCCTTGCCAATGAGTAAGGGAGTAAGTAAGGTAAGGGATTTAGTGGCCCAATACCAGAAAGGAGCAGTGTGTTTTTAGAAGGCATTCTCCCAAATCCTGCCTGGCTGAGAAGGGGAAGACTTGGCATTTTGGGGACAATTCAAAAGTAGAATGAATACTTTTTGTTAGTTTTAAAACAAGTGAAAAAAAAAAAAACCAATGACTGGGGAACTTCATCTGCTTCCCTTACACTTGAAAAGTGTAAGGCTTAAAGCCACACCTCTCAATACTGTCACACTGGGGATTAAATTTCAACATAGTGAGGCAGAAATTTAAAAATAAATATGCATTCATTCACTCCAAAAAAAAAAAGTAACAGGCAAGGCAAGGGTTAAGAAGAAAAAAAGGGGTTTTCCTCTGCCTAGCAAGCTAACTTCAAAGACAGTTATAAGATAACGCTGTTTAAGGAGCCAAGGCCAAAGGAATGGGCTCCAGACACCCCTCCCCTCCAAAACAAGGTTAAAGGAAAAAAAAGAGAGAAACACAAATTCCTTTACTGTTACTCCTTTCCCTGGCTTCTTAAGCATACCTATGTTTTACAAATATCTGTATTTAGCCAGTTCTTATTTTTCTTTCAACGCAGCTACAAGGCCACTGGCTATGCAAGGCCACAAGTTATGCTATGCTATAAATTATATAACCTATCATATAATTAGCTACTTTTATTTTACTTTTGTAAATCCGCTTATAAAAACCCTGCTCTGTCTTTATTTAATGCTCAGCTTCTTGAATACAAATCCACTAAGCTGGTGTGTAGCTAAAATAAACAATCCTCCTGTTCTCCATATTGGTCTCTCCAGTCCTCAATTTCCCACAACAATAGGTTTAGGAGGGGACAAACATTCAAACCACAGCAGCTTCTTATCCTCTTTCCTTGACCAGCTGAAATGGAAAGGAATGCCTTCATCAAACCAATGGCCACATACTATGCACCTAAGGCCTTATAAATCTATTTGAGCAATGATACTGTGTCTGGTACACAGCATCTGCAACTGGGATTACTACTTGATAAAGCATGAGGTAGTGTACACTCATTCTCCAGAATTCATCCAATTTCTACAGGGGACAGAACTGGCGGATAAAATGGAGATATGATGGGGACCACCATACCTGTTAATACATCCTAGAGGTCTTTAAAGTGGCTCTAACCTCCATTATGCCTCCTGCAAAATTGTTTTTAAGGTCACCTTCAGAGGCAGATAGATCCCCACTCAAAAATTGGCTAGGATGTTAAGACTGATGACACCACATACACACCAAGAGGACAAGAAAAGTTTCACTACTTATGTAATTGAGGGTTTTCAGGAGAGGGGAGCAGTCATCTCCAGCAATTCCAAAATGGCTTCTGGAAGCAAAGGAAGGAGAGTGGCCTAGGTTTTCACTGAGGTTAGAAGTGGGGGGCCAAGATGAGAATTCCCACATGGAGACAGGAAATTGCATGGTTTGAATTTCCTTCATGCAGCAAAGAAGGGAGCATGCAGGCTTTTTTGCCAACTTGCTCAGAGGTAAGTTACAATGGGAAAAGGAAAGGTCAGTTTCTAGGGAGAATAAAGACTGAGGCAGGTGCTTCTCCAAGCACTGCTGCTGCTCTGGGAAAGGGAGGATCTTAGTTACTTGAAAGTTAAACTTTAAAGTGGCCCGTGCTCTGCCTGGCCTTCAGTCAGGAAGGGGTTATATGCTAGAAGGAATATAAAGTACGGCCAAAAGACAAAACCACTGTGAAAAGAGATGACATTGGGCTTTCTCAGGTGCTTGGAACCCATGCCAGCACAGAAATTGCTTGACTTCGTATAAGCAGACCAGGAAGATACTGTGGACATAGACCAGACTGGGCAACAGAGCAAGACTGTGTCAAAAAAAAAAAAAATGACAATGGGAAAGTCACAACTGTGCTGTCACTCCCTGTGTAATAATTGAGCTTTCGTTGAATGATACTGAGGGCCTGTCCAGGCAGGAGTAAGAATGTTAGATTTCCAAATATACTGTTTGGGGTGCCATCACAAGCATCAAGGAGGCAGGAGATGGTATACCATACTGGACAGTTTAGGAGACATTTTGAGTATCAAAATGCATCAGCCCCCCATCCTTCACCTTTGGACTCATGCCAGAGCAACAGAGCCAGCAGGCTTGCTAACTGTTGACAGAAGGAGCACATCACAAACTGGAAGCGGTAGAGTGTAATGAAAGCAGCACGGGTCCCAGAATTAAGAAGTCTGGTTCTGCAATTTTGTAACCAGAGCAGTTCCCACCAATCTCTTGTCCTTGGTTTCTACCTTTAAACAAAGAGAGACTTCATGATCTCTGGGGCTAGGGAAAGTAAGGCTCCACTGCCCTGCAGGATGTCAGGATGACGCCACCCCCATGGCGCTCCCTCATCAAACTCCTAGGGAACAAAGTCCCTCCTCACTGAGCCCCACAGACGAGCCCCGGTCAGCCCAAGGGCCCAGCATGGTTGGAGGGTCCAGCTGCCCTCCCTGTCTGCACGTCCACACCCCCTTACCCTGGACAGCCCTGACGACCGTTGTCTGGTGTCCCAGAGCCATGGCCGCCAGGGCTCCCTGCGAAACAAGCTCAGGCCACAGGAGCCCCGTTCGGCCCCCGCGGGACCGCGCTCCCTCCCGCCGGCGACGGTCCACGCGCGGTCACCCCAAGGCCACTCTGGCCACGGCTGCAGACCTTGAGCGTGGGAAGGGGCAGCCAGCTCCTCGGGCCCATTCGTGATCCTCGGGCGTCCTCTGGCGGCCAGAGCGGGCGTGACCTCAGGAGAATCCCCGCCGAGGCCGAACTCGCCCCGATGGCCGTTTCGCTTTGTGGACGGTCGCATTTTCCCAGCGGGCACTGCGACCGACTGTGACTGTGGTTCCGGGTATGGTGGTTGCACGCCTGTGGTCCCAGCTAGTCGGGAGGCTGAGGCGGGAGAATCGCTTGAGCCCAGGAGGTCGGGGTTGCAGTGAGCTATGACAGCGCCACTACACTCCACCCTGGGCAACAGAGCGAGACCATTTCTCAAAAAGAATAAAATGACAACCGGAAATATACGACCGTGCTGTCGCGGCTGCAGGAAATGGCGGCGTGCCCAGGCGCACTCATGACGGCTGCGTGCTCGTCAAGGTGCACAGGCGCGCACGCGTAGCGTACACTGGTGAAAGTTGCGCATTTGGACAGGCGACACGTCCTGCGCCCGCTACCCAGACTCTGGGGAAGGCAAGGGGTGCCGCTCTGTTCTACTCCTTTTCCTTATCCATCTCTTCTGTCTTTCCAAAGAGATGGTGAAAGCTCCACACACAGGATAAACATGAGGAACTGAGGAACAGTTAAAAAGATGTCTATGCTAGAGCTTCAACCCAGGCCTCCGCCCCAGCCTGCTGTCCCCTGCCTGCCCTTCCACGTCTTATGCACTTCGTTCTGGGAGCCTCCATGCATGCCCTGGGGAGCAAGCCACACATTGCCCTCGCACGGCAGTGTTCCGTCAACTGGCACCATCCAGCATGTTCAGCTTGGTTTCTTTCCTCATCCTCATAAGCCACTGACTCTGGGTTGGAACCACCATCGCAGTTAGGTCATTCTCTACAATCGCTGGCCTACTATGCCCTGACCGTATCCCAGTGAGCACAATAGGGTCAGAATTCCAGGCCACTGTTGTCCCCCAACTTCCATTTTATCCCAAAGAGACCTTTCCCACTAGTTTCCCACAGCAGAGGCGAGACCGGCTGGAAAATGGAATGAAATTTATTGAAGAGAAACGTGTACCGAAATCACTGAAAAGAAGGGAACCACAACACAGAGAGAAACTGCAAACAGCCACTACAGGACACAGGTCCTAGGATCCCTCCTCCTGGGGTTCCTGGCAAGGCGCCTCGTCTACCCCCGTCCTGCTGCCGACCCCACTGCTACCTCCCTCCTTCCCGAGGGCCCCAGGGCCCGCCTCTTGCCAGGACGTGGACTCTGGCAGTGTCCACCGGCTTCAGGGAGCCCCCTCCCAAGCCCATCTGCTGGGGCAGGGCCCTGCCCTATAGTCATCACAGACAGTCACAGGACACCAGTAAACACAGCAGGGAACAGCCCACCAGGTCGAGGAAACAGTCACAAGTAACAACAGGGGTGGAATGCCAAAGCATAAAGCTCTCCTGGGAGCCTCAGGCAGGGCAGCCCCACTCCGTCCCGGGTCCGGCTCTTCCTCCCACAGTCATGGTTACCATCGTGGTCACAGGGTGAGCATTGGCCGCGCCCTGGTTCCTCCTTCCCGCCATCTCCTGGGTCTGTGCTGGGGGCCTCCGGGGAGGAGCAGCTCAGAGAAGAACACACACAGCTCCACGAGAACAAGCAGCCACTGGCCTAGATCTACACCAGGAAAGCAGAGGTGGTGTTTAAGATGCAGGACAGACAGCAGTGAGCAGAACCTGGGCTCACAGGAAGCTCACAGCACATGCCCCGGGCCTAGTGGCGGCCGCCCGGGTGGGTGCACAACACACAACTTTGCACAGGAACGACAGCTAGCAGTGGGTGGGCGTCTGCTGGGCGCGTGGGTCACTACGGGGCCTAAACAGGTGAGGGTGGGCTTCCCAGAACAGGGGGCAGCCTGCCCCGGGGACGGCAAATGGGGCAACCCTCTTGGGAGACCCAGGCAGCTGGCACCCTTGAGAGGACCTCTTTCCCCTGTCTCTCCCAACCCAGGACAAGGGGTGGGGGACAGACATCTTCAGGTGCCCCCACCCAGGTCGCAGCTGGCCACTCAGGGCTCCCTCCTGGCCAGCCCCCCAGAGACGGCAGGGTTTGGGGCTGGGGCTGGGTGCAGCACTGGGTGCAAAGCAGGGGTGCCTCCCCCAACCCCATTTGGTATCAACGTGGTCATCTGGGTCACCGGGAAGGGCTGATGGTGGTGGCCAGGGCCCTTTGGAGGGAGGTGGGGGGCCCCGATCCTGATGTGGGATGAGGGACCAGCCCTGGCCTGGCCTCCCCACTGCCTCCAGGATGCTGCGGCCTGAGAGGAGAGGAGGCCCTGGGGCCCTCTGAGCCTATTTGCCTGGGGAGGATTTGGGCTGACCAACCTTCCTGGCCCCATCCTCATTTTCCAACTCCTCCAGTATGAACATAAGACCCCCTTGGGTCGGGGGGCTCCTCAGCCTCCTGGCCTCCTGCCTGGACAAGACCCTCTGGCTCCTTCGAGGCCTGCAGGGGCATTTTCACCTTCCCTAATGGCAGGGGTGCTCCTGGCGGCCTCTTTGGTGGCAGGAGCAGTCTCAGCAGCATCTTCCACGCCAGGGTCAGCCTGGCTGGCGTCTTCCTGGGCTGAGGAGGCCTGAGCAGCATCTCCACAGGCAGGAGCTGCCTGGGCGGCAACTGGATCTTCACTTTCCACTGTGGCCACTGGCCAGGCCACAACATGCTGGCTCCTCACTGGGGAGGCCGCCCACGCCTCCATCTCCTGGATGAGCTGAAGCAGCCCCAGGAAGTAGGGCGGCCTCCTCTCCAGTGCATCCCCCTCAGGGTATTCTGGAGTGCTTCGCCAGGGCAGGCCTGAGGCTGCACCTACCGCAGTCACAGGTGGTTGGCCAGGGCCGGGCAGACGGCCCCCTTCTCCAGGGCCATCTGCAGCAGGCCTTCCAGGCATACCAGGAAGGCAAAGGGCCCCTGCGTTCAGGTCAGGAACTTCAGCCTGGAAGTCATTCGAGGGTCCCGGTTTCCAAACGCCTGCCCCAGCACCGCTGCCCAGCAGTCCAGCAGCGCCTGGCAGTCCAGTGCCGCCAAGTTGGGATCTTCCTCTAGGAGGCCGCTCACAACGTCCAGGGCTGGGCCACCCAAGCTCTCCAGCAGCCATCTCTTCCTCTCCCTTTCCGACGCATGGTACCACAGCTGCAGCATATCCTTGGCGTGCTCCATCCAGCTCTCAAAGGACTCTTCCTCGCAGCCTGGCTGCTCCCTCCCTGAAAAGGGTCTCAGTTCCTGGTAGGCCCTGTTTTCCAGCACAGCCTGCAGGGTGCAGCGCCGAGGCTGGACCCAGGCTCTTGTTACATTTGTCCCTCTTGCCTCACCCACAGCTCCTGCCTCACCCGCAGCTCCTGCCTCACCCACAGCTCCTGCCTCACCCACAGCTCCTGCCTCACCTGCAGGTCCTGTATCACCTGCGGCTCCCTCATCTGACTCTCTTGCCTCTTCTGCAACTCTCAACTCATCTCCAGCTCCTCCCTCACCTGCACCTTCTGCCTCACTTGCAGATCCTCCCTCACCTGTGGCTTCTGCCTCACCCTTACCCACAGCTCCTGTTTCACCTATGGCTCCTGCTGCACCTGCAGCTCCTCCATCACCTGCCTCTTCTTCCTCACCTGCAGCTCCTGCCTCACCTGCAGATCTTTCCTCATTCACACCTCCTGCCTCACCTACAGATCCTGCCTCACCTGCAGCTCCTGCCTCACCTGCACCTCTGGCCACTGCTTGCCCCTGGGGCTATGCAGGGAAACTGGGTATATCCTGAAACTCAGCATCAAGGGCCTGGGGCAGGGAGATCACTTTCCAGGGTCCCCCTTTGCCTGCTATTTGGCGGGGAATCAAGCTTTGGTTTAAACCCTCAGCGAATTCCACCAAGGCTGCCCTGGCCCCGAGCTCCTTTCTGAAGACCTTGATGAGCACTCGGTACCTGCCCAGGGGCGACAGGGCAGCCCGCACGGCCTCCTGGAACTCATGTTCCTCGCAGTCGTCAGGGATATCCAGGATGAGCAGAGAGCGCTCTGCGTTCACACCCATCCTCCTGCACCAGTCCCGAAGCATCGCCAGAGCCATCGCAGAGGACTTGAGGGAGGGAGCCTGATCAGACAGGAATGTGTGCTGACTGTTGCAGTCTCTGACGCAGCCTGTGAGTGCAAAGGGGAGAGAGGGACGTTGCTGCCAGTCAGCCCACCCCCACCGCACAGCCAGAGACCAGCCACTCCCAAATGCAGGGCCTGAAGCATCTCCCCTGCCCAGTGTCACAGCCCATGCTCCCCCACCCCTACTGCTGCAGCTCAGAGTCCTTCACTGCACCCCCCACCTCCACAGCAGGAAGCGCCTCTTTCACCTGGTGAACAGCCCCTGATCACAAAACTTACAGCTGGAGCCCCTCCAACCATCATGTGCAACCCTGCAGCTGGATGTGCCCACCTCCTCTTTTTCCCAGCACTTGACCAGGAGCCCTCTCCCTAATGCCATCCTCCCTGCAACCTGGCAACCCCCTCCCACGCCTCCCACATCAGCAGCCAGGAGTCCCCTTCCCCCACAGCCAGAGCCCCTCTCTCTCCCATCGTCCCCTTCTGTAGCCAGAGGTGCCCTGCAGCCAGGAGCTCACCCCACCCAGACTCCTGCAGCAAGGAGACCCTCCTCCCCTCTCCTCAGGCTCCAGACCAGGACCCGCTGTCGCACCTACTGCCTGGGGGGACAGCGATCTGGCTCCTGCCCAGTGTGCCCTCAGCCACTCTGGGGTCCCGCTGGTGCCTGCTCACTGTCTGCAGACACTGCAACCACCCACGGGGAAATGCCACCTTCAGGCTGTGGAGCCCACTCTGGAGGCCGCCTTGAGGCCCTGGAATGGGAAGGTGGAAGATCGCGCCCCAGCAGCCCATCTGGGACTGCACAGGGCAGGGATATCTCAGGCCAGCTGTACTAAGGGCACGTGGGCTTCCAACTTCTCCCAGAAGCCTCAGATAGATGAGGGAGAAAAATCTCAGAGTCTCTGTGGGAGGCAAATAGCTAAACAGGGGGAGGCATCCGTGTTGCCCTGGGATCGGGACCTGCGCGGTAAGGGCTTGATGTGCCTCCGGGGGCAACAGGCCCAACCATCAAAATGGCCTAGTGGAAGTGTTGAGAGAGAAAGGGGATTGGAAACTGGCAGAGAGGAAGCTTATGCTTAGGGGCAGCGTCTGGAAGCTGGGAGTTGGTGGACAGCCAGGTACTAGGACTCCAGACTAGGTCCCCCAAATCACTACATTCACAGGCCTACCTCCTCATTGCAGGAATCTCCACAACAGGAAGAGGCTAGCTGTTCCTGACTCAAGAGCCTCATCATAGTTCTTAGGCTACAAAGCCAGCCTTCACCACCTAGGAAGCCATTGCATTGGAAAGAGTGTGTACGGCCTTTGGAAGCAGGCAAAGCTGGCTTCACCTAGCAGCTGGGTGGCTTTGCACAAACCACTGAACATCTCTGTTTCTCATCTGTAAATGAGCAATAAGAACATTTTTCTTGCAGGGGAGTCATGGAGCTTTACCTTCTATTAGACACACGGTAAGCCTTCAGTAAATAACCACAAGGGCACAGGAATGAAAAAGGGTGGTGTGGCCAAGAATGGTGTGGGTATTGGAGGCTGGTTGTGGCAGCCAGCTCAGTGGTCCCAGGTCTGAGCTCTGAGAAAAAGCAGGATGTGAGTGGGAACATTGGAACCATTTTCCTGAGGAATGCAAGGATTGGCCAATGTGAAAATATGACTTTCTGTTTCTGCAGGCCTTGGTCAAGAGAGGCATTTGGGAAACTCAGCCAGTCTCTGCCATGTCTAGGACTGGCTACCCATCTGGCCAGCAGCTTTGGGAGTTTCCTGAGAGTGAACCCTTGATGCATCCTTGAGCACTGCTGCACAGGCACCACTGCCCTCACGTCACTTCCCCAGCCACCAATAGGAACAACAGGAAGAGTAAGAGAGTAAGGGTACGAGGGGCAGAAGCAGACCACATGTGACAAAGTGTAGGTGAGGGACTTGCCTGTGAACTCTTGTAGTAGATTTATATATATATACACACATATATACATATACATATACACACATATACACATATATATACACATATATATACACACATATATATACATATACATATACACACATATACACATATATATACACATATATATACACACATATATATACATATACATATACACACATATACACATATATATACACATATATATACACACACATATATATACGTATATAAAAATATATATATAAATCTCTCTCTATATATATATAGAGAGAGAGAGAGAGAGTAGAGAGAGAGAGGGAGAGAGGGAGGGAGAGAGAGAGAGAGAGATGGAGTCTTGCTCTGTCACCCAGGCTGGAGTGCAGTGGCGTGATTTCGGCTCACTGCAAGCTCCGCCTCCTGGGTTCAAGCGATTCTCCTGCCTCAGCCTCCCGAGTAGCTGGGACTACAGGTGCGTGCCACCACGCCTAGCTAATTTTTTGCATTTTTAGTAGAGACAGGTTTTCACCGTGTTAGTCAGGATGGTCTCGATCTCCTGACCTCGTGATTGGCCTGCCTTGACCTCCCAAAGTGTTGGGATTGATTTTTTAATGTCCCTGGTTCTCCATTTGTAATATGATTTCAAAACTCCTTCTATCACAAGTTAGAGTCAGTTTCCCTACCTCTGGAATCTAGGCTGGCCTAGAGACTTGCTTTGGAAAATGGAACATGAGAGAAGTGATGACATGCCAATTACTGTCGATCATGGGTCACATTTCCCTGTTACTTCACATGTTCTGGGTTTTTAAAAGTTGCATGTCAGGCATTGTGCTTCAAAGAACCATAGGGATTAGAGTACACTCTTTCCTTGGTTAGGTACTATAGTTTCCCTGAGGTATATAACTTCAATCCAATCAGAATTCGAGCTGTACCATGGCTTGCATACATCTTTAGTTAGTATTAGTATTAGATTTCAAACACCCTGAAGATAGGATTTGTGTTAAAGGCTGCTTCCTCCAGTTGCTAGAGTCAAGCAGAACTTTGGGGCCTAAATACAAGATTGATTCTCTCTCTCTCTCTCTCTCTCTCTGTCTCACCCCAGCCTGCCATATTACTTCTGTCACCACGCACTCAGAAAAAAAACTCATTAGGAGAATCCATTGATGGGGAGAACTAGGTATGCATTTGGGGCTCCTACAGATTCCAATGTGTCTACCCAGGCCACACAGTCATTAACTGTCTTTATCCCAGCAATTATTGCACCTATGGCCGGCACAATCCTCTGCCTTGTAAGACCATTCTTACCGGAGAGGACAATGGCCATTGATATGTGTTTGTCTCTCTCTGAAATTTAGTTACTTTAGACTTCAGGCAGGGCACGGTGGCTCATGCCTGTAATGCCAGCACTTTGGGAGGCCAAGGCGGCCGGATCACTTGAGTCCAGGAGTTTGAGACCAGCCTGGGCAGCATGGCAAAAACCCGTCACTACAAAAACCCAAAAATTAGCCAAGCATGGTGGCGTGCACCTGTAGTCCCACTTCTCAGGAGGCTGAGGTGGGAAGATCCTCTGAGCCAGGGAGACGGAGGTTGCAGTGAGCTGAGACTGTACCACTTCACTACAGCTGAGGTGACAGAGTGAGACACTGTCTCAATATATATGAGATTTTTGACCATCTGATTTTTTTATAGTTGTTACAATGAGATTAATGCTCTGTCATGACCTACATCCTAACCAGAACAAGTCTACTCCAAACCCACAAAGAAATGGGTCTGGAGTTCTTCTTCTTGAGACATTTTAAGTGATCTCTTTTAATCCTAGAAACTAGGTGGTAGGGGTATTCGGTGCACTTGAAATTTTGACTTGAGAGGGAAGGTGACCCTAGTGGATTTATAATTTCCCTAAGTTCCATTTCTGTAGAGCTAGGGATGTTCATATTGGTGGCTTACTTTTGCTCCCTGGCTTTACAAATAACAAGTGGACACAATTAAGTGCCAGGTTTGTCAATGGGAAAGTTGTGTAGACCTGGTTCATTGGACATTTTTCTGAGATGTATATTGGGTTATCACCAAGTGAGGTGATAACCTCATCCCAAATCTGCTATTAATAACAAAAATTGCATCGTAATGTAGAATGCTAGAACAATGGGATATTGCACAACTAGGCTCGAGGAGTTAATTTGGATTCAGTGGACAAGGTGCATATGCAATTGAGTGTTCAGTAACAAAATTTATCCTAAAACACAGAGGAATTTTGTATCCATATTTATTACCATAATTGTCCACAGTATGTATCAGTCTCTCCTGGAGATACCACATGGTGATAGACCAGCAAGACTGGACATATTTATGCTCACAGAAACATTTTCTGTTCTATCTGCAGTGCTATCACAGCTTACATGGTGGCACCTGGGGAAAGGTAACAAAAGCAGCTGACAGAAATAAGGGACCCAGTGGATAGTGATATAACAGAAGTGAGTAGGTGGTAAGAACTTGGTATAGTGGTATGGCTCCACGGTTTGCACATGGAAAATAATACATATAAGCTCCTAAGAACTGGAACTTCACTACACCCAGTCCTGAGGAGGAAATACTCCATGGCTCTCTCCCTCTGTGGGAAGTGGGGGGACTGTGGCTCCTTTGATACTCATGTTGCACCCACTGAGACCTGTGGTAAAAGTGTAGCTCATCCCAGGCTGAGCAAGGAAGAGCCATTCCTCCAAGCCCAAAGCAGTAGAAAGGATATCAGTCATCATTCCCCACTGGCTGCTGTCATCAGCATATGCACTGAGCTTGCCCAGAGGGCAGAAGACCTGCAACCCTTTCCTCCCCTTTCTTGATAGTGTCCTTAGATGCACGAACGTTTTTGTTTTTGTTTTTGTTTTTGTTTTGTATGAAGTCCAATTTATCTATTCTTTCCTTTGGTTGCTTGTGGTGTCATATCTAAGAAACCATTGCCTAATCCAAGTTCATGAAGATCAACATCTATGTTTTCTTCTAAGAGGGCTGTAGTTTGAGCCCTTCGATTTAGGTGTTTAGTTCATTTTGAGTTTATATAGGATGTGAGGTGGGGGTCTGAATTAACTGTTTTACAAGTGGAAATACAGTTGTCTTAGCACCATTTGTTGACAAGATTTTTTTTTCCCATAGAATGGTTTTGGTGTCCTTGTCAAAAGTTCACTTGACAATATATATACGGTTTTATTTATAGACTCTAAATTCTATTTCATTGATGCCAGTATCATAGTCTTTTTTTTTTTTTTTCGAGACAGGGTTTCACTCTGTTGCCCAGGCTGGAGTACAGGGATACAGTTACAGCTCACTGCAGCCTTGACCTTTTGGGCTCAACCTATCCTCCTGCCTCAGCCTCCTGAGTGGCTAGGAACACAGGCCCAAGTCACTAGGCCCAGATATTTTTCCTTTTTTTTGGTAGAAATGGTGTCTCTCTATGTTTCCTAGGCTGGTATCAAACTCCTGGCCTCAAGGAATCTTCCTGTCTTGGCCTCCCAAAGTTCTGGGATTACAAGCATGAGCCACCGCACCCAGCTCCAAAAAATATTTAGCCTCTCTGTACCATATAAAGACCAGAAGGAAAAATAATATAAATACAAATATAAATTTATGCATAGTAATTAATATTTCAGTATTTTTACTTAGAAATAATCTAGCCATTTAATGAATATCTATTACTTAATTTAGCATAACATAAGGTTGTAAGTTATCCCCTAAAAATTGGAAACTGTTTTTAACCATATTATAAATATTGTTGAAATAAAAGTTATCATCAGAATAATGACTCGATTAAACTCAAATTTATATTCTGTGAAATCTTAAATATCTAACAGATACAGTGTTAACTTTTTGACTAGGAAGCCTATATAAGCTTAGTAAGAACATACCCAGGTAATATAAATATGTATGTTTGTATTATGCTTAATGCTGATAACTCAGAGACATAGCTGTTTTTATTAAAGCAGATATCTATTTACAACTATATCTACATCTATTTAGAGACGGAGTTTCTCTCTGTCATCCAGGCTGGGTTCCAGCAATCCTCCCACCTCAGCCTTCTGAGCAGCTAGGACTACAGGTGCATAACACCATGTCCAGCTACTTTTTAAATTTTTGGTAGAAACAGGGTATCGCTATGTTGCTAAGGCTGGTCTCGAACTCCTGGCCTCAAGTAACCTTCCTGTTTTGGCCTCTCAAAGTGCTAGGATTACATGCATGACCCACTGGGTCTGGCCTTAAGCTAACTCTTCTTTATCAAAGATTTACTAAATGATGTGATGTTGAGTTTTTAAAGCATTTGGGTTAGTTTCTAAATTCTTGAGAGTTTTAGTTTAATTTATATAAGTGCTTATTTATCTCCAGGATACCTAGAATGGAGCTCCTTTAAAGGATTTATAAGTTTGTTTGGTAATACCATCTATAGTCAGGAAAATATCACATATACATAACATACACATATACATACATACATGTATACATAAACATACACACAGATACAAATACAGATCTTATGGCTTTATTTCTAAATTTTCAGCCAGGACTCAGGCATAAACACAAAAATACAAAACTCACGGTTTAATTTTTTTAATTGGCTTTCATCTTTGACACAGCTTTAAATTTTTTTTTTTTTTTTTTTTTTTTTTTTTTTTTTTGAGACGGAGTCTCGCTCTGTCGCCCAGGCTGGAGTGCAGTGGCGGGATCTCGGCTCACTGCAAGCTCCGCCTCCCGGGTTCACGCCATTCTCCTGCCTCAGCCTCCCACACCTTTAAATTTTGACGAAGATTGTGTTTTTGGTAGATGGGACAAGACGGGGTTACCTGCTCAATAAGAAGGCTGAAGCATCCCACTAATATTTGTAAAGGAGATTTGTAAGATTTTCTTTTGCCCTGATGTATAATCCAATAAGAAGCTATAGACTAAATTTTGGGTGAGGGACCAAAGAGACATCAAGTGGATGTCTGGATGTCTCAAAAATCCATCTGAGTGGATATAATATCCACAGTGGTCCCAGTGAGCCTTTTCATCCTTGAGTGATTGATTTTGAGGTCCCTGAGCACCTGGCGAGCCCTCGATGGGGGAAGGGTGCCTGAAGCCCTAGTGACTATAGGCAGCTAAGAGGCCTGAGTGGGAATGGAAAGGCCTGCTGAAGAGTGGATAGAGGGGTGCAGGAAGTAGAGGTGTTGAAGGGGACAGATGAAAAAATTCAGGGAGCTGAAGGAAAGGTCCAAGGTGGTGAACAGGAGGGAGGAGGGATGAGGGAGGGGGAGAGTGACAAGAAGCGGGAAATCTTAGATAAGCCGGTTTAGGGAGACCCCAAGTTCTCAAAGAGGCCATTGCAGTTCCAAATTGGCTGTAAAATTTTGCCATTTCTGGAGCTAGTGAACTGAGTCAGTGCCTTTATGGCTAAGCATGTAAACAGCGGGGAAGAAAGGAGAAAAGGCGACTGACACAGTAAGAATTACCCATAGAATTAACAAATAGTTAAACTAAAGAGAAGAAAAACTTGTAAGTGACCAGAAAGTAGTCCCACTTACTTAATTTTTCACACTCCCTGTGTCTGAGAACGAAGAGAACACCCCACACAGTCCTTGAATTCAGAAGCCTAAGGATCCCCTCCCCAATTTCTGGGTTCCAAGAGCCAAGGGACCCACTACCACCCTTCTCGATTTCCAGATTCAGAGAGGCAAGGGAACCCTCCCATCGAATCTCTGGGTTCAGAAAGCCAAGGGAACCCCTCTCAATCTCTGGGTTGAAGAGTGGAGGGAATCTCCTTGCACAGTTTCCAGGTACCAGGTAGCCAATGAAATTCCCACAAAATGCCCAGGTTAGGGGAGCCTAGGAACAATAGAAGATGCCTCATGGAAGGTGCAAAGAAAAGTTGTTTTGCCAGAATAAAACTCTTTAGTACCATGTTACAAGAGACAAGTGTCTGGTCACTGAATTCCATAAGAGCGTGTAACTCACCACCATGAACCTCAATTTCCCCAGTCAAGAAAGGAGACAAAGAGTCTGAGAAGCTGGTGTGGATATCCAGGTGAAGACAGGAGTAGTCGTCAGCATGCCAGCAGATATGCTGCACCATTAACTAATACATAAAAATAAATCCCTCTGGATATATACCCAGAAGTTGGATTGTTGGGTCATATGGCCATTATATTTCTAATTTTCTGAGGAACCTCCATACTTATTTCCTAATGGCTGCACCAAGCTACATCCCCATCAACAGTGTACAGGAGTTTCCTTTTCTCCACATCCTTACCAACACATGTTGTCTTTTGACATTTTGATAATAGCTATCCTAACAGATGTAAGTGATACCTCACAGTGTTTATGATTGGCATTTCCCTGATGATCAGTGATGCTGAGCACCCTTTCATGTGCCTGTTGGCCATTTGTATGTCTTCTATGAAAAAATGTCTATTGGGTCCTTTGTACATTTTATAATTGGGTTATTTGGTTTTTGCTATTGAGTTATATGAGCTCCTTATATATTTTAGATAGTAACTCCTTATCTGATACATGGCTTACAAATATTTTCTTCAATTCTGTAGTCTGCCTTTTCATTTTGTTGTTTCCTTTGCTGTGCAGAAGCTTTTTGGTTTGATGTAGTCCCGCTTATTTATTTTTGCTTTTGTTGCCTGAGCTTTTGGTGTCATATTCAAACTATAATTGTCAAGATCAATGTCAAGGAGCTTTCCCCTTGGGTTTTATTTTAGGAATTTTGTGGTATCAGGGCTTACATTTAAGTCTTTAATCCATTTTGAATTCACTATTGTGTATGGTGTAAGAGAAGGGTCTAATTTCTCTTTTTTGCATGTGGATATACAGGTTTCCATACAATTTATTGAAAAGTTTATCCTTTTGTTATCAAACTGAACTGGGGTCCGCTCACCTGGCACAGTAAAACCAGATATCCACACCAAGGTTTGCAGTGGTAGAAATGAAGGTGCTTATTTGCAGGGCACTAAGCAAGGAGGATCAGGCAGCTAATGCTCAAATCCAGGCCTCTCCAGCGGCTTGCAGGTAAGGGCTTTTAAAGGCAGGAGTAAATTTCACGAAAGCAAAAGTTACAGGCCAATTCATAAATCAATATACATGGAGGTTACACGTTGGTTTTGGCCTAAAAGGATGGGATATCTTGAAGTGAGGGGGATATCTTGAAGTGAGGGCTTAAAGGCTGTAAATAGATACAGAGATTTTCTGATTTGCAGTTGGTTGAGAAACTTTGTTTAAAATTTTGGGGTCAGCAGAAAAGAATGCTAGCTCTGGCTCGTGGGTGGGCTGTAACTTTCTCCAGGCCCCTCATGAAGAAATTTGGAACAAAGAGGGGTGGTCAGAGTTCAGTCCACAGCTCTACCTTTTCTGAGGTTTGCATGCCACAGCATCCATTTGGTGGGGGTCCAAGTTTCTGAAAAACAACTTAGAGACATATGTGAAGATGTTATCTTTAGTTTCTATAAGGGAACAAAACATCCTGTGATTCTAGCGTCCTGGGCTATTGTGGTTTTTGTGTGTTTTGTTTTGTTTTTGCTTTCGAACTTTTAAGTTCAGGGGGTACATGTGCAGGTTTGTTACATGGGTAAATTGGGTGTCATGGCAGTTTGGTGTACAGATTGTTTTGTAACGCAGGTAATGAGCATAGTACTCAGTAGGTAGTTTCTCACTTGTCACCCTCCTTCTACCCTCCACTCTCAAGTAGGTCCCAGTGTCTATTGTCCCCTTTTTTATGTCCATGTGTACTCAGTGTTTACCTCCCACTTATAAGTGAGAACATGTGGTATTTGCTTTTACCTTCCCACATCAATTCACTTCGGATAACAGCATCCAGTCCATTCATGTTGCTACAAAGAACAGATTTTATTCATTTTATGGCTGTATAGTATTCCATGGTGTATATGTACCATGTTTTATTTATCCAGTCTACAATTGATGGGCATTTAGGTTGATTCTGTGTCTTTGCTATACTGAATAGCACTGCAGAGAACATACACGTGCAGGTGTCTTTATCATAGAACAATTTATATTTCTTTGGATATATACCCAGTAATGAGGTTGCTGGGTCAAAGGATAGTTTGTTTTTTTTTTAAATTGAATATTATAAGAATTGCATTTTTTAATTATACTTTAAGTTCTAGGGTACCTGTGCACAATGGGCAGGTTTGTTACATATGTATACGTGTGCCATGTTGGTGTGCTGCACCCATTAACTAGTCATTTATATTAGGTATATCTCCTAATGCTATCCCTCCCCCTTCCCCCCACCCCACGACAGGCCCTGGTGTGTGATGTTCCCCTTCCTGTGTCCAAGTGTTCTCATTGTTCAATTCCCACCTATGAGTGAGAACATGCGGGTTTCTGTCCTTACAATAGTTTGCTGAGAATGATGGCTTCCAGCTTCATCCATGTCCCTACAAAGGACATGAACTCATCCTTTTTTATGGCTGCATAGTATTCCATGGTGTATATGTGCCACATTTTCTTAATCCAGGCTATCATTGTTGGACATTTGGGTTGGTTCCAAGTCTTTGCTATTGTGAATAGTGCCGCAATAAACATACGTGTGCATGTGTCTTTATAGCAGCATGATTTATAATCCTTTGGGTATATACCCAGTAATGGGATGGCTGGGTCAAATGGTATTTCTAGTTCTAGATCCTTGAGGAATCACCACACTGACTTCCACAATGGTTGAATTAGTTTACAGTCCCACCAACAATGTAAAATTGTTCCTATTTCTCCACATCCTCTCCAGCACCTGTTGTTTCCTGACTTTTTAATGATTGCCATTCTAACTGGTGTGAGATGGTATCTCATTGTGGTTTTGATTTGCATTTCTCTGATGGCCAGTGATGATGAGCATTTTTTCATGTGTCTTTTGGCTGCATAAATGTCTTCTTTTGAGAAGTGTCTGTTCATATCCTTTGCCCACTTTTTGATGGGGTTGTTTTTTCTTGTAAATTTGTTTGAGTTCTTTGTAGATTCTGGATATTAGCCCTTTGTCAGATGAGTAGATTACAAAAATTTTCTCCCGTTCTGTAGATTGCCTGTTCACTCTGATGGTAGTTTCTTTTGCTGTGCAGAAGCTCTTTAGTTTAATTAGATCCCATTTGTCAATTTTGGCTTTTGTTGCCATTGCTTTTGGTGTTTTAGACATGAAGTCTTTGCCCATGCCTATGTCTTGAATGGTATTGCCTAGGTTTTCTTCTAGGGTTTTTGGTTTTAGGTCTAACATTTAAGTCTTTAATCCATCTTGAATTAATTTTTGTATAAGGTGTAAGGAAGGGATCCAGTTTCAGCTTTCTATATATGGCTAGCCAGTTTTCCCAGCACCATTTATTAAATAGGGAATCCTTTCCCCATTGCTTGTTTTTGTCAGGTTTGTCAAAGATCAGATGGTTGTCGGTGTGTAGTATTATTTCTGAGGGCTCTGTTCTGTTCCATTGGTCTATATCTCTGTTTTGGTACCAGTACCATGCTGTTTTGATTACTGTAGCTTTGTAGTATAGTTTGAAGTCAGGTAGCGTGATGCCTCCAGCTTTGTTCTTTTGGCTTAGGATTGTCTTGACAATGCAGGCTCTTTTTTGGTTCCATATGAACTTTAAAGTAGTTGTTTTCAGTTCTGTGAAGAAAGTCATTGGTAACTTGATGAGGATGGCATTGAATCTATAAATTACCTTGGGCAGTATGGCCATTTTCACAATATTGATTCTTCCTACCCATGAGCATGGAATGTTCTTCCATTTGTTTGTGTCCTCTTTTATTTCGTTGAGCAGTGGTTTGTAGTTCTCCTTGAAGAGGTCCTTCACATCTCTTGTAAGTTGGATTCCTAGGTATTTTATTCTCTTTGAAGCAATTGTGAATGGGAGTTCACTCATGATTTGGCTCTCTGTTTGTCTGTTATTGGTGTATAAGGATGCTTGTGATTTTTGCACATTAATTTCGTATCCTGAGACTTTGCTGAAGTTGCTTATCAGCTTAAGGAGATCTTGGGCTGAGATGATGGGGTTTTCTAAATATACAATCATATCATCTGCAAACAGGGACAGTTTGACTTCCTCTTTTCCTAACTGAATACCCTTCATTTCTTTTTCCTGCCTGATTGCCCTGGCCAGAACTTCCAACACTATGTTGAACAGGAGTGGTGAGAGAGGGCATCCCTCTCTTGTGCCAGTTTTCAAAGGGAATGCTTCCAGTTTTTACCCATTCAGTATGATATTGGCTGTGGGTTTGTCATAAGTAGCTCTTATTATTTTGAGATACGTCCCATCAATACCTAATTTATTGAGAGATTTTAGCATGAAGGGCTGTTGAATTTTGTCAAAGGCCTTTTCTGCATCTATTGAGATAATCATGTGGTTTTTGTCTTTGGTTCTGTTTATATGCTGGATTACATTTATTGATTTGTGTATGTTGAACCAGCCTTGCATCCCTGGGATGAAGCCCACTTGATCGTGGTGGATAAGCTTTTTGATTTGCTGCTGGATTCTGTTTGCCAGTATTTTATTGAGAATTTTTACATCGATGTTCATCAGGGATATTGGTCTAAAATTCTCTTTTTTTGTTGTGTCTCTGCCAGGCTTTGGTATCAGGATGATGCTGGCCTCATAAAATGAGTTAGGGAGGATTCCCTCTTTTTCTATTGATTGGAATATTTTCTGAAGGAATGGTACCAGTTCCTGCTTGTACCTCTGGTAGAATTCGGCTGTGAATCCGTCTGGTCCTGGACTTTTTCTGGTTGGTAGGCTATTAATTATTGCCTCAATTTCAGAGTCTGTTATTGGTCTATTCAGGGATTCAACTTCCTCCTGGTTTAGTCTTGGGTGGGTGTATGTGTCCAGGAATTTATCCATTTCTTCTAGATTTTCTAGTTTATTTGCGTAGAGGTGTTTATAGTATTCTCTGATGGTAGTTTGTATTTCTGTGGGATGGGTAGTGATATCTCCTTTATCATTTTTTATTGCGTCTATTTGATTCTTCTTTCTTTTCTTCTTTATTAGTCTTGCTAGCAGTCTATCAATTTCGTTGATCTTTTCAAAAAACCAGCTCCTGGATTCATTGATTTTTTGAAGGGTTTTTTGTGTCTCTATTTCCTTCAGTTCTGCTCTGATCTTAGTTATTTCTTGCCTTCTGCTAGCTTTTGAATGTGTTTGCTCTTGCTTCTCCAGTTCTTTTAATTGTGAATGTTAGGGTGTCAATTTTAGATCTTTCCTGCTTTCTCTTGTGGGCATTTAGTGCTATAAATTTCCCTCTACACACTGCTTTAAATGTATCCCAGAGATTCTGGTAATGCCTGTGTCTAGAATGTTATTTCCCAGATTTTATTCTACAATTTTTATAGCTTAAGTCTTACATTTAAGTTTTAATTCCTCTTGAGTTGGTTTTTGTATATGGTGAAAGAAATGGATCCTGTTTCAGTCTTCTGCATATGGCTAGCCAATTATTCCTGCATGATTTACTGAATAGGGGTTCCTTTCCTCATTGCTGTTTTTCTCAACTTTGTTGAAGATGAGATGGTTGTAAGTGTGCCACTTTATTTCTGGGATCCCTATCCTGTTCCATTCGTCTAAGTGCCTGTTTTGTATCAGTACCATATGGTTTTGTAAATGTAGTAGAGTTTGAAGTCGGGTAGTGTGATACCTCTGGCTTTGTTCGTTTTGCTTTTTTTCTAATTCTGAGAAAAATGACATTAGTAGTTTGATAGTAATAGCATTGAATCTGCAAATTGCTTTGGGCAGTATGGTCATTTTAATGATATTGATTCTTCCCATTCATGAGGATGGAATGTCTTTCCATTTGTTTGTGTCATCTCTGATATCTTTGAGCAATGTTTTGTAATTTTCCTTGTAGAGATCTTTCACCTCCCTGGTTAGCTGTATCCCTATAGGCATTTTCTTCATTTTGTGGCAATTGTGAATGGGATTGCATTCTTCACTGGGCTTTCAGCTTGGATGTTATTGATGTCTAGAAATACTACTGATTATTGTATCCTGAAACTTTGCTGAAGTAGTTTGTCAGATCTAGGAGCCTTTGGGCAGAGACTACGGAGTTTCCTTGGTTTAAAATTATATCATTTGCGAAGAGAGATAGTTTGACTTCCTCTCTTCCTATTTGGATGCTTTTATTTACTTCTCTTGCCTGATTGCTCTGGCGAGGACTTCCAGTGCTATGTTGAATAGCAGTGGTGGGAGAGGGCATTCTTGTCTCATTGCAATTCTCAAGGGGAATGCTTTCAGCTTATGCCGAGACTACATGTTGAAAAATGTCCTTGAGAGCTTGACTTTGTAACACGTGGCAGTACCTTCTCTCGGTCTCTGCCATCCAGGGAACAGGAATTTTGGGGTTCATATCAGTTAGCCCTAAACATTATCTCGAGCAGTTAAAAACTTTTGCAAGCTCAAAATTGGCTGTCCTAGGCTCCTTCTGAGAAGAGGAGTGGAAACTGCCCAGTGCTATAGCTCGGCAGCTAAGGTTTTGCCGTATTATAATGGCTGCCCGGATTCAATTCCTGGCTTAGGGAATGAGTCCTTTCTGATTGATATCTGGGTAAGATTTACCATTTTTTAATTCTCTTCTCCTCCAAGAACTGTCTTGAATTTTCCTTTCTCTGAGCCAGAAATATTGGTCATTTGGCCTGGCTAAAGTTGGGTAATAAGAAATTTAAAAGAACTTTTTAAAAAGAGCATTATGGTTAAAAGTCAGCTTAATTAAAAGCGGATATTCAAGCTCTAATAGCCTGGACTTCTTGAGGAAAAACAGAGGAGGTGCCACAGACCCTGTTTTGGGAAAAAACCTCCTCTGTTTTCTTTGTAAAACCCAAGGAATTGAAAGCAGATAGATCCCTTTCCAAATCTAAGGTTCTGTTCTGTTTTGCATTGCATTATCTGACGTTTTTTACTTTTTGAGGTATCAGAAATTACTTCACATTATAAGAGAGCTTTGCTGTGTAATAACAAGGTAGGAAATATACTTTTATGGATGGCTAATGGCAGTCATGAGGCAATATGTGGCTCTTTGCATGTTTGGATTAGAAAAGCATGCTCCTGGCCACCTGGAAGGTATGGAGATATTCCCCCACTGAGAGATAAGGGTCCCATGGGAGATGGGCTAATTCCCTCTTTTTGGGATCCAGGATCTGGTATAAAAATGGGACCTTAATTTTGGGGAATCTGTTTTTGCCTTTCAGCTGTGCCTGCTTAATAGGCCCTACAAACTGCATCTTTTAAAAGAAACTTAAGAAACTGGCAAATGAAAAATCTTAACAACTACTGGTTATTCTTCTGTCTGTGTATTTATATGTGTTGTGTGTGTGATGTTTATGAAAGAGCTTTGATTAATTGGCTTAAAAATAGTGCTTAAATATTTTATCAGAAAAATAAAAAGCATAATGCCTTTTAGTTCACATTACTTTAGTAATTTTGGGGAAATAAAAACAGTTTTACAAGCAAGGTGTGTAAGGAAAGTGAAATGTGTTTTTGGTAAAAGATTAAAAGAAGGCATGAGAATGTGGATTTTTTTTAGAAGGTTAAAGGATTGTTTTAAGTTAGGTAGGAAAAAGCTGAAGATTTGAGCAAGTTGTGGAAGGTTTGTGAAAAATTAATCTTGTAAAAGAAATTCTGTGTGTGAACATATTGGCTAACATTAAAGGGTATTCAGTTTTTCTGTAAATTGAACATTGGAATAAAAGCACAACAGGCTTTTCATAAAGCACTCATCTGCTCTTTAACAAAAATTTTTCAAGGGTTTATAAGAATCTTACTTTATGATGAGACTTTAAAATTGGATAGATTTGTGTATAAGGTTTTATTAAGAATTGGGTTTAACATCAATAGTGCATTAATGGAAAGGGTGAAATGTGGCTTTCTCTCTTGAACAGGATTTTCATGTTTTATTAAAAAATAATGAAAGATTTTTGTTTGCCTTTTAAATAAACTACAGGAAAAGAGGGGAAAGAAAAGAGACATTGTTTGGAAAGCTAGGTCTTCCCTCTTCATGAGTAAGGGGTTTTGCCTTTTAAAAATTTTTTAAGTTATTATTTTGGCAAAATGAATGACTTATGGTCACCTGGGATTCTATTTTGTGATATCTAGTGTTTTAAACCTTTGATATTTGACAAGCTTCCCAAAATCAAATTATAAAATATGTCTTTTTCTGACCTAATTAATCTTTTAGATATTAGGTCACCTAAAGTCCAAAAGTGACTTTTGGCTTATTTGGTATAAAAGTCATACAGGAAGCATTGTCAAATATGAAATGGTGTTTGGCCTTCTTTGGGCTGTGTTTGTATAAATATGTTATTGGCATGTATTCCAAAATTATGGAAGCTCCTATAATTCTGATATAACTTAGTGTGTGTTATCAATAGTTATAATTGCTATGTAAAATTGTTGTATACCACAGAGGTAATCAAAATTTTTTTGTCCATTGTGGCTTTAATAGTGGCTGTCCTAAAATTTTGTCATCCACAGACAATTGTTATCTTGTTTTAATACTCTTCAGAAGGTGGTTTTATAATCACCTATAGAACCCTAACAAGTGTTATTAAATGCAGGTTTTCTGATAACTTTGGAGAGTGTGACATTCAGATAGAGGAAAAACTTTCAGGACTCATGGACAGCTGAAATGTTCATGAATATCAAACAGGACAGGAGCTAACTGCATGTATTGCGCTAATAGAAGTTTGAAGTAATCTTGGCTGTTTGCTTAAAATGTTGCTGATCCTTTGTTTTGTTTTCCAGAGTCAAGGAAACTTTTGAGCTATTTAAAGCTTTTAACAATTAAGTAAAGTATACACCTATGAACACAATTTGGAGCATATGGGGAAACTGGTTATTTTACCAAGGCTTTGACGAGAATAGGGTGCTTTCCTTTAAGGAAAAAAACTTGACTTATAGAGCCAATAAAAGCCCCTTGGGAAAACTGGCCTCATAGGTTGTCTATACAGTCCCTGTACAGGGTTCCTGACCCGTGGTAAGTAAAGCATGTCACTTTCTCACAGGCCCAGGTGCCCCCAGTTATCTTAGGACCTCAAGAGAAGAGGAATTTACCCAACTCGTAAGTATTTGAGAGTATAAACCCACAGCTGGGCTTGGCTTTAAAAAAAAAAAAAGTCTTCAGGGCTCACGCCTATAATCCCAGCACTTTTGGAGGCAGAGGCGGAGGCGGGTAGATCACGGGGTCAGGAGTTCAAGACCTGCCTGGCCAAGATGGTGAAACCCCATCTCTACTAAAAATACAAAAAATTAGCTGGGTGTGGTGGCAGGCACCTGTAATCCCAGCTACTTGGGAGGCTGAGGCGGAGAATTGCTTGAACCCGGGAGGGGAGGTTGCAGTGAGCCAAGATCATGCCACTGCACTCCAGCCTGGGTGACAGAGCGAGACTCTGTCAAAAAAAAATGGAAAAAAAGTCTTATCTGAGATTCTTTCGATGGAACAGAGTTCCATCAAAGCTAATTTAAAAATAATTATTCTTGCTGCACTTTATATGAATGATCAGGCCAAGTATAAGAAAGTAAATTGGTCTTACCATGATTTGTTTTTAATAAAAATGGGAGACTGGAGATAGAAAAACTCTTTCGAACACTGTGGTACACATGTTAATAGATTCTAGTCTCATCAGTTGTTCTGGGACTTTTTTCTTCAATTTAGACTAACCCTGCTTATTCCTGTGAACAAACCAGTGACCTCTGACTGCTATTCAGAAGAAAGAAGAGGGATGGGTGATGTAAAAATCTGGATCTGTATTCTAATTCTGGGCACATATTGGGATGGGCTAGCAACCCCATATCAACTTGGTTCCAACAATTGTCCAGTTCATGGAAAGCCTTTTCTAATTTAATTTACTAGAGATAATTTTACTTATTTTGCTTTCCTGTTGTTGAATATATTGCTGTTATAGTCTTTGTGTAGGAATGCAGGACAAGCTTACTGAATGTTTCCCTAAACTGAACACTTATTAATCTTCCAGATATCACCTTTTGTTGAAACTCAAGAGTTATGAATGGCCTTCAACATACCGACACTTTCTAACCGAACTCCTCTCTACCCTGAATGCAAGAGACCCAGTAGTTAGGTAGGAATATCATCTCCCCTGTTCAGCATAAAGAAGTTACAGAAGATGGATTTTCATCCCTTTGCAACCCTTAGGATTAAGGGTTCTCTTGTAAAAGGGAGCAGGGAAATGTCAGAGGCATTTGAACCAAAACAACTCCATCTTGAATAGGGGCTGGGTAAAATGAGGCTGAGACCTACTGGGCTGCATTCCCAGATGGTTAAACATTCTAAGTCACAGGATGAGACAGGAGGTCAGCACAAGATACAGGTCATAAAGACCTTGCTGATAAAACAGGTTGCAGTAAAGAAGCTGGCCCAAACCCACCAAAAACAAGATGGTGATGAGAGTGACTTCTGGTCATTCTCACTGCTACACTCCTGCCAGCGCCATGACAGTTTACAAATGCCATGGTGATGTCAGGAAGTTACCCTATATGGTCTAAAAAGGGGAGGCATGAATAATTCACTCCTTGTTTAGCATATCATCAAGAAATAACCATAAAAATGAGCAACCAGCAGCCCTTGGGGCTGCTCTGTCTGTGGAGTAGCAATTCTTTTATTCTTTTACTTTTCTAATAAACTTGCCTTCATTTAAAAAGAAAAGAAGAAATTAAACCATTGGTTAATTATGGTGAAATCAATAGGCTCAGAACAGTTCATAACCTTAGAGTATAGAGCAAATCCCACACCCCTCCACAAAGGAGTTAGAAAGAAGCAGGGAACTGAAGATGTAGGGTCCAGGATTGCTCCGTTTGCTTGATAGGTCACTCAAGAGGGCCTTTCATTATATTCTATGGTAAAATTGGGAACAGCTGTAAAGTTAGTTACAGGCATGATTAAAGGATCAGTATGGTCATGAAACCAAAACAGTTTGGGATGACATACACGACAATCAGTTAAATTTACTGAAGAGGCCAGAGATTAGGAAAATCTAACCATAGAGTTATGTCTCTATGTGAAACAGAAATCATGTTTACTGGTTCCTAGAGGGGCAATTAGAATGATATAGCAAGTAACATATGCTATATGCCACACACTTTTAAACAACCAGATAGTGCAAAAATTCACTATCACAAGGACAGTTCCAAGGGCCATGAGGCTAAACCATTCATGAGAAAACCACCCTCATGATCCAATCACCTCCCACCAGGCCCCACCTCTGACACTGAGAATTACAATTCAACATGAGATTTGGGTGAGGACACAGATCCAAATCATATCAGCATTTAAAGATAGATCCAAAGATTGTACATACCTGACAGTGTCCAACTCTTTGATTTTTAAATCACTTATCTGTTTACCTTGTGGCTCAGAATATAGACAGGGTCTCCCATACAAGATTTCATAAGGGCTTAATTGAAGCCCGCTTCTAGGGGCCACTCTAATCCTAAGCAGTGCAACTGGCAATACCTTGTCCCATGTCCGATTTGTTTCCTGACGAATTTTTGCAACAGTGTTTTTTTTAGGGTGTGGTTCATCTTTTCAGTCTTTCCAATGGACTAGGGTTGCCAAGAGGCATGTAATTTAATTTCCAGCTGTTTGGACACCTCCTAGGTTATCTTGGCAATAAAGGCACTCCTATTATCGCTCTGGATGGTGAATTGCAACCCAAATCTGAGGATAATTTCCTCCATTAAGATTCTTACTATTTCTGAAGCCCTCTCAGTGTGGCAGGAAAAGCCTTCCACCTATCCAATAAATAAATAAATGTATTACTAACAACTATCTAAAATTCCCTTTGGCTCTTGGCATTACAGTAAAATCTGTTTGCCAATTTTCTCCTAGCCCATTGCCTCTTGCATGTATTCCCTTTGGTGTGGATGAACCCGATTTTGGATTATTCTTGGAACAGATTAAACATTTCTATATGACCTTCTATATAATCTTTTGCATATTAGGACCTATGATGCAATTCTGAATCCACCTAAGTGTGGCATCCCTTCCATAGTGGGTACTCAGATGAAGCAAACTAATTATTTTTTCCATTAAAATCTCAAGGATCAGAGCTGGACATGGTGGCTCACGCCTGTAATCCCAGCACTTTGGGAGGCCGAGGTGGGCAAATAGCTTGAGCCCAAGAAGTTTGAGACCAGCCTGGGCAAAATGGCAAAACCCTGTCTGTAAAAAAAATTTTTTTTTAAAACACAAAAGTTAGCTAGGCGTGGTGGTACATGCCTGTAGTTCCAGCTACTTGAGAAGCTGAGGTGGAAGGAACACCTGAGCCTGGGGAGGTTGAGGCTGCAGTGAGCTGTGATTGTGCCACTGAACTCCAGCCTGGGTGACAGAGTGAGACTCTGTCTCAAAAAAAAAGAAAAAAAATATCAGGGATCAGTACTGTTCCTTGCTGGCTTATAAACCAGGAGTTGGGTTTTAGGACCACTACACTGAAACCCTACCCTTGGGTTCCTCTTAAACCTTCCAGAGAATATGTTGGACAAAACAGGGTCAAGTCAATCTGTGAGACTAGGGCCATAATAGTGGAAGTTTTGGTCCAGGCTGCTAACTGGTCTGCTTTATTTGATTTCCATGAGATATTAAACAGTTTGATTTTTCGTGGCTCAGGCAATGTATGATTGCTGACAGAGCAGGAGCATCGCCATCTTGAACAAGCTCCTCATTCTAATGTTCACCTTAATAAAAAAGCTGCCTAAATCTAAAGGGCATCAGCCTAATGGCTAATGTCAGCATGACCATAAAACACAAATAACATCTCCAACAAGAAACATCCAAACTCCTCCTTGACCAGAGACATGCTAGCCCTGAGATAACCCCCCTCTGGGCCCCAGAAAGATGTCTGCCCCAAGATAACTTCCCCTCCTCCCAGAGGGATTCCAACCCTTCCATAAACTTCTCCACACACCTAAACATTCCAAGCTTCTGATAAGCCACCTCACCGTAAAACCAATATATACTCTTAGTCTGTAAGAGAAAGTGCTCTTGACCAAAATTGGCCAGGAGCACCTCTCAGGTTTTATCTAAAGAAAACCTGTCTTTAACTGTCAGCCACGTTTCATGTTTGTTTCCTCTTTCTTTAATTCTTACAATTGCCACTTCTTTAGGTTCTAACACCATTTTTAGTAATTTTAAAATTTCCTGCACATGTTTGAGTCCTTTTTTTCCCAATGTTAATAATAGCCCTCTTTCTTCCCAAATAGCCCCATGTGCATGCACCATAGAAGAGTTCTTTGAATCAGTGTAAATGTTTATCTTCTTAATTTTTCCTCAGTGAAGAGCACGGTTGAGGCATTCTGGGCTGACGTTACCTGGTGGCAGTGCTTCAGCTTCTTATAATATCTTGCAAAATTATCACTGCATATCCCACTTTCCAGTTTCCCTGGTCCATGAAGCTGCTTATATCCGTGGACATTTATAGATCTGTTTTTCCCAAGGGCACACCTGTTTGTCAGAGTGGCTGGAATAGACTTGTTCAATAATTTGTAAACAGTTATGCCTAGGTTCCACTGATGGGTTTGGAAACAGAGTCGTGGGGTTTAAGGTGGACCGTTTTTAGCATCACATTAGGATTATCCTAGAAAATTCCTTGGTTTTTTTTCCACATCTGGCCTGAAGTAAACCAATAACCACCTTTCTACTCTAATAATGGTAACACACAATGTGGGGTATGCAAGATTGTGGACTGCCCCCAAGGTGAATTTTTCAGCTTCTTGCAGTAAGTTACAGGTGGTGGTCACTGCCCTATGGCACACTGGCTACCCCTGGGTTATGATGTCCAAAGTGTCTGAAAAGTACTATACAGGATGCTTGGTGTCTCCTAGATTTTGGGTAAACACTTGCAACCATATTCCTTGTCTTTTGTGCACAAATAGATCCAACGGCTTTTTGAAGTCTGGCATCCCTAAAGCCAGAGTTGCTAACAATTTCTCTTTTACCAACTGAAAGCCTTTTTGAGATTTGGCAGACCATACTAGAGGCCCATCCTTCATTCCCTTCAGCATGCTATACAGAGATTTTTTCCATCAACCTGAAATTAGGAATCTATATAAGGCAAAATTCAGCCATTCCTAAAAACCCTCATAATTGTCTTTTGGTGGATGGCATAGCTATGGCTACTGCTCCCCAGCAGTTGGGGAGTAAATTCCTCTGTCCTTTAGTTAAGTCAAATCCTAGATACCTTTCCAAGGGTTGAGAAGTTTGTACTTTCTTTTGGGATACCTTGTACCTTCACTCAGCCAGGAAATTTAAGATGGTTATGTTATTTTCATCTGAACTTTACTTTATTTGCTATCAATGTGCCATCTACATATTGGAAGATAGCCCCCTCTTGTAACTGGAGTTCCCCAAAAAAGATGAGGGAGTTTTTGAATCCTTGTGGCAACAGTCCAGCAACATTGGTGCTTGCTCTTTGTTTCTGGATCTTCCCATTCCAAAGCAAAGAGTTCTTGAGATTCAAGACTTGGGGAATGGAGGAAAAATGCATCTTTTAAGTCTAATACTGTGAACTAACAGAAGTCTCCTGACAAGATAGTCAGCAAGGTGTAAGGGTTTGTAACAACTAGGTAACCTCCTCTACTATTTAGCTTTTTAATAGGTAAGATGGGAGTATTGTATGGAGAGCTACATGGCCTGATGAGCTGGAACTCTGGAAAGGCAATGATTAAAGGCCAAATCCCCCTTTTAATCTGTTCCTTTAGGGGATATAGTTTTGAGTTTGGAGTTTTTGCTTCTGGTTTTAGCTTCATCTATACTGGTATAGCAGGGATATAGTTTGGATGTCCCCTACAAATCTCATGTTGAGATGTAATCCCCAGTGTTGGAGGTGGGGCCTGGTGGGAGGTGTTTGGGTCATGGGGTGGAATCCTCATGGCTTGGTGCTGTTTTGTGATAGTGAGTAAGTTCTCACAAGACCTGGATGTTTAGAAGTGTGTGGCACCTTCCCTGCTCTCTCTCTCTCTTGCTCCTGCTCTCACCTGCTTCCACTTTAGCTTCAAACATGAATTAAAGCTGCCTGAGGCCTCCCCAGAAGCCAAGTGGATGCTGACACCATGCTTCCTGTACAGCATGCAGAACTGTGAGCCAATTAAACCTATTTTCTTTATAAATTACCCAGTGTCCAGTATTTCTTTGTAGCAACACAACAATGGTCTAACACAGAAAATTGGTACTGAGGAGTTGGGCATTGCTATAGATATCTGAAAATGTGGAAGCAGCTTTGGAGCTGGGTAACAGGCAGAGGTTGGAAGGGTTTGGAGGTCTCAGAAGAAGACAGGAAAAAAGTTCCAAGAAATCTTGGAAATTCTTAGGGACTGGCTAGATGGTGGTAACAAAAATACTGATAGTGATATGGATAGTGAAGTCCAGGCTGACAAAGTCTCAAATGGAAATGAGGAACTTTTTGGTAACTGAAGCAAAGGTCATCCTTGTAATGCCTTAGCAAAGAACTTGGCTGTATTCTGTCATGCCCTAGGGATCTGTGGAAGTTTGAACTTAAGAGTGACAACCTAGGGTATCTGACAGAGAAAATTCTTACGCATCAAAGTGTTCAAGAGGTGGTCTAACTGCTTGTAACAGCCTATGCGCAGATGCAGGAACAAAGAAATAACTTAAAGTTGGGAATTATATTTATAGAAGAAGCAGAGCATAAAGTTTGGAAAATTTGCAGCCTAGCCATCTGGCAAAGAAAGAAAAAGCTTTTTCAGGGGAAGAATCCAAGAAGGCTGTGGTGTAACCACTTTCTAGAGATATTAGCCTGATTAAAAGCAAACAATGTCCTGATAGCCAAGACAATGGGGGAAAGACCTTGAAGGCATTTCGGAGATCTCTGAGGCAGCCCCTCCCATCACAGGCCAAAAGGCTTAGGAGGGAAGAATGGTTTCAAGGGTCAGGCCTGGGATGCCACTGCCCTGCTCAGCCTTGTGACACTGCTCCTTGCATCCCAGCTGCTCTGGCTCTAGCTCCAGCTCAAATGGGCCCAAGTACAGTTTGGGCCTCCACTCCAGAGGGCACAAGCCATAAGCCTTGGCAGTTTCAACATGGTGTTAAGCCTGCAGGTGTACAGAGTATAAGGGTGAAGAAGGCTTGACAGCCTCCGCTTAGATTTCAGAAGATGCATGGAAAAGCCTGGGTCTCCAGCCAGACACTTCCTGCAGGGGTGGAGCCCTCACAGAGAACCTCCACTAGGGCAGTGCAGGGGGAAAATGTAGGGTTTAAGCACCGCCCACAGAGTCTCCAATGGGGCACTGGGTAGTGGAGCTGTGGGAAGAGTTCACTGTCCTCCAAATGCCAGAATGGTAGATCCACTAGCAGCTTGCACTCTGCACCAGGAAAAGTTACAGGTACTCAATGCCAGCTTGTGAGAGCAGGCTCAGAAGCTGAGCCCTGCAAAGCCACAGGGTCAGAGCTGCCCAAGGCCCTGGGAGCCCATCCCCTGCAGAAGCATGCCCTGGATGTGAGACATGGAGTCAAAGGAGACTGTTTTGAAGTTTTAAGATTCAATGACTGCCCTGCTGAGTTTCAGACTTGGGTGGCGCCTGTAGCACCTTTCTTTTGGAATGAGAATGTTTACCCAGTGCTTGTATCTCCATTGTATCTTGGAAGTAAATAACCCATTTTGATTTTACAGGCTTCTAGGTGGAAAGAACTTATTTCCAGATAAGACTTTGGACTGGGGACTTGGGACTTTTGAGTTGTGCAACCGCCCAAGGGGTTCACCTTGCCTGCTGCCTAGACACAGCTTATTTATCAAGACAGGGGAATTGCAATGGAGAAAGTAATTCACACAGAGCCAGCTATGCAGGAGACTAAAGTTTTATTATTACTCAAATAAGTCTCCCCGACTATTCGGGGATCAGAGTTTTTAAAGATAATTTGGTGGGTAGGGGCTTGAGAAGTGGGAAGTGCTGATTGGTCAGGATGGACATGGAATCATGGAGAGTTGAAGTGAGTTTTTCTTGCTGTTTTCTATTCCTGGATGGGATGGAAGAACTGATTGAGCCAGATTACTGGTCTAGGTGGTGTCAGCTGATCCATCAAGCGCAGGGGCTGCAAAATACCTCAAGCACTGATCTTAGGTTTTACAGCATTGATGTTATCCTCAGGAGCAATTTGGGGAGGTTCAGACTCTAGTAGCCAGAGGCTACCTGTCCCCTAAAATGTAATTTCTAATCTTCTATCTAATTTGTTAGTCCTGCAAAGGCATACTTGTCCCCAGGCAAGAATGGGGTCTTTTTGGAAAATGTCTGTTATCAATTTTGTTTCAGAGTCAAACCATAAATTGAATTCCTTCCCAAAGTTAGTTTGGCCTATGCCCAGTAATGAACAAGGACAAAGGTTAGAAGCAATATGGGGTTGGTTAGGTCTGATTTCTTTCACTGTCATAATTTCTTCAGTTATAATTTTGCAAAGGCAGTTTCATTAATGCTGGAATGTGTTAAGACTTTGGAGGACTATTGGGATGAGATTATTGTATTTCACAGTATGAGAAGGACATGAGATTTGTGGGGGCAGGGGAGAATGACATAGTTTGGACATGCCCTCCAAATCTCATGTTGAGATACAATCCCCAATGTTGAAGGTTGGGCCTGATGGGAAAGGTTTGGATCATGGGGGTGGATCTCTCATGGCTTGGTGCTGTCCTCATGATAGTGAGTTCTCACAAGATCTGGTTGTTTAAAATTGTGTGGCACCCTCTCTCCTCCATCTCTCTCTTGCTCCTGCTTTTGCCATATGATGTGCCTGCTCCTGCTTTGCCTTCCATCATGAGTAAAAGCTCCCTGAGGCCTCCCCAGAAGCTGAGCAAATGCCAGCACTATGCTTCCTGTACAACCTGCAGAACACTGAGCCCATTAAAGCTCATTTCTTTATAAATACCTAGTCTCAGGTATTTCTTTATAGCAATGCAAGAATGGCCTTAACACAAGCAGTCTTAGCCCTTCCCAGCCTCCCATCAGCCCAAGCATCTGGGCTTATCTGCTTTAAGATGTTCTCCATAATATTGATGGTGTGTTTTTCTGCTCTGTGGTCATAAAGGGCATTTGGGAGTGCACAAGCTTGTTCTGGTGGCACCTCAATTTTCCCAAAGCAAAGGTTACTGTGGCAATTAACTTAGTTAACAAGTCCTGTCCCAGTGAAGGGATTGGGCATTCTGGCATGTACAAGAAACTATGCTTTAGTTTGACTGTGCCCACTTGGTAGTCCATAGGTTGTAAAAAGGACTTTTTCATAAGTGTTCCAGACACCCCATGATAGTCATAGTATTGGGTGACAATTTTGTTATTTTGATATTTAGGACTGTATTAGTCTGTTTTCATGCTGCTGATGAAGACATACCCAAGACTGGGCAATTTACAAAAGAAAGAGGTTTAATGGATTTACTATTGCACATGGCTGGGGAAGCCTCACAATCATGGCAGAAGGCAAAGAGGAGCAAGTCACGTCTTACATGGATGGCAGCAGGCAAAGAGATGGCAGCAGGCAAAGAGAGAGAGAGCTTGTGCAGGGAAAACCCCATGATTCAATTATTTCCCACCAGGTCCTTCCCACAACACATGGGAAATATGGGAGCTACAAGATGAGATTTAGGTGGGGACACAGAGCCAAACCATGTCAAGGAAGGAGTACGTGGCTCCAATATCAATCAAGAAATCAACTTGTCTTTTTCCCACCAAAGAGTTACCCAGGGTTCCAGGCAGGAGATGGGGATGCAGCCTCATCCACCTATTGTACCCCCTGAGACCCCATCACTCTCTTGGATACCTCTGACAAAAGTAAAGCCTTTTCTTCTTTCCCCTGGGATTGCCTTTTTAAACTCAGGAAGTCCTTTTCCAATGGTCCTCTTGTTTACAATATGCACAATGCTTGGGCCCCATCTATGGATCGCCTTTCTGGAGGCCTTTCTTGTTTCCAGGGGTGTCTACCTTCTCATTGGGCTTCTTTACTTCAAGTGCTGTGAACAGAGCAGCAACCAACAAAGATGCCTGTTTTTCCATCCTCTGTTGCTCTTTATGATCCAATGCTTGATCTCAGTTTTTGAACACCTTAAAAGCAATCTATACAGTTAAGAGATAGACATTCCAAAAACACTTTCTAATTTTTATAGCTTTTTCTGAATGCCAGGAGTGCTTTGACTAATAAAAGTTATGTTAATTAATCTGAGGTTCTCAGGGGCCTCAGGATCTATCTCAGTTGACATTGCCAGGAGGCTTCAAAAATTATCTCCAAAAACTTTCAGATGAGTTTTCATTTGGCCTCTGTCACATTTCCTGAAATTTATTAAAGCTACACTACTTTGAGACCCCTTTCCTCAGGACTGCTAAAATTCAATCTCTTTAATGCTTGCAATGAGCTTGACTCTCATGATTTGGATCCTATCAGGATCTTGCACATGCCAGAATGCCCAGTCCCTTCGTTGGGACAGGACGTGTTAACTAAGTTAATTGCCACAGTAACCTTTGCTCTGGGAAAATTGGACATTGAGGTGCCACCAGAACAAGCATGTGAGCTCCAAGATGCCCTTTTTGACCACGGAGCAGGAAAACACACCACCAATATTATTGAGAACATCTTAAAGCCCAGACACTTGGGCCAATGGGAGGCTGGGAGGAGCTAAGACTGCTTGTGTTAGGCTATAGCCTCAGCAGTAGCTGCCCAGACCAGATTGCTGGCAGTCTCAGTATGTTACTGGTCAGCTTCTTCTCTAGCTTTTTCTAAAACTATTCTCCACTCTTTGGAGGTAAGTAGTGCATTTTGTAAATATTGCACATTCTCCCAGTTAGGATTATGAGTAGTGTAAATGGAGAACACATTTTCCATCCTCCTTGGGTCACCCCAGTAGGTAAGCATGTTATCCTTCCAATGGTATAGGTCAGAGACTGAGAATGGCACGTGTACCCACACAGGTCCCGCTGGCTGACCCTGGGCATTGATTCTGCCAATGGGTACTTGCCTAATGGAATTGCCCTACCTCAACCAGAGTGGCTCCCTGACGATATTGAGTGCCCTGTCAGGTGTGTGAAGGAGAGAGCACTCCTGGCCTGTTTACGTCACTATTATTCCCCAGTCCAGCCAGGGTAATAGGGGCTCCCATTCCTGCCTGAGCAGGGGGGCGGGGCCATTGCTCTGGCTTCCATATCTCGCCCCCCATAAGGTGGAGAGATAGGATTGGTGCATTCATTTGTTGAAGTAGTAAGTCATCTTCTGATTTTTGAGAACCGGGTAAAACCTTTACCTCTTTCACCTTAGAGGCATTTCTTTCAACCATGATTCTATGCAAATTATACCTTCTTTGAATTAGCTCACTTTGGTACAAAAGCATAAAAGCTTGTACATTCAGAATTTCATCCCATTTACCTTCTTGTTCACAAAACAATTCTAATTGAAAAATTATAATGTAATTTAGATATCTAAATTCTGGCTACCATTCCCTGGATCCTAGGGGATACCGTGGTCAGGCAGAATTTCAACATTAAAAACATTTTTCTTTTTCATGGGCTCAAAGCTAAAAATGGCCCGATTCTGCAGAATGCACCATAATGGGCTACAAGGAGGAACATAATTTGTAGTTTCCATTTTAGATGACAAGACCTTAGGTGAAAAACCCTTAATGCCTCAGCTGGGCTTTAGGCAGATTGTCAAGCAAGCAAATCAAAATCAAAATGTGATTTCTCAAAGTCTCCATCCCTTCAGTTGCTTATGGAGTATTCCCTACTAAACACACTATGATGAAGCAGAGTCCCGTAAATTGCCAAAGCAAGGCCAGATGTCCTGCCAATGCAGAACGTAGTGTTTGAAGAAAATATACCTTGGGGCTATTGCCCACAAATTTGTCACCTGCCAAAAAATGTCTTCCCAGCCAAGTGTCTCATTTCTAATGCTGCAAAAGTAAAAGCAACACAAGCCAGTGATGCCTTGGTGGCAGCCAAATACACAGATCCATCCCTGAATAAAATAATTCAGGCAGCTACTGGACAGGGTCCAAGGGTGCTCATAGCCAGGGGCTGATATGCTATTGGCAAGACACCCACTCAGGGCTTTTGAGTTGTGGCCAAGTGTTATTGAACTGAACTGGAGTTGTCTTGCCCATCACAGTAAGATCAGATATCCACACTGAGGTTTGCAGTGGTGGAAAGGAAGACATTTATTTGCAGGGCACTAAGCAAGGAGGATCAGGCAGCTAACGCTCAAATCCAGAGCTCCGTGATGGCTTGCAGGTAAGGGCTTTTAAAGGTAGGAGTAAATTTCAGGAAAGCAGAAGTTACAGGCTAATTCATAAATCATTACACAGAGGTTACCCATTGGTTTTGGCCTAAAAGGGTGGGATATCTTGAAGTGAGGGCTTACAGGCCATAAGTAGGTTCAAAGGTCTTTTGGTTTGCAGTTGGTTAAGCAAGAGAAGCTTTGTTTAAAATTTTTGGGTCAGCAGAAAAGAATATTAGCTCTGACAGATGGATGTGATTTCCTCCAGGCCCCTCATGAAGAAGTTTGGAACAAAGAGTGGTGGTCAGAGTTCAGTCCTCAGCTCCCCCTTTTCTGGGGTCTGCATGCCAGCTGATCAGTTTGGTGGGGATCCAAGTTTCTGAAAAACAACTCAGAGATATATGTTAACATGTTATCTTTAGTTTCTATAGGGAAAGAAAACATCCTGTGATTGTAGCTTCCTTGGCTGTTGTTTTAAGCTATTACCTTCTTGCTTATCAACTTGCTTATTTACTTCTCAGGGCTAGCTAGGTGCCTGGCATTGCCCCTGAAAGAACTCAACATTTTCCTTTATTTATATGCTTAAGGGGGCCTGCAGACCCCTGAGACGGGGTCCCTGCTCCATCTCACTTTCCTCATTGTGTATTCTTGGCAGCTTTGTTGAAAATTAATTGTCCATGTATGCTACTGTATGATCCAGCAATTCCACTATGGATAGATATCCTAAGCAAATAAAATCACTATCTCTAAGTGGTATCTGGACTCTCTTGTCCATTTCAGCATTATTCACAATAGCTAAGATAAGAAAACAACCTAAGTGACCACTGACAGATGAATGGATAAAGAAAATGTTTTTTATATATCTATATTATATATATTATATATAATATATATAATATATTATATATAAATGTCTTATATATATTTTTATATAATATTTAATATATAATATAATATATATTATATAATATATATTTTATATATTATATATATTATATATTATATATATATTATATATAATATATATAATATATATTTATATATATTTTATATATAATATATATAACATATATTTATATATATATTATTTATATATATTATATATATATTTTATATATATTATATAGTATATGTATTATATATTATATATATTATATATAATTTTCTTTATTATATATATTATATATAATATGAATATACTATATATTCATATCATATATTATATATTCATATTATATATATAACATATATATGTTATATATATAACATATATATGTTTTATATATGTTTTATTTATATATATATATATATATATTCACAAGCAGCCTTAAAAAAAGAAGGAAATGCTGCCCTTGGCAATAACATGAATGAACCTTGAGGATATTATGCTAAGTGAAATAAACCAGACACAGGAAGCCAAACATTGCATGCTCTTGTATGTGAAATCTTTTTTTGTTTGTTTTTTGAGACAGGGTCTCATTCTGTTGGCCAGGCTGGAGTGCAGTCACAGCTCAGTATAGCCTCAACCTCCCGAGCTGAAGCAATCCTCCTACCTCAGCCTCAGGAGTAGCTGGGACCACAGGCATGTGCCATCACACCCAGACACTTTTTAAATTTTTTTTGTAGAGACAGGGGTCTCCTTATGTTGCCCAGGCTGGTCTCGAACTCCCAGGCTCAAGGCATCCTCTTGTATCAGCCTCCAAAAGTGCTGGGGTTACAGATGTGAACCACTGCAGCCAGCCATATGTGAAATCTTTAAAAAGTGAACGTCAGGCCAGGCGTGGTGGCTCACACCTGTAATCCCAGCACTTTGGGAGGCCCAGGCGTGCGGATCACGAGGTCAGGAGCTTGAGACCAGTCTGGCCAACATAGTGAAACCCCGTCTCTACTAAAAATACAAAATATTAGCCGGGTGTGGTAGTGTATGTGCGCCTGTAATTCCGGCTACTCAGGAGGCTGAGGCAGGAGAATCGCGTGAACCCAGGAGTCAGAGGTTGCATTAAGCCGAGATCGCACCATTGCACTCCAGCCCGGGCAACAGTGGGAGATTCCATCAAAAAAAAAGAAAATGAAAAAGAAAGTGAAACTCACAGTAACAGAGCAGAGAGTATAATGGCAGTTATCAAGGGCTAGGGTATGAAGAAAAGGGGAGATATTAGTCAAAGGGTACATACCTTCAGCTATAAGATGAATAAGTATTGGAAACCTAATGTATAGCATGGTGACTCTAGTTAATAATACTGTATTGTACTTGAAGTTTGGTAAGAAAGCAGGTGTAAGTTCGGTAAGAAGGTATGTGTCTCGTCACACATACAAAAAAAGTAACTATGTGAAATGGTGGATATGTTAGCTCATTGTGGTAATCATTTCACAATGCATACATATATTCAAACATCACATTGTATGCCCTAAGTATATACATTTTTATTTGTCAATCATACCTTAATAAAGTTTGGGAGGAAAAGAATCACAGGACTTAATGAGAGATAATTTATTTGAAAGGCTTCTTGCAACTGGGGGAGGGGATGTTTCAATCGGGTGTCCAACTGTCAGTTCCACAAGCAACTCAAGGGTCAGGCAAAAAGGAGCTTTAAAAAAAAAAAAAAAAAGAGGTCGGGGGGAGGAGCAAACAAGCCTAGAAAGAACTTGGTGTGAGGATGTGGAATGACCAGATATTAGATCAGAGAATGTTCTACCTGGGACCAGCCTATGAGAAGGGCCTGTTAAGGTTATCTGCTGGCTCAGACTAAAGGTGGGCCAAATTTCAGGAGTCTGGAGAAAGAAGAGAAGCTACCTAAACTTTGGCTAACAAGCATTTTTTTTTTTAATCTCGCTCTGTCTCCAGGCTGGAGTGCAGTGGCGCCATCTCAGCTCAGTGCAACCTCCACTCCCAGGTTCAAGCGATTCTCCTGCCTCAGCCTCCCAAGTAGCTGGGACTATAGGCACGTGCCACCACGCCCAGGTAATTTTTGTATTTTTAGTAGAGACAGGGTTTCACCATGTTGGCCAGGATGGTCTCGATCTCTTGACCTCGTGATCCACCCGCCTCGGCCTCCCAAAGTGCTGGGATTACAGGTGTGAACCACCGCGCCCAGCCACAAGAGAACGAGCAGTTCAGTTTATCATTTATTAAGTAAAGAATGGCAATTTGGAGGGTCTCGTGTCTGGCATTGTCATACATAAACACGGGTGACATCCCCTAAGTCTTATCTAAGTCATATGGAAAGGAGGGTTCTTTGCAGGAAGCTGTTTTCTGGAACACAAAGGGCTGAGGGTTTCTTAACCTTCACTGTTTTCCAGGATCACAGGGCTCAGGAAAAATTCAACATTGTCACTATCCCCAATAACTTTTTTTAAAGAAAAGTGCTATGGTTTGAATGTGTCCCCCAGAGTTCATGTGTTGGAAACTTAATCCCCAATACAACTGTTGAGAAGTGGGACCTTTAAGAGGTGATTAGGTGAGGAGGACTCTGCCAGTGTGAATGGACAAATGCTGTTATCTCGGGAGTGGATTTGTTATTGTGGGAGTGAGTTCCTGATTTTTTTTTTAAAAAATGAGTTTAGGCCCCTTTCTTCTCTTTCTTTTGCTCACTCTTACACATGCTTTCACGTCTTGATGCCTGCATGCCAGGCCCTCAGCAGGTGCAGCCCCTTGATCTTAGAGTTCTCAGCCTTCAGAAACATGAGCTAAATAAATTCCTGTTCATTATATGTTACCCAGTCTCAGGTATTTGATTATAGAAGCACAAAACAGACTGAGACAGAAAAAAGAGAGAGAGAGAGGAAGCTAGTCTTCTAGTGAGAAATAGAATGAATTGAAGTATACGTCTGGCCAGGGGAGCACCCAGTAGCCCAGAGGTGACTGAGGCAGAACCTCTTTCCAAAACATCACCTTCTGTGATGTTGTGATACCAGGCAGCTAAGCAATGGCTTTCAGCACTATTTTCTCCTTGTCACATGAAGGAGATTGATTTAATGGGCTCTGAATTGTCTTTTTTTTTTTCCAGACAGGATCTCGGCCAGGCACGGTGGCTCACACCTCTAATCCCAGCACTTTGGGAGGTCGAGGTGGGTGGATCACGAGGTCAGGAGATCGAGACCATCCTGGCTAACACAGTGAAACCCTGTCTCTACTAAAAAATACAAAAAATTAGCCGGGCGTGGTGGCGGGCGCCTGTAGTCCCAGCTACTCGGGAGGCTGAGGCAGGAGAATGGTGTGAACCCAGGAGGTGGAGCTTGCAGTGAGCCGAGATCGCGCCACTGCACTCCAGCCTGGGTGACAGAGTGAGACTCCTTCTCAAAAAAAAAAAAAAAAAAAGACAGGCTCTCACTTTGTTGCCCAAGCTGGAGTGCAGTGGTGTGATCTGGGTTCACTGCCACCTCTGCTTCCCAGGTACAAGCGATTCTCGTGCCTCAGCCTCCTGAGTAGCTGGGATTACAGCTACTCAGCTACTCAGATTACACACCCAGCTGATTTTGGGATTTTTAGTAGAGACGGGGTTTCGCCATGTTGGCCAGGCTGATCTCAAGTGATCTGCCCACCTTGGCCTCCCAAAGTGCTGGGATTACAGGTGTGAGCCACCACACCTGGCTGAAGAAGGTGATATCTGCAAATATCTTTCTCAGTGACCATAAATTTAAAATGTTGTCCGCTTTTAACATATTTATTAAAACAGTACCAGAAAAAGCCTTTTCTTTTTTAATCACAGAGAAAGAAAAACAAATATATTCTGTCACTAAAGGTCCACAACTTCTGGCCCTGAAATGTAATCATAGGCTTCAGACCCTTGCTCCACACAGCCTGGGCAGGGATATGCAGCAAGTAACCTAGCTTTCAGTGGAACCATCCCTGCCTCAGATCTCTTCACGCATTTTTTTAAGATTACCAGGGGATTTGTGTGCACCTTGAAGTGTGCTACCTGTGCCGCACCCACACCCTTTTCTGGAACAGTACTTTCGGGCCGCTGCAAGCCGCAGGACCTTCCCTCTGTGGAAGAAACCTGCTTTGGGAAACGACAGGAAGCAGTTTGGGTACTAGGTGCGTAATGTTTGGTCGTGAAATCAGGAGAATAATGGGAGAATGGAATATTTTCAGTCATCTGGCTCTCAGTGAGCAGCGAAAAAAAACTAATGCCCTTGTGAAATGCAGGCAGTAGCTGTATTTTTTGCCCTCCTCCCCTAGAACAGTCCAATAAAAAATAAACGAGGGCTATGACTCGTTTATAAGGGCGCTCACGTGGCCTATACGTTGCACTGGGTGATTTGCACCCGGCCCTTCACCCATGGGCTTGGGACGCCACAGCTCCCCTCCAATGAGGAAGAGCCACAGTGGCTGCTGGGCCAAATGGCACGTGGCGAGCCTGGCTGCCACCGTCGTCGGCACGGGGGTGGGTGGGGTGAGGAACCACCTTGCAGGAAGTAGGAGGGTTTATGTCACCAGTGCGCAACCGTGAGCGGGCCGTGTGCAGTTCCGCTCATGGGGTAGGGGGGCGGTCGTCACCAGACAACCTCTTCCCGCCACAGCCTCGTGGCGCAGTCAGCACGGAGGCGGCAGCCGCCATAGACGTGTGGTGGTCGCGCTGCGCGGGAACTCCGGCTTGGAGGCACCTCCGGCAGGTACGGAGCTGGACCCCGGGCTCGGACAGCAACCCAGATTACGGGGGAACCCCCCAGTAACTCTTGCTATTTTCCACGGGGTCTAGGGGCTGGTGGCCATAGGTTTCCCTGGAGGCGGGATCCCACTAGATCACACCCAGCACGCCAAGGAATCCCTGCCATTTCCAGGCAGAACTTCAGGGAGACCTGGCCGGGCGCGGTGGCTCACACCTGTAATCCCAGCACTTTGGGAGGCCGAGGCGGGTGGATCACCTGAGGTCAGGAGTTGGAGACCAGCCTGGCCAACATGGGGAAACCCCGTTTCTACTAAAAATACAAAAAGTAGCCGGGCGTGGTGGTGTACGCCTGTAATCCCAGCTACTCAGGAGGCTGAGGCCGGAGAATCACTTGAACCCAGGGGGCGGAGGTTGCAGTGAGCCGAGATACGCTACTGCACTCCAGCCTGGGTGACAAAGCCAGACTCCGTTTCAGAGAAAAACAAACAAACTTCAGGGAGACCTATTCCACCCTTGACCTGCCCGGAGACACTGCAGTCAGGATAGTAGCTCTTGGCCCTTGCCCTTGAGGGAAAGTGGCTTCGAACCTTCCCCTCCTAGATTCTGCCTGCTTCCACTGATGTCGGTGGTGTGGGTGTATGTAGATAACCGGGTGGGGATTGGGGGGAGCAGGGGAATGGAGGTAGGGGATTTGGGGATATCAGTTAGACTTGCCTCGGGGTAGGAGTTGGACTTGGTGAGGGGGCAGGGCTTGGGGTAGGAGTTGGACTGTGGGTGGGGGCAGGGCTTGAGGCACGAGTTAGACTTGGGTGGTGGAAGGGGTTAGACTTGGTGGGGGGCTAAGCTTGGGGTAGAGGTGCAACTTAGTTATAGGCAGAGTTTGGCAGCAGGGGTGCAGGTTTTGAGGTGGGGCTTAGGAAGGGTTGCAACATGGCTGTAGGGGCGGAGCTTGGGAGGGAATGGAGTTTGCAGTGGGGGTAGGGCAGCAACCTTACCTTAGGATCCCTTCTGCCCTACCAGCAGCCCCCCTGCCCCCACCCCCTACCTCCCTCCTCACCTCCCACCCCTCTCACCATTCGTCCCCCGACTCCTCCCCCCGCTCCGCTCCCTCTGTCAGTTGAGCAGTTTCTTCTATCCCTGCACCAGGGTCCTAGTGAACACCTATGCAGAGTCTGAATTGGCATGGCCTGGGCAGGGACATGTGTGTGGGACAGAATCACAGCAAAATACCTCTGCTTTGCCTTGGACAGATCCAGTGAAGCAGGACCCATCACGCCTGAGTCAGGAACTGCCTAACTGGATAGAGTTGAAAAGCAGAGCGAGTCTGAAGTGGCTGTGTTATTGCAGCATCCGCGCTGCCAGCAGGGCCAACCCAGCAAGGTGAGCAGCTGTGAGTTGGGCCCTGTTGGGAGGGGCTCTGGAACCCTGGCAAAGAGTGGGGAGAGGGGACTGCCTGCCAGGGTTCACAGACTCTGCAGGGTAGGGCCATCTCTAGGGCAAGAGTTGTTGGTTTCCTGCAGTCTGGCAGTGGGGACCTTATCTGGGTCCCTTTTCTGCCTGATTTCAGCTTCCACACAATTGAAACCATGAGCTCCTGTCCTTTCAGCACTCACTCCTCATGCCCATCTCGCCTTCCCTCTCCCACCCTCCTTTTTGCTAGTACGCTTTATTGGTTGGAGGCCAATGACATCACCTGTTGCTTTTCAAGGACCTTGGCCTTACCACATGACACTCCCCTGCAATAGCAACCCATGGTCCATGGTATTCTCTGTATCCATGGCAACACTGCAGCTTGTCACACAATCTCCACACCCACCACTCTCATTGCATTGCGCAGAGCTCAGCCATCTTTCTCATCCGTCAGGCATTCCTGAGAAAGAGGGCCACTCTACCTCTCTTGCTGCCAGCCTTCACTCCAGCAAGGAGGGTGCTGGGTGACCTGAGCCCACATAGCCCCGAGTGAGCAGTGAGGCTGTCTCCTGCCCTCTTCTGCCTGGAGGGCTCGTCAGTGTCCCCAGGTGTCAGGCCCTGCCTCCTGACGTTGGCCTTTTCACTACAGGCACCCGAAGCACACACAGCAGAGTCCTCTGGACTTTGAGGAAGAACCCACAGCAGGAGGAAGTCAGCAGGGAGTGGTGAGATGGGGAGATCTTTGCCTGGGGAGAACCTCCACACTCTACCCTCCCCAAAATGACTTGGGGAACCCTGGGAAGAAAGGACTCCATCCCTGCTTGGGGGTGGGGGCAGAGGAGGGGTGCTTGGGGGCGTAGGTTGGGGTGGGCATTAACAATGCTCTCATCCCATTTGCTTTGCAGGCTGTGTGAAACCTGGGACCACTTCTGCCTTCCTACGTGGCAGTGGCTCAGAGTTATTTGAGTGCTGTCAAACTGAGCTGATTGCTGCCCTAGTATTAGATCAGTCCATAGAAAGTGGGAGCAATGGCACTGACACTGCTAGAGGATTGGTGCAAGGGGATGGACATGGACCCCAGAAAGGCCCTGCTGATTGTAGGCATCCCCATGGAGTGTAGTGAGGTGGAAATTCAGGACACTGTGAAGGCAGGCTTACAGCCCCTGTGCGCATACAGGGTCCTAGGGAGAATGTTCAGGAGGGAAGACAATGCCAAGGCAGTCTTCATTGAACTGGCTGACACTGTCAATTACACTACTCTGCCCAGTCACATACCAGGAAAGGGTGGCTCCTGGGAAGTGGTGGTAAAACCCCGTAACCCAGATGATGAGTTTCTCAGTAGACTGAACTACTTCCTGAAAGATGAGGGCCGAAGTATGACAGATGTGGCCAGAGCCCTGGGATGTTGCAGCCTCCCTGCCGAGAGCCTGGATGCAGAGGTCATGCCCCAAGTTAGATCCCCACCTTTAGAGCCTCCGAAAGAAAGTATGTGGTACAGGAAACTGAAAGTGTTTTCGGGAACTGCTTCCCCTAGCCCAGGCGAAGAGACCTTTGAAGACTGGCTAGAGCAGGTCACTGAGATAATGCCCATATGGCAAGTGTCTGAGGTGGAGAAGAGGCGGCGTTTGCTGGAGAGCTTACGTGGGCCTGCTCTGTCAATCATGCGGGTGCTCCAGGCCAACAATGACTCCATAACTGTGGAGCAGTGCCTTGACGCCCTAAAGCAGATCTTTGGGGATAAAGAGGACTTTAGAGCCTCTCAGTTTAGGTTTCTGCAGACCTCTCCGAAGATTGGAGAGAAAGTCTCCACTTTCCTGCTGCGCTTAGAGCCCCTGCTGCAGAAAGCCGTGCACAAGAGCCCCTTGTCAGTGCGCAGCACAGACATGATTCGTCTGAAACATCTCTTAGCTCGGGTCGCCATGACCCCCGCCCTCAGGGGCAAGCTGGAGCTCTTGGATCAGCGAGGGTGTCCTCCCAATTTTCTGGAGTTAATGAAGCTCATTCGAGATGAAGAAGAGTGGGAGAACACTGAGGCAGTGATGAAGAATAAGGAGAAGCCATCAGGGAGAGGCCGGGGGGCCTCCGGTAGACAGGCAAGAGCAGAAGCCAGTGTCTCTGCACCTCAGGCCACCGTGCAGGCAAGGTCTTTTAGCGACAGCAGCCCCCAGACCATACAGGGAGGCTTACCCCCATTAGTGAAACGCAGGCGGCTGTTAGGCAGTGAAAGCACTAGGGGAGAAGACCATGGCCAGGCCACGTATCCCAAGGCTGAAAACCAGACTCCAGGCAGGGAGGGGCCACAGGCTGCAGGAGAGGAGTTGGGAAACGAGGCAGGGGCTGGGGCCATGAGCCATCCCAAGCCCTGGGAAACATAGGCTCAGAAGACCGAAGCACTCCTTCCCCTGGCAGGCAGCAGGGACATTTGAACAAGGGGAAGGGGCAGCTTACACTAACAGGGAACTTGACTGGGGCAGAGGGACAGGGAAGCCAGGTCGAGATCAAGCCCCCTTACTTTCCACCAGCTGGAAGGGACTTCACCAACCAAGACCAAATAGCATCTGGTTCAGTGGGGGCCGGGCCCATAGCCCCTAACAGGTACAGGAGACACAAGCGGGGAACCACTACACTTAGCACATGGGGTGCCTGGGCTTCAGATGGGGACCCCAGCGAAGCAGGGGCTGAAGAAGGTGTGGCTGGGGGCTCTGGCCTGGTCCTCTGGACACCCCCAAATATCTACCCTGTGGACTTTGAGCTGAGCATGCCCACTGGCACCCAGGCCACGTGGGACCTGGAGGAGCCTGCCTGGGGCCTGCCTCTGCCAGAAGGAGCCAGGGCTGCTGAGGAAGAGCTGTGGGGCAGAAGTGAAGCCCCGCAGGGGAGGCCACAGGGTCCAGCCTGTCTTTAGGATCATCTACACTGCATGAGGGGAGCCCCAGGAAGGCAGCATTCATAAGCCCCTGCACCAGTGAGGAAGAGAAAGAGGAGGAGAATTAAGAAGAGGATGATCGGGAGGAGGAAGAGGAGAATAAGGAGGAGCAGGAGGAAGAGGGGGAGGAGAAGGAGGAAGAGGGGGAGGAGGAAGAGGGGAAGGAGGAGGAAGAAGTGTAAGAAGAGAAGAGAGGATGTGTTGGGGGTGGGTAGTTGTTTTTGGTTTGCGTCATCATCAGGCCCGGGCTCTGCTCACTGCTGTTCCGTGTCAAGAACTCCACCTCTGCTTTGCCGGTGTAGATCTCGGCCAGTGGCTGCTTGTTCTCTTGGGGATGTGTGTGTTTTTATCTGAGCAGCTCCTTTCCAGAGTACCCCAGCGCAGTTCCAGGAGACGGTGGGAAGGAGGCATGGCAGACGCTCACCTTGTGACTGTGACCTCGACTGCAGGAGGACCAACCAGACACGGGAAGGAGCAGGGCTGCCTGAGGCTCCCCAGGAAGCTTTGTGCTTTGGCGTTCCACCCCTGCTGTTACTCGTGACTCAGTTTCCTCAACTTGGTGGGGTGTTCCCTGCTATGTTTTCCAGCATCCTGTGACTGTCCTGTGCAGTCTATAGGGCAGGGCCCTGCCCCAGCGGGTGGGCTCAGGAGGGGGTTCCCTGAAGCGAGTACACATTGCCAGAGCCCACCATCCTGGCAAGAGGTGGATCCTGGGGCCCTATGGAAGGAGGGATGTGGTGGGGGGGGCCACACTGAGGGAGGGGCCGGGGACTTGTGACCTGTAGTGGCTGTTTGCAGTTTCTCTCTGTGTTAGATTCCCTTTTCTTCAGCAGTTTCAGTTCATGTTTCTCTTCAGTAAATTTTGTTCAGTGTTCCAGTGGTGTCTTGCCTCTGCTGTGTGAAACTGGGGTGGGAGGTGGTCTGCTGGGGATGGGGCCACAGTGGCCAGGCTGACATCGAGGTGTGTGTGGGGCAGGGTCTATGAGGGCCTGTGGGGTGCCTTGGGCTGCATGGAGCCTGGCAACAGGATGCTGGTGGTCATGAGCAGTGACTGGCTGGGTACCAAAGGCACTCCAGGTGTCCTCAGGAATAAGTGACTTGGACATTGAAGGCTGGGCAAGGGGCAGCAGGTGGGTCCCAGGCCCCTGATCCCTGGCAGCACTGTAGGGGTGTGGCTCAAGGCTTCCGGAAGGGTCAGAGAGGCCACGTGTGCAACCAAGGCCAGCAACCGAGGTCAGAGAAGAGCCCCAGGAGGGCCTGGACAGGCAGTCAGAGGCCCTGTGAAGAGCTGTGTGCAGGACTCGGGGTGGGGTAGGGGCTGGTGTGTGCCCATCCTCCCAGATCAGCCCGCAGGTGGCCAGCCTTGGCCTAGCCACTGAGGGATGTTTGGGGACAGTGTGTGTGTGATGGCCAAGGGGACAGAGTGTGGGCGAGAAAGGGATCCCAAGTGCTCATGTCTTGGGGAGGGGGAGAGGAAGGGCGGGGGAGCTGCACTTCATCCTGGGTCCTGTCCTGCTCCCTTCCCAGTGTACTGGGAGGCGCTCTACTCCTGTGTCCTGGGAGCAGGCAGTGGGCCATGAGCAGGAAGCCTAGATGGCCCTGGGGAGTGACCCCTTTCTGTCCTGCATCCCCGAGGCCCTCTGAGCCCTGGATGCTGCCTGAGGAGGGCTCCCTCAGGATGGACGGCGCTGCTAATCCAGACACCCCTCCTTCAGCACTGTGGCCAGAGGGGCAGTTCTTGGTGGGGGCCTGAGGATCCTGGAACCCGCCCTCCTGAGCCCTCCTGGGACTGGCTCTCTCTCCCAACAGGCCAGGGAGCTCGCCACAAATGGAGGGTAGTCCTCGATCAGCCATTTAACTAGCCCAGAGTCTGTGGGCGACAGAACTGGGACAAGTGATAGGCCCCTCCCTGCACATGTGTGGGGAGGGGACGGGATCATTGACTTGGACGTGGCGAGGGTCTCCCGGGGCTCACTCAGTCTGTGTCCACACACTTCCTCCGGCTGTTCTGGAGCACAGAGCCTCCGGCCATCCCCATGGCTCAGATGATAGCCAGGCTCCCCCAAAGCAGCCTCAGAGCCAATGCTGGGAATGGGTGGCTGCCCACCTGGGCTGAGGAATCCTGGATCTAGGCGACCTGTCTGCTTGAGCGGAGCTGCAGTCAGCAGGTCTGCAGGGCGGCAGGGGCCCTGGGAGACACTCGGCATACACAGGCCAGTGCAGGCATGGGAGGGGTAGTTTTGCGGGGCTGTCGGGGAGGGGCAGGGGGCGGCAGGTCTCTGGGGCTGGGCCTGCAGCCTCCCCGGCCTGAAGGTGCTTAACCGGTGTCTCAGGGACCCTTGTAGTGTGTCCCATCGGGGTGCCCTGCAGGCATGCCTGGGGCCCCCACTGTGCTCTGTTCTCCCTGCCTTCTTCAGGCTGGGCACAACCCCAGCATGTCCGTCCCTTGTGTCTCAGCAGGGCCAAGTCAACTGCTCACTTTCCAAGGGCCCCTCCAGATTTTGGGGACAGGGCAAGAGGAGAGGGCATAGAGCTTGGCTGACCTTGCCAGGGCCTGTCAGGGCTCCTTGGTTTTCCCTGTTCAGAGTGGACCTGTGTGTGCCGTGATTCCCAAGCAGGTGTGAGTGTGAGTGAGCGGGTGTGTTTGAGCGTGTGCGTGTGTGTGTCAGTGTGAGCATGTGCATGAGTTTCTGAGAATGTGTGTGAATCCAAGTGACAGAATGTGACTGCATCACTGAGCGTGTGTGAGTGGGAGGGTGTGGGGGAATGAGGCTGTGCCATTGAAGGTGAGCATGCATGTCGCTGAATGTGTGTGACACTGTGAGTGTGTCAGTGTGTGTCAGTGTGTGTGTGAGTTTGTGAGTCATTGTGCGTGCGTGCGCTGACTGCAAATGTGGGTGTGTCAATGAGCAGGCATGAATGCGTCATTCAATGTGTGTTTGTCACTCAATGTGTGTGCGCATGTGAGTGTGTCTGGAACATGAGTGTGTGAGTGAATGTGTGTGTGACTGTGTCAGTGGGCATGTGAGCACACAGGCTGGACAGTTGGGTTGTGAAACCCGGAAGGGATCTAGCCAGGGAGTCTGGAAGGAGGTACCGGGAGAAACCAGTTGCTTCCCCACCAGCCCAGAGCAAGGAGACTTTGTCGGGCCTGAAGGACGGGCCCCCCCGGGGGGCCACCTGTCCCCTTCATCCCAGCCAGGCCCTTGGTGCGTGCCAGCTGGCAGAGCTCCTACCATGCATTGTGTTTTGCTGCACAGTCCTCAACAAGTGCCCCTGAGGAGGGCGGCATGTGTGGCCTGGGGACAGAAAGGTCCATCAAGGTGCCTTCCTGGGTGCCCAAGGGCTGACCAAGCCCATCCAATAAGCAGCAGCCTCCTGGGCTCACAGAGGGCTTGAGCGGTGGATGAGGGAGCTGGATCAGAGCCCAATCATGGGGGTGAGGCTGAGCAGAGAGGACTCAGAGAAGTCCCGTCCTCAGGACTGTCCCGGAGTAGACAAGACTGAGAGGGGTCCCATCCTAAGGCCTGTCCCCTCAGCAGGGAGGACTGAGAGAGGTCCCGTCACCAGGCCTGTGCCTGATCAAAGTGGTCTGAGAGAGGTCTTGTTCTCAGGTCTTTCCCTCGAGCAGAGAGGAGTGAGAGAGGTCCTGTCCACAGGTATACCTCTGAGAAAATGAACTGAGACGGGTGCCATCATAAGACCTGTTCCTTAACGAGAGAGGACTGAGTTGGGTCTCTTGAGCAGACAGGCCTCTCTCCAAACCCTGAGCGGTGGGAACTGGGAAAGGTGCTGTCCTCAGCTCTGTCCCTGATCATAGAGAAATGGCAGAGGTCTCATTTTCAGGCCTGTTCCATGAGCAAAGAGGACTGAAAGAGGTCCCATACTCAGGTGTCCCCTGTGCAGAACAACAGAAATGTCTGACAGAGTACAACCCGCAGGTCTCTTTCTGATCAGAGAGGACTGAGAGAGGTCCCATCTTCTAGTCTGTCCCCTGAGCAAACAAAACTGAGAGGTCTCATCCTCAGGCGTCCCCTGAGCAGGAAGACTGAGAGGAGTCCTGTCCTCAGACCCATCCCTGGGCAGAGAGTCATAAGAGAGGTCCTGTCCACAGGCCCATCCTCTGTGTAAGAGGTCAGAGAGGGATCCCATCCTAAGGTCTGTCCCCTTAGCAGAGAAGACTGACAGCGGTCCTGTCCTCAGGCCTGACCCTGAGTAGAAAGCAGTGGGAGAGGTGTCCCCGGGCAGAGAAGACTGAGAGAGATGCTGTCTTCAGGTACCTGAGGCTTAGTGGGCAGAGAGAGGTCCTGTGCTGTGGCCTGTCTTCTGAGCACAGTCGACTGAGAGAGGTCCCATTCCCATATCTATCGTAGAGAAAAGAGGACTTAGAGGGGTCCTGTCCTCAGGCCTGTCCTTTGAGCAGAGAGGACTGAGAGAGGTCCTGTCCTCATATCTATCCCCTAAGAAGATGGACCGACGGGGGTCGCATCTTCAGGCCTGTCCCCTGAGCTGAGGGGGCTGAGAGGGTTCCTCTCCTCACACCTATCCCCTCAGATGATGGACCGACAGAGGTCCCAAACTCAGGTCTGTGTCTAGAGCAGAGAGGACTGAGAGATGTCCTGTCCTCATACGTATCCACTTAGAAGATGGACAGAGAGGGGTCCCATCCTCAGGTCCGTCCCTTGAGCAGAGAGGACTGAGAGAGGTCTGGACCTCACATCAATCCTCTTAGAAGATAAAACGATTCGGGTCACATTCTCAGTCCTGTCCCTTGAGCAGAGAGGACTGAGAGAGGTCCTGTCCTCACATGTATCCCCTTAGAAGATGGACTGACAGCAGTCCCACCCTCAGGCCTGTCCCCTGAGCTGAGGGGATGGAGAGAGGTCCTGTCCTCATATTTATCCCATCAGAAGATGGACCGACAGGGGTCCCACCCTCAGGCCTGTCCCCTGGGCTGAGGGGACCGAGCGAGGTCCTGTCCTCATATCTATCCTCTTAGAAGATGGGCCGAGGTGGGTCCCACCCTCAGGCCTGTCCCCTGAGTTGATGGGACTGAGAGAGGTCCTGTTCTCTTATCTATCCCCTTAGAAGATGGCCCAACAGGGGTCCCATCCTCAGGCCTGTCCCCTGAGCTGAGAGGACCAACAGAGTTCCTGTTCTCCTGTTTGCTGAGTGACATGTATGTGGAGAGGTGTCCCTTTATGAATTGCTCCTGAGTAGAGAGTACTGAGTGAGGTCATGTCCTAAGATCTGTCCCCTGAGCAGAGAGGACTGAGAAAACTCCTGCTCCCTCATTGGCTTTGATCAGAGAAGACTGGGAGAGTCGTGGCCTTAGCTCTTTCCCTTAGCAGTGGGGACTGAGTTAGGTCCTGTCTTCAGGTCTGTTTCCTCAGCACAGTGGATTGAGAGAAGTGCCATCCTCGGGCCTTTCACCTGAGCAGAATGAACTAACAGGGGTCCCATCCTCGGGTCTGCCCCTGAGCAGAGAGGACTGACAGGGGTGCCGTCCTCAGGCCTGTGCCCTGTCCTTCTATGGATAGCACCCCGGGGTCTGTGGCGGGCCAGCATATTTTGTACTTAATTTTAGGCTCATCTGAGAACCTGTCGATTCACTACCTTGTAAGGTAAGTCTATGTCCCATTGCAGTTGGTTGGGAATGACAAGTCCAACCTAGGGGCATGGCCGGGACCCCCTGCTGCTTCTCCCACAGGATCCAGCACCCTCTGTGGCCTTTCTGGACTCCCGACGTCCACCTGTTCCTGGCCTGGGATCACCTCCTCTTGGTGAGCTGTGTGGCAGCTTCATTTTTCTGAAGATGAAGACGCCACAGAGCAGTCACTTTCCCAGCCACTCCCATGGCAGGGTGCCAGGAGGAAGGTCACGCCCTGGGCAGTCTGGCTCTAGATGGGCTCTGGGAATGGGCCCTCTGGCTGCCAGACACAGGAACAGGGCCTGGCACAGAAGAGTGAGACCCCTGGGGGCCACCCTTTTCCCAGCCCTCAGTCTGTGGCAGGTCAGGTATCACTAACACAGGCCTCCACAACAACTGCTTCAGCACTGACCGAGTGGTAAAGTTAAATATTAAAAGCTGAAAGAGCCAGCACCCTTATACAAAGGCTTGAATGTAAGAAAAGCCCACCAAGAGTTTTGCCTAGACCTTTCCTGGGCCTTGAAACATGACAAAGTAATGAAGGAATTTTTCACAGGACCCATTTAGGATTCAACACATTTTATTGAAGGTCTGAAGAAACTCACCAGGCCTCCACAAACAAGCTTTATTGGAGATTAAAGGAACTCTCCACACCTCCATGATTTAGCAGGAGACAAAATAAGGGTCATCACCCCAGCACCTGGACCCATTTAGATTAAGTCAATTTACTGAGGCTCCAGAGGGAGGCCTTCCGGACTCAGATCTTAGTTCTAGATTAAAACAAGTTAATCACTTATGTCTTTTTAGATGAATGCACACTTACATGTAGACATATAGCTTAGAAGGGATATAAGCTCTGGAAAACTTTGTAATTTTGAGTTGGTCTGGCGATATTTTCCAGGTTTTCTCTCTGTAACCAGTTATAGAAATAAAAACTCTCTTCCTCCCCAGTTCATCTGCATCTCATTATTGGGCCACAAGAAATAGCAGCCCGACCCTCAGTTTGGTCAGGGAACAAGTCCTCTCCCACTGGGCAAGATAATTTGGAAAGAGCCGAATGTGACCTTTTCTCTCTCCCCTTTCTCTTTGCCTGTTCAAATGGCACCACCACCCAGGCCCCGACTCCTTCACCCACAGTGGGTTGTGCAAAGGCCAAAGCAGAGGCACCTGCTGGCTGCTTCCCTGGGCCTGCAGGGCAGACTCTGGTCCCCTGCTGCTGTGGTCCCCTGAGCCATGGGCCCCAGAGGCTCGGCTGGCTCTGGGCCTGGGCTTACACTCTGCCCTCTGAGCTTTTCCCCATCCAAAGACACCCAGCATTTGGGGGCAGCCTCTCTCAAGGCTACTATCTTCCTCCAGACCCTATCCCCTCCTCATGGAGCCCAGAGCAGGGCCTGCCTCCCACGCCTGCAGTCCTGCACACAGTAGTCAGTCCTCTGAGCACTTTGGCCTCTAGCACCTCTGGCTGCCCTGCTCCTGGCCCCAGGTGCCTGCTGACAATGTTGAACGTTACTCAAGCCCTGTGATCCTTGAAAACAGCAATGGTTACAAAATCCCCCCATCCCTCAGTGTTCCAGAAAATGACTTATTGCAAACAAAAAAACAAACAAAACAACAAAAACACTGTTATGGGTGGGCTGAATTTTATTTCCCCCCAAAATCCATATGCTGAAGTCCTAACTCCAGTACCTCAGAATGTGGCCTTGTTTAGAGATAGTCTTTAAAAAGGTAATTAAAGTTAAATGAAGGCATTATGGTGGGCCCCATTACAATATGACAGGTGTCCCTATAGGAAGAAGAAATTTGGACACACAGACAAGGAAGATAATGTGAAGTAAAACAGGAAGAAGATGGCCACCTACAAGCAAAAAAGAGAGGCTTGGAACAGATTCTTCCCTCACAGCCCTCAGAAGGAACCAAGCCTGTTGACACCTTGGTCTTGGACTCCTGGCATCCAAAACTGTGAGAGAATAAATTTCTGTTGTTTAAGACTTTCGTTTTGTAGTACTTTGTTATGACAGGCCTGGGAAACTAACACAATACCCCTTCCCCATAAGACTTAGTTAGGACTCAGGAATGCTCTCCTTGTTTACCTATGACACGGACAGACACAAACCCTCCAAATTCCCATTTGCATTAATCAGAGCACTCCAGAAAAGCAAAACCAGTAGGAGCTGATAGATATATTATTTTGGGAATTGGCACACATGATTATGGAGGCCAACAAATTCTATGATATGCCATCTGCAAGCTGTAGAATAGAGAAAGATGGTGGAATAATTCAGTCCAAGTTCAAAGGCCTGAGATCCAGGGGAGTTTATGGTGTTACTTCTAATCCAAAGCTAAAGGAGTGGGGAGCGCGGCCCATTGGTGTACACCTTGGAGTCTGAAAGCCTTAGATCCAGGAGCTCTGATGTCTGAGGACAGGAGAAGATAGATGTTTCAGCTCAAGAAGAGAGAGAAAGAGAGAATGAGCGAGCGAGAGAGAGAGAGAGAGCGAGAGAAAGAATTTGCTCTCCCTCCATCTTTTTGTTCTATTTGGCCCCTCAAACAACTGGATGATGCCTTCCTACACTGGTGAGGGTGATCTTTATTCATTGTACTGATAGAAATGCTATCTCTCCTGGAAACACCCTCACAGACACACCCAGAAATAATGTTTTTACCAGCTATCTGAGCATCCCTTATCCCAGTCAAGTTGACACATACAATTAACTAGCACATCCCTCTACCTCTCACTCTGTTCTTCTGTTCCACTTCATGGCAAAGCTCAGACTTGTCTATGCCTACCACCCACACTTTCTCAGCTCCCATGCTCTCCTTGATTCTCTGAAACACTGGTTTCACCCATTCTGCTACTGAAAGGACTCAACAAAGTGACCAAACAACCTCAATCTTGATGAATCCAAAGGTCAATTCTCTGTCCTCATCTTATTTACACCAACATCTCAGTAGATTTTGACCCAGGTGACTATTCTTCCCTCATGAAGCACTTTTTCCCCTTGGCTCCTGGGATACCACATGCTTCGGGTTTCCTCCTACTTCACTGGCCTCTCCTGATAGAGTTTTCTGATTCCTCCTTCTCTGCTTGATTCTCCGCAGGACTCAGTGCCCTGGGTCCTCTTCTCTTTACTATCTACATTCACTTCCTTGGTGATCTCAGCCTGTCCATGCTTTCATTATCATTGGCAGGCTGCTTCTAAGCCCAGTTCCCTCTTAAGCTCTAGGCTTATATGTCAAAGTGCCTAACCCACATCTCCACTTGGGCAACAGAACATCTCAATACCAATTTTCCTAACACAAAACTCTGGCTCCCAAGCCACACCATTCAATCAGTGCCAAACTGCTCATAAGCTCACCCAAGATACTGGCATCACCATCTACCCAATTGCTCTGATTCCAAAACTAGACTCAGTTTGTCTTCTTCTCTTTCCCTCATAGATTCATATTCCATTATCAGCAAGTACTGCAGTTCTACTTCCAAATACATGTAAACTCCATCCACTTCTATCTCTACCACTGCCATCATTGTCCAGGCCACCGTCACTGATACTTGCAGTGCAATAGCCTCCTCTCTCTCTCCTCTTGCTCCTCTATAGTCCATTCTCCAAATATAACTCATAGTGATTTTTAAAAATCAGAAATCAAATGACATCATTTCTTTGCTCAGAAGCCATGGATGGCTTCCCATATCACTTAGACTAAAACTCAAACTTCTAACCATGGCCTGCAAACCCTACATGATCTGGCCCCCACTCTGCTGTGTGTTTACCACCCTCTAGCCCCGCTGGCTAGTCCCTCAAACACACCTGGCTCTTAATCTTATCTCAGGGCCTCTGCCCTTACTGGCCCCTCTACCTGGAAAACTTGTGGGAATGGAAATATTCTAGGCCTGTGCTGCCCAACAGGGTAGTCTCTAGCCATGTGTGGTTACTAGGCACTTGAAATGGAGCTAGTGTGACTGAGAAACTGGATTTTAAAAATGTATTTTAGTTGATTTCTATTTAAACACAAGTAGCCTAACGTGGGATGTGGAGACCATATTTAGCATGTGGAGACCAGAGCTCTAGCTCGTTCTGCTTTATAATTTTACAGAACTTGTCTGAAATCATCTATTTTATGCATTCATTTAGTCAACATTTACTGAGCACCTACTATGTGCAGGGCACTATTATAGGCACTGGGAATTCAGCAGTGGAGCAAAAGGACAAAAATCTCTCATGGAGATTTCATTTAAGTAAGGAAATACAAACAATAAAATAAGAAGAAAACATGTAGTATGTTAGATTGTGATAAGTGCTACAGAGAAAAAGCAAGGAAGCAGGTATAAGGAGTGTTATGGGTGTGCACAGAATTTTAAATTGGATGGTCCATGAAGGTGATCAGGAAGAAGGTAGCATCTGAGCAGAGATGTGAAGGACGCAAGGGAGATGGCCACGTGGGCATCTGGGAGATGAGCATTCCAGGCAGAAGAGACAACCAGCACACAGCTCAAGGCCAGAGAATGCCTGGAATGGTATGAGTAAGAAGGAAAGGTGGTGGGGGCTGGATAAAGCAGCACCTGCTTGGCCAGCCACCTTGAGGACTCTGGCTTTTAGTCCAAGTAAAATGAGGCCTGGGGAAGGTATGGAGCAGAAGAGGGATGTGATCGGATTGAAACTCTTCACTCTTGCAGCCATGCTGGGGTACACTTCAGGGTGGGAAGGAAGGAAAGATGATTGCTTAGGTTATTGTAATCATCCACATGGGGGATTAGGGGACAATATGTTTATGGTGAAGGTGGGGAGAAATGGTTTGCCTCTGGATCTGTTTGGCAGGGAGAGTTAACAGGCTAGGCTGATGGGCTGGAAGTGCAGTGGGAGATCAGCAGGTGATGTGTAGGTTTTGGTCTATGCAAGCTGAAGAATGGGACTGCCATTTACGGAGCTGTGGATGGCAATGCATAGAGCATGGCTTCCATGGTTGAGTATGAAATGACAATTAGACTCCCCAGGTGGAAATGAGCTGTGGGAAGTTGAAACACAAGTCTGAAGTTCAGGAAGATGATGTGGGCTGGAGCAGCTGCAATTCCAGAAGGAGGCAGTGTATACTGTATCTGTTGAAGCCTGGACCCCAGTGATACAACGCAGTGAGTGCAGATAGAAAAGCGAAGGGGTCTAAGAACAAAGTCCTAGAGTACTCCAAAGTTGAGAGAATGGGATGATGAGAAAGAACCAGCAATGGAGATAGAAAAGGAGTGACCAGTGAGGTGGAAGGAAAGGCAGAATGGGCCTAGAGGCCTAGCAAAGGGAATGGACCTGATATGGTTTGGCTCTGTGTCCCCATCCAAATCTAATCACGAATTGTAATCCCCACACGTCAAGGGAGGGAGCCATAATTCCCACATGTTGAGAGAGGGAGGTGACTGGATAATGGGGGCAGTTCCCCCCATGCTGTTCTCGTGATAGTGACTTCTCAGAGATGTGATGGCTTTATAAGCGTTGGCATTTCCCCTGCTTGTACTTCTCTCTCCTGCAGCCTTGTGAAGAAGGTGCCTGCATCCCCATCACCTTCTGCCATGATTGTAAGTTTCCTGAGGCCTCCCAGCCATGTGGAACTGTGAGTCGATTAAACCTCTTTCCTTTATAAATTACCCAGTCTCAGGTATTTCTTTATAGCAGTGTGAAAACAAACTAATACATGTCCACTGGACCAAACGCTGCTGCTCAGTCAATGAGGCCTGAGAAGTGTGCATGGGGTCTAGCAATGTGGTGGTCATTGGGGACCTTAGCACTAGCATTTTTAGTACCATGGTGGAGGTGAGAGCCTCAAAGAAGTGGGTTCAAAAGAAAATGAAAAAAGAGTAAAGACTTTCATGTTTATTTAGCACCTGCTTCCTATCATTGACCAGAAGGACAGGGTCTTTGATTTGTCACTGGTGTGTCCTCAGTGCCTACTATAGTGTGTGGCCCACAGTGGGTGCTCAGGAAATATTTAAATTATTAAATGGATGAATGAATGAATGATTCTTTCTCATCCTTCAGGTTTCAGTTCAGAGGTCACCTCCCCCAGAATACCATCCTTAGCCCCAGAAATCCAGGTGACACACCTCTGTGCTCCTTTAGCTATTGCGACTGAAATAGGATTGTTGCTTTGTCTTTCTCCCCATGAGATGGTCACTCCACAAATTCACAGATTGTCTGTCTTGCTCATTGATGTATCCCCAGTGCCCCACAGAAGGCTTGATGCACTGTACAAGGAAAGTGAGTAGCCTTGAGGGGTGGAGCTGAGTGCAGGGGAACATTAAAGAGGGCCTGGAAGATAGCCTCCTTTTGTATAGCAAACTCATACTAAAGCCAAATATCATGTCCTTGTGAAAAGCTTCTCTGTTAGATGTGGTGGTATGTGCATCTGTAGTCTCAGCAACTCAGGTGGCTGAGCCTGGATAACTGCTTGAGCCCAGGAGTTTGAGGTTGCAGTGAGCTACGACCATGCCACTGCTCTCCAGCCTGGGTGACAGAGTAAAAATCTGTCTCTAAAAACAAAAATGTAAAAAAGCTTCCCTGACTAAGTGTTGTGGGAAGTCAGGGACCCCGAACGGAGAGACCAGCTGGAGCCGTGGCAGAGGAACACAAATTGTGAAGATTTCATTTTAACATGGACATTTATCAGTTCCCAAAATTAGTACTTTCATAATTTCTTATGCCTGTCTTTAATCTCTTAATCCTGTTATGTTCAAAAAGAAAGGGAGAGATGTTGCGGGAAGTCAGAGACCCTGAACGGAGGGACTGGCTGGAGCCACAGCAGAGGAACATAAATTGTGAAGATTTCATTTTAGTATGGACATTTATCAGCTCCCAAAATTAATGCTTTTATAATTTCTTATGCCGGTCTTTACTTTAATCTCTTAATCCTGTTATCTTCGTAAGCTGAGAATATACATCAGGTCCACTCAGAACCACTATTGTGTTAACTGTACAAACTGATTGTAAAACATGTGTGTTTGAACAATATGAAATCAGTGCACCTTGAAAAAGAACAGAGTAACAGCGATTTTTAGGGAACAAGGGAAGACAACCATAAGGTCTGACTGCCTGTGGGGTCGGGCAGAATAGAGCCATATTTTTCTTCTTGCAGAGAGCCTATAAACAGACGTGTGCAAGTAGGGAAGATATCACTAAATTCTCTTCCTAGCAAGGAATATTAATAATTAAGACCCTGGGAAAGGAATGCATTCCTGGGGGGGGAGGTCTATAAACGGCCGCTCTGGGAGTGTCTGTCTTATGAGGTTGAGATAAGGATAGAAATACGCCCTGGTCTCCTGCAGTACCCTCAGGCTTACTAGGATTGGGAAACCCCCAGCCCTGGTAAATTTGAGGTCAGACTGGTTCTCTGCTCTTGAACCCTGTTTTCTGTTAAGATGTTTATCAAGACAATACATGCACAGCTGAACATAGACCCCTATCAGGAGTTCTGATTTTGTCCTTGCTCTGTTTCCTCAGAAGCATGTGATCTTTGTTCTGCTTTTTGCCCCTTAAAGCATGTGACCTACTCCCCATTTGTACACCCCCTCCCCTTTTGAAATCCTTAGTAAAAACTTACTAGTTTTGTGGCTCAGGTGGGCATCACAGTCCTACCAATATGTGATGTCACCCCCGGAGGCCCAGCTATAAAATTCCTCTCTTTGTACTCTTTCTATTTCTCAGCTGGCTGACATTTATGGAAAACAGAAAGAACTTACGTTGAAATATTGGGGGCGGGTTCCCCCGATAACCAAGCAGCCCAGAGTAGGTCACTATATTATAGCATATAGGTCAAGGCTGCAGTGAGGGCCTTGACCCTGTCTCCAAAACATACCCTGTATGTTTTGTTCAGAGCACTTATCACAACAGTATTTTGTTGTGGGATGTTTGATTTACTCCTCTCCTCTTACACTGTGAGCTCCACAGAAATACAAACTGTGTCTACTTTACTGGGGCCCCCACGTCTGGCACATGGGTAGACATCCAATCAATGCTTGTTGAGTGATTAAGTGACCAACTGGAACATCAAGGTGCTGATCAAAAGAAGGCATCGATGGGCAGAAGACATTTGTGGGAGGAGATACTGAAGCAGGGGGATCTGCCAAGGGCACTACAGGCAGAGGACATGATAAGGAGGTGATCTGGCAGCCAAGCATTATGCATGCCACGTTGCAGCAAGCTCACAACTGGACAGCTAGCACAATGCGGAGCACAGTGTACAGTGGGCCTCAGAAATGAAGAGCAATGTGCAGCAGACTTTCAGAGAGAGGGAGAGGCAGTTCTCAAGCAGGGTGCATTATTCAGAGAGGCTGTGAAGGCAGAGGGCAGAGTGGACAGTGGTCACAGGCAGTGACCGCAGCTGTGCAGGGAGAACCCCATGAAGAACACATTCACAGCAAAGCACAGGGCTATAAAACAAGCCTGCACAAATTTTAAAATGTTGAAGTTATGCAAAGTGTGTTAACCTACCATAATGGAATGAAATTAGAAACTGATAACTGAAGGAAATTTGGGGAACCCACATTAAACAACAAACTCCAAAATAACCAGTGGATCAAATAAGAAGTGATAAGGGGAATTAGAAAACCTTTGAGATGAATGAAAAGGAAAACACAACATGCAGCTAGAGAAGTGCTCACAGAACAATTTCCAGCTGTACATGCATACATTCAAGAAGAAAGATATTGGCCGGGCATGGTGGCTCACACTTGTAATCCTAGCACTTTGGGAGGTCAAGGTGGGAAGACTCATTGAGCCCAGGAGTTCTAGACCAGCCTGGGCAACATGGCCAAACCCCACCTCTACAAAAAAATTCAAAGGAAAAAATTAGCCAGGCATGGTGGCACGTGCCTGTAGTCCCAGCTACTCAGGAGGTTTAAGTGGCAGGATTGCCTGTGCCCAGGAGGTCAAGGCTACAGTGAGCCATGACTGTGCCACTGCACACCAGCCTGGGAACAGGGTAACACCCTGTCTCAAAAAAAAAAAAAAAAAAAAAAAAGAAAGAAGGATCTCCAATCAATAACCTAACTTTACAACTTAAAGGAACTAGAAAAAGAAGAGCAAAGTAAATCCAAAGCAAGTAGAAGGGAAGAAATGACAAAGATTAAAGGTGACATTAATGAAACAGAGAGCAGAAAATAATAGAAAAAAATCAATAAAATGATTTTTTTTTAAAAAAGTCAATGATGTGGTTCTTTACAAACAAGAAAATCAACAGACCTTAAGTAAGACTAACTAAGCAAAGCACACTATGGCAAGGGCAATTACAGGCAGAAGCCCTTGTGCAGATAGGCCTCATTGGCTGGGCCCTAGGTGATGAACAAACTCAGCAGCAGAGATCAGAGAGCAGAAGGCATCTGCAGGTAGAAGGCACTGTGCAAGGAGCCAGGAGCAGAAGGCATTAGGAGGCAGAGGACAGTGGGAAGAAGGCATTCAGAAGCAGGTTTGGGACCTTCACAGGCAGAGGATACTGTACAGAGAAGTTTCACAAGAGGAATACATTCTGGGGAGGAAAATCCACAGGCCAAACACAATCCTAAGCAAGGAGCAGTCCCCAGAGGACATAGAGATGCATGGGTAGGAGACCGTCACAGATACAAACCTGGGATAGAAAGGAGGAGTCATGGTAATGGAGGAGGCCCAACAATAGGATCGACTTGCTGTTTCAGAATGACCCTCCCCTATTTTTCCTTTAGGTCTTTGTGTCACACTGTCACCAATTAAAAGTCCTACAAATACCTAGTTAGGAGCTACTGTTGCAGTCCTTGTCATTTGAATTAGTAAAAGCTCTTCCTTCCTTCCCATTGTAACAAGATGAAGGCCAAAGTTGGGGTGAGAAAATAGCTAGAGGGACACTAGTCCAATGGCCCTGAGGCCCCTACTCAGTGGCAGAAGGAGTTCTCGGAGTATTATGTCTATCTTTGGACTTCCTGATCACCCTTTCCTGTCCCTGGGTTGAATCAAGACTTGGATCGCATGCAGATTACACTGGTACACATCTAGAGGAATGAGTTGGAGTATGTGTTGGGGTCACCTTTGAGGAGGGCCTTTGAGAGATGTGTATTCAGAATTACTGTCAAGGAAGAGTTAGAGGGACCAGGGGTGTTTAAATGTGAGAAGAGTTGACCAAGACAGAATCTGAGAAGTATTTTCATCTATTTTAAGAGCTGGCATCTAGCGGAGGGATTAAAGACCACCAGTGGGTGACATACAGAAATGGACTTTAACTCAACTGAAGAATGCATCTTCTAAAACCACAGACAGCAGGGGCTTGTAAGGAACTGAGCTCCTGGTCACTGGAAGTGGGCACTAATGACTAGGTGGCTGTCTGTCTGCAGTGGTAATCATGAGAAGGATGGACCGCCCCCGCTCTCTGCCGCCACAATACAATATTCTTCATTAAGATTTGATGTGTCTAGAATTCCACAGTTCCTGTGCATGCCCAGTGTCTAGAGCTTGCTATTAAGTACTTGTTTACTTTTGTACAGAGAATGGCTTCAGGCAATAGGAATAAAGAAATCACACAGCTGAATACACCAAGTTATTACACTTCAAAAGAAAACTTTAACACTGACACATGTGATATCTTACCATTTATTATAATTGCGCACATTAGTGTGGATTAAGTATGATTAGAAACACTAAGCAATTGAAAAGAAGCAAAAAGGTAATGCATCCCTCTTCCTCAGATCTGCAAAATTCTGTGCCTTTTTAGACATGAGAGAGGCTGTTTTGGATCTAAGTCAATAATGGCTCTTGCAAGATTTCTTTCAATGTCTTGCATGTTGGTTCTAAAACTCCCTTAAAGGCAGACTATACCTTGAACGGGGGAAGCCAGCCTATCTTGGGCCTCTTTACCTTGCCTTTCATCCACTGGTCCTGCACTGAGACTCAGGGATAGCACCTCTCACCAACGGGGTGACTTTTATTTCCTTCACTCATTCATTGAGTGCCTGTGTGTTAGTGTCCACCACGTGCCAAGTCTGATGTTGGGGACTACAGCTGAGGAAGAGCAGTTGGTATTTAGTGTGGGTACATGCCCTCCAGAGGAAATCCACTACAAATAAATGGAATGTTCCTCTCTGATCATTTGGCAGGAAGAACAAGCCCACAAGCCAATGTGCATAGGGCTCAGAAACTGGAGAAAGACGTAGACATTTTATAATTAAATCAAGAGCAGAGGCCCTCATTTTGTATCAGAAATACTCTAAGGTTGTTCTTCCTTTCAAGGAACTTACAGAGTGATGCTGGGCCCACAGATGGCAGAGTCCAGCTGAACCTGAGCAGAGGATCGGCTGACTGCATGGACAGGCTTACATCTGCCCAGCCATCCAACGAGTTTCCATGTCCCAAGTACCTGGGGCCCCAGCAGTTGCCACTAGCTTAAGGCAGAGTCTAGACAGGAAAATGGGTCACTGAAAGCTCTCTGCTCAGATCAGCTAGCCCCCTGGAGCTTTTCCTGGATTCACAAGCTCCTCTTTGGTAATGTCTGTGAGTCAAATCTGTTCTCAGCTGAAAGCATCTCAGTTTGGAGGCATTTTCATGGGCGGAGAGGAGGGAAAGGGGCAGCTTGGCCCTTGAAGTACTTCATGGGGGGGGGGATAATTCAGGGATCCAGGATGCCCAGAGGAAGAGTGTGATTTCACACCTTCTGCTCTTTGCAAGCCTATGCCTTTGGGAGGCCTGAAGGGAGGGTGTTAACCTGGCAGGAACTGTGTACCCTCTGCACAGTGCTTGGCACACACTGAGCACAAAATCAATGCTTGCTTTTGTGGGTGCTGCTCTGGGAAGAGCATGGGCTCTGTAGCGTTCTGCGCAATGCAATAGCCACCTCTCTGAGTTCCAATATCCTCATGTCTAAGATGGGATGAGAATATCACCTTCACAGGATTATTATGGGGATTAATGCCATTACTCTGTGACAGTGCCTGCTATGTGGTAGAGCCTCAAGAAATGTTAGCTGCTTTTCCACCTCCTTAATCCTGCTGGGATCTATACACCCTAAAACCCACTTGGGAAGATTTATGTGTGAAGTTCAGGGAGCAGAATTGAGGGCAAATTAATCAGCTATCAAGATTCCAACAGACACAGATATCACTTTGATCAGTAGCATCCTAAAATCACATCCTACTGAATTTAAACCTAATTGTGTAAATTTTCCAACACATGCCAACATACCTGTAAGGGAACACTCAAATATAGTGAAAGGTGAGTGGAAGACCAAATGAAAAACTGCTATATAACTCAATCAAAAGCAACTAACTACTTTTACAAGTGTATGGAAATTTAAAAAAAATAGATATGGCAAATAGACAAGCTAAACACTAGCCTATGCCAATCCCTAGCATTTGATGTCTGCAATTTACCCACCAGGGATCATCAACAGTCTTCAACTTGGCCCATTATAAGCCTCAAGGGAGTCAGGACACACTGAACCCTACACTTCTGCCCACTTAAACTCATTAGAAAGCCAATCTGTCTTAGGGAAGCCAAGATGGAATTCCTGTTTGATCCTCTTTGGTTGAGCCTGAAATGACATCATGGGCATAAAGCGCTTTCTAAGCTACAAGAAGCTACACACACAAGCAATTATCATAGCATCATTAAGATACGATATTGGATGTATGCAACTTCAACTTGAGAAGGGCAAAAGCATGAAGAAATCAAACAGGGAGGGAGGAGGTGAGGGAAGGGGAGACAGCAACTTGGGGCAAAACTGGGGACAGCCAAATTTGTCCACGAGTCATCAGCTTCTGATCAGCCTGGCGGTGGGGGGTCGCTAAAAGAAAACAGAAGTAGCCATGAGACTGGAAACACATCAGCTAGAGGCCCTCAGGGTGGGTGACTGCTCCAGTCATCAGGAGTTACCACCTAGCTCAAGGTGTGTCTTCTGGAGAGAAGACCATCAGCATGGAGCTAGTGGAAAGCCTGGTTGCTACTGCCTTCAAGGGATATATTCTGCTCTGTGCTCAGACACCGTGATAAATTCCACTGGCTATGAGCATGCAAACACACATCTTCAGGCAGTTCTCATAATGTGGCCCAGAGGCTTGTTTCACTGAGCACCATGGCTATGCAGTCCTGATCTGAAGCTATGCGAGTGACAGTGAACAGAGAGCCCTGGACAAGAATCCAAAGACCTGGGGTGAGGTCCTGATTCTACCTGGGTTTCTCCAGGTCCCCTCCCTTTCTATATCTTTATTTCCTTGTTGCAAAATGGGGCTAACAACAGCGGCCGAGCGAGTATCCCAGGGTAGCTAGAGGGCTCGGCTCAGGTGCTGGACGGAAGGTGTGATTTGGAAGTGTCCTCATTGAGGGCCTTTGTCCATGCCACCTAAGATCTCAAAGTATCACAAGGCATAGGGACATGAGGACACAAGGCCCCCTGAACATAAGGAAGAGCCAAGAAAGATAGCTGTGTCTGGGGCTGAGACTCCAGGAGAGACCAGGGTGCATCTCTACTCCTTAATGAGTCTCTTGGCCACTTGTCCTTTGCAGTGCCAGCACCCACCTAGAAGAGCTTCTCATAGCATTTCCCACAGTGAATGGTGTCACGGTGAATGAAGATCTGATCCAGGAGATCGCCCATCGGTTTACTGCAAATCCCACACTGAAAAGAAAAGCAAGCTGGAGGTCAACACACAAAGCAAAGCAAGAGGAATGAGTGGAGTGGGAAGGGGATGCCTGAACAAGGTGGGCGAGCAGATGCTGTGAGCCCGTGGCACATCCTGGACCTCAGGACTTGCAAACATCACAAAATAATACAAAAAACATCACAAAATAATACAAAAAAAAGCCTTTTTTTTCAGTAGGGAGTAGTAAGCACAGCTAGCAGCTCAGCTACTTTCAAGGGCCAGTGGGCAAGCAAAGGGGAACCTGTTTGGCATGATTTGACCAGAAATGTGTTTCCCTGTGGTCAGCCGGTTCTCAGGAGAAGCTGCTAAGTGGGGCATGTTCTGCATTGCAGCACTTACTTAACCAGGAGCAAGCAAAGTTCAGGCCCTGTGGGGAGGACAGAAGCCTGCCTAACATTCTGTCAAGGCAAAGGGGAGGGTTGTTTTTCTCAGTGCACCCAGAGGTGACACCCTAAATGGATTGGAACCAACAACCTGGGGTTACAAAGTGCCACACACTGTGGAGAATGGGGACCCCAATGTCACTTAGAATAAAATCCAAACTCTGTGCCCGCCAAGGCCTACATGATCTAGCCCACTCTGTCACTCCTGGCATTCTCCCACGCAAGCTAGAACACTCTAGTGCTTCTGCCCCAGGGCTTTTGCACTTGCTGGCCCTCTGCCAGAAATAGTCTTTCCTGAAAAGACCTCTTTTGTCTTCCCTACAGTACTAAGCATGCAGAACCACCAACACTCATCTACTGTCTTAGACTTGGAAGCTCATTCAGCTCCCAGTTGTGCAAAGCCTCTGCGACTATGTGCAATTGTATATGGAGATCAAGCCTCCTCCACAGTCTCTGAACCCGTAAGACTCCCGCACTCTACAAAACGTTCTTAGCAGCACGTGATCAGGAGTTACCGCCTAGCTCAAGGTGTCTTCCACCTCTTTTTTACCTTAAAGCAATATTCATGGCAGCAGATACCAAGATGTTCTAGGGTAATCTTTGGACAGTCTCGGATCTCACGGTTGCAGTAAGTACAGATCCCTCCAGTTGTCCTGTGAGATGAAGAACAATAACCCGGTGGTCAGGCTGGTGTACAGACCTCTGATGTGACACAGCCAGACCTTCCAATTTGGTGCAGCCAGGCCCAGGTTTGCTGTCAGGATCCCCAGGATGCCACTGTTTTCTGTGGTGTGCAGCACAGCCCTGGGCCAGATCAGTTCTCAGCCTGCTGTAGACCTCTGCATTATTTCCAAAAACTAGTCATGCATCTTTTTCCAGCTCACAATGACATGTCTCCTGTAGATGTCCTGATATGATACTTATTCCAGACAGTTTGCCTCCCCCTGACCTTCTGCTTAGATTATCCGCTGGGGCCTGCTACCCTCTAGAGCAGGAAGACCAATGCCTTCTCCTACAGGAGACATGTCATTGTGTGCCCTGCCTGGCCCCGTCTTGATGGCCCTTCTCCTCACGCCTGGGCCAACTGAGCTCTGCCCCTGCCTATACTCCTGGACCCACCCTTCATGCTCTGTCTGTAGAGCCTACTCAGATCCGACACTGAAGTTCTAGATACTGACTCCTGGGTTGAGCATCTTTCCAGTTCCAGGATGCCTGTTTCTGAGAGTCACCTCTGCTTTTCTTCCTCAGACTGCACTTCCTCAAAGTAACTGCTTGATCTGATCCTACAAGCCAAAATTCAGGGTACTTTCTTCCAGAGATTTGGGTCTGCTTCTGACAGAAGCCCAAGGGGCGGGGGGACATTAACAATCTAGATCCACGTTAGCTCTGTCGGAGGACCCAGAAGTGTCACGGGCAGCTTGGGTGTGGCCCACCATCCTGCTGCTGGCCCAGGGTTCACTCTGGACAGCAGTGCTGCTTGAAATCCTTGCCCTCAGCGCAGCCCTGCTCCTCCTGCTTCTTTCACCACCAGCAGCACCAGCTCACAGCTGTTCTTTGTGTGCGTGCATGTGTGTCTGTGCATATGCATGTGTGCAAGTGACTGAGATTGTCCCTAGAGAGTCCCCTTCCTTCCTCCAAGCCTAGCAATGGATCAGTAATGACTGATTCTGGATTTAGTAGTTGTGCAATGGAAAGGGGGGTCCCTAGAGTATCTGGTTTGTCACTCCACTAGAATTGGAAGCCTCATTCCATTTGCTCCTATGTAAGTGGTTAACTCTCAGGTTTCTGACCAACCTGCCCTTCTCTGCTAAGACTTCATCTGCTGATGTGCCTCACCAAGTAATCTGTAGTTACTCAGAACCACCTGCTTCTTCAGCTATAGTGGAGGAGATTCCCTGGCCCCATATGCTTGTCTGCTCCTATATGTTTGCCTCTGGGGCCCGGTAGGATTCTCTTTATCTTAACCCTCTTACTTCCTTCCTTTTCCTCCCCAATGTAGCTTTGGTCTCTGAATGTCATCCACATGAATTAAGATCTGCCCATCAATGAGAAGCAAGATGGCAGAGTAGAAACATCCCTAACCTGGGAGTAGTCAGGGCCCTGGGGTTTAGTCCTGGGTCTGCCGTATTTGCTTACTGTGGACTGAAGGCTATTTATTCCATTTTCTTCACAGAAGCCTGAGTGAACTCAATCTCTGAGACTCTCTTCTCCCCATTCCAAGAATCTGAACATAAGATTTCTTTGTCATTAAGACTCTCTAGTGACTGTGCCATCATCTAGTGACAGCTTTCAAAACTGCTGAACGAGGTGTTCTCTGCCCCTGCTTTCAATTTGGTGGCTCCACAGCACTGGGCATTCTTGGCTTTGTGTGTCTTTCTGGCTTCTTGATGCCAGCAGCCCATTTTTCTTCCTTCTCTGCCCACTCCTCTCTTTTGTAGTCATTTTATTTTTACTTCTGGTTAGATTTGCAAGTTAATGAAGTGATTGATTAGGTTCTAATCTGAAGGGCCCCTCCTGCTGACACGAGTCCTCTGGGTTGTCAGATGCCACCACTTCCCTTCTCAGTCACCGCTGGTATCTACCCTCTAGTCTTAGCTCAATTCAAAGGCTTTAGTTGTCACAAGTGTGATATCCCAACAAGGGAAGCACCACCCTACGGTAGTGTCCTTCACCTTTCTGCAAATGGATTGGAGGCTGCAAAGCAGAAGACAAAAGCAAACAGACTCAGCAGGAACTCTCCCTTCCCTGATTCTCCTCTGTAGAAGTGCAAGCTCCGTGCTAAGAAAGTCAACATACCTCTCAGAGTATGGAGTGCTGCCACATGGAGGCTTCTTCTCCATGGCGAATGAGTCCTCAATGCTGCTGACGCTGCAGGGAGTTTGATAGGGGAGAGGAGGGCAGAGATGAGAGCCAAATCACTATCATAGTTAATTTTCTAATTAACCTTTGGCCACAAGCTGAGACATAACTACGATGCCAGTCGTCATTCATGACTTGGTGCCACAGGGCCCTTCTATGGGGGGGCAAAGGAGACCTTTCACAATGAGGGAGATGATCGGGGCTGGGTGGCTAGGATTCCTGAGGTTGTATATGCCAAGGGGACCCCACTGACCAGTGGGAAAACAGCAGAGCTTTCCTCCCCACCTATGATATAATGTGACAGTCACCAGGAGCCCACTCAGCAGAAATCAGATACTGGGAATGAGAAGAAAGAAGGGATCATTCTGGTATAATACCTGTGCTTGAGTTATGGGGTAGAATTAGGGGGTGCAGACGGGTTTGGAGTTTCTTTTTGGGGAGACAAAGGTGTTCCAGAATTGGATAATGATGTTTGCATAACTCTGTGAATGTACCAAAACCTCGGGACTGTACACTTTAAAGGGTGAATTATAACTCAATAAGCTGTTGAGAAAAACCACCCTAAGGGCCTACAGATGTGAAAGCAAAGCTCAGAGAGGTTGAACATCTTGTCCGAAGTGATCCTAACAGGGGGGCCTGAGCTGGGGCTTGAACTTGACCCCCACAGCCATGCTCATCATTCCACAGCACCAATAAAAGCCAGTCCAGAAGCCCCAGAGGCCCAATCCTGAAATAAGGCCAGGATGCTCCTCTCTGTTGCTAAAATCCTCCAGTGAGATGACATGTCATAAGAAACATTCTAAGGGACCTCACCTCAGTGTGGTAGGTAGCAATACACCGAGGTGACATGGAAGTACCCCTCCACATGGCATCACAAAGCAAGAAAATGAAGAGATGATCAATGAAAAGGGGAGGCCGAGGCAGGTGGATTGCTTGAGGTCAGGAATTCGAGACCAGCCTGGCCAACATGGTGAAACTTCATCTCTACTAAAATACAAAAACTAGCTGGGCATGGTGGTGGGCGCCTGTAATCCCAGCTACTAGGGAGGCTAAGGCAGGAGAATTGCCTGAACCCAGGAGGCAGAGGTTGTGGTGAGCTGAGATGGCGCCACTGCACTCCAGCCTGGGCAACAGAGCAAGACTCCATCTCAAAAAAAAATTAATTAAAATTAATTAACTAATTAATTAAAATTAAAAAGCAAAGCCACACATGTATCAGGAACTGCAGTCACATGTGTGTTCAAATGAGGCAGCCTGGCATGACAGAAAAGAACATGAGGGCAGAAGAGAAGAGCTCTGTGATCTGAAAAGAAATAGGATGAGCTAGTTGGTCCCTAGGGCTCTGCCAGCTCTGTCAAGAGGGGTGTTCTCAGCATTTTACAAAATAAAATAACAAAGACAAGCAGAACAGAATGGCAGTGAAAATGGTGTGCAGGATGAATTCACCGGAAGGGAGAACCCAAAGGTGCCCAGTTCAGTAGAAAATGCATCAATCCCATCAGAGGGCAACTACATCACTCATCCACTCGACAATTACCCCGAAGCTACTCTGAGCCAAGTCCTGGACAAGGAACTGGAAATGCAGGGATGAGAATATGGGAGCCGGCAGGAGAAGGCCGACATGGAAGGGTTTGGGACCCGCTCTTACTTGCTATAGCGTGCAGATACTGGCTTCCCAGAAGACACTTCACTAGCATTCACGTACTCCTTCACGAAGAGAATCCCTTTGCTGTAGAAGGAGCACAGAAGAAATCAGAGGTACACCAGAAGATTCCAGGGAACCAGGCCTGGCCCACAGGAGTGGTTCAGGGCTGGGGAGACCCAGCCTGGTTTGAAGGAAGTGAAAGAGCTCATGGGAAGGCCCAGGATAAAGGCACTGGCACTGCTGTGGACTCAGACTACAATCCCAGGCCATGAGCGTCTCTTGTTGTGTTTGGACTGAGGGCCCCAGAAAGGGGCTTCCTGCAACCAATGACAATGTGCTGTCCTCCTCCATGCAGACCTCGGTGACCCCATCTTCTCCCCAGGCTTCTATACTTCTACACTTCAGTCCTGTGGGCTTTCCACCCCTACTTTAGGGCTGCGTCGTCTTTCCCCTCTACCCACAACCAAGATATCCTCCAAGCCTTAATCCTACACTGTCAGTCTTTACCACTCAGCACTTCCCAGAAGGTACTCAGCTACTGTGCAATCTCCACCTCACATCTAACCTCTCCATTCTCACTCCTAGAGTCCAGAGGCCTAGAGGTTGCCTCATCCTGGACTGGCCTCTGCAGGACTGGAAACAAGGTCTGCATCATGCTGGGCTCAGGATGGCCCCAAATTTTCCCCCATTTCCATGCTGCACACTCCAGCCTGCTGACCTGATGTCTGCAGAGGCCCCCTTGGATATGCCCCCCTCCCGCCCCCAACACACACACCTCACTGAGCAGCCTTCCTGCAGTGACATCCCTTCCTGCACCCTGACAGGTGGCCAGGAATGCAGGTGAAGCAGTGGGCATGTGACAGAGACAGACAAACCTCATGTTGAAATGTGATTCCCAGTGTTGGAGGTGGGGCTTGGAGGGAGGTGACGGGATCATGGGGGGATCCCTCATGAACAGCTAGCACCATCCCCTTAGTGAAAAGTGAGTTCTCATTCAGTTAGTTCACACAAGATCTGGTTGTTTCAAAGTCCGGGCCCTCCCCTTCCTCACTCTTGTTCCTGCTCGTGCCATGTGATGGTCCTGCTCCCACTTCGGCTTCCACCATGATTATAAGCTTCCCGAGGCCTTTGCCAGAAGCCAAGCAGCTGCTGGTGCCATGCTTGTGCAGCCTGCCAAACTGTGAGCCAATTAAACCTCTTTCCTTTATAAATGTCCCAGCCTCAGGTATTCCTTTACAGTAACACAGGAATGCCCTCACAGGCCCGGCCTTCACGGACTGGAGCTGGCTTCCCAGGCATGGACCCATGAATGGCAGAGCCACATCCACTAGTGCACTAGGAAGTACCACTGCAGCCTCTTACAGAGATAGGAAAAAGGAGGTGTGGGAATGTCTAGGCCCGGTAGATGGGAGTTTATATTAGGGGACTAACACTGTCCTGTGTGGCCCCTTGGCTAATGGCCTGCTAGAAACTGGGGAAGGCACTAAATGGGAAGCAACATGGAACAAAAGCCAAGTCCTTTACCGCCAAGGAGGAAGTGGCGGAGGAACATCTCCCAGGTTGCTAGATAGCCCTTCTTACGTGGTAGAGCTGGAGTCCAATTCACTTGCGGGGGCTGGAATATAAATGTGAGGCTGCTCAGATGTGGCAGTGACAGTAACAGTGACCATGCAGCTCGAGGGGCTCCTCACCCTGAAAGAAATAAAGGGAGGGGTGGGCACGTCAACCTGGGAGCTGACACCTTCCAGGGTCAAACAGGCTTTTCTGAGCCTAACCCTTGAGCACTGCTCTTGAAGCTTCCTCCAAGACCAACAAATGGAACTTCTCACTTTACAGATAAGCAAACCCAGGCTAGGTGAGTTGAGACATGTCCCAGGTCACATCGTGAGTCAGTAGCAAGACCCCAATCTTCCAGTGTCCACTCAGTACTCCTGACTGCAGCCAAGGGCCTTGGCCTCTGTGATTCACTCAGTTAGAGTGGAATCATGGGGCTCCCGGGGATGTGACAGTCAGGAGGGTGCAGAAGGGGAAGACACAGCCCAGCTCACCTCCTCACTGGATGGGACGGTCCCTTACTAGGATCAGCTCCTTCTGCCACCCTGCAGGGAACTCTCTAGAGAACACAAGGCCAAGGGGCAGAGGACCAAATGAAATTAGGCATCATTGAGGAGGAAAGTCAGATGCACCTCATTCCCAGCAGAGGCGGGAAACTGACCGGTGTCGAAGTTTTTCTGAACCTCCACACTTCAGCTGCCAGATATGGCCCTTGGCCTGGAATCCAACCTCCTCGGCAGCCCAAAAGGGCTTTTCTCTGGCCAAGCCAATATCGGCTCTCACTCTGCCTGCCCCCAGGCTATGAGCCTCATTACCAAAGCTGCCGTAGCTGTCAACTGCAGTTCAGGGCACGATGTTGGGCAGCACCACTGACCACTTGTTTGCACCTTCCAACTTAAGTCTGCTCACCCTCCAAAGGCCTGAGGCCAGCACTATGGGTGCACACTGCCCTGGGCTGATTCTGGCTTTTCTCCAACATGCTGTGGCTCAGATCATACTCCAGATATGGCTGCCTCCATCTGGCCCAGGCTACTGGGTATTGTCCCCTTGCCAGAGAATCCAATGCCTAAGATTACAACTAGTTGAAGAGTGGGGAAAGGGAAGAACAATCATGGTCTAGCATCTGCCTAGCTCTCTCGCCTCATAGTCTCAAACTGTATCACGTGCCACTCAAGCCGTACAGACCAGCCTGCAGTTCCCCTGGACTTCCAGGCTCTCATATGCCTTTGCAGACAATATCACCTCCTCTGGGAAGCCCTTCCTGAGGGCCTGCCCTCCTACCTCACCTCAGTGTACCCAATCATCCTGTACCTGTTCCTGCTTCACCCTATGACAAAGAAATATACCATAGAGACTGGAGAAGGTGGACTGGATGGGAGAGGAGGCCCCACAAAAATCTGAAAAGATACACGGGGGATAAAATGCAGAGCCAACAAGTGAGAAAAGGATTGATTCTAAGAGGAAGGAAGGAAGACCTCCTACTGACTGAACAACTACCAGGTGTCTGGTATCCTGTGATCCATGTCAGCAGAATACTGAAGGGGACGGCGCAACTGAAGAGGCAAGGTAAAACAGAAATTCCCTGGAGCTACTTGGGAAGCTGAGGCAGGAAGATCACTTGAGGCCAGGAATTCAAAAACAACCTGGGTAACACAGTGAAACACCGCCTCTTAAAAAAAAGAAAAAATGCCCTGGGCATCCCCCCAGGACTGCAATGTGAGCAATAGGAGCCCTCCCAATAGCCTCCTCTCCCTCACCTACAAGACCCTACAGGGCCCAGCTCCTGCCCCCTGCTCACCTCACCCCGTACCCTCCAAGCACAGGGCTCATTGTTCAGGCCCTCCTCCCTATCTTCTTTGTCCACAATGCCTCTCCCCAGGTTCTTTGGAAGGCAGGCTCCTCCAGATGTTTCAGGTCTCAGCCGAACTGTCTCCTCCTCGATAGAAAAGCTTTCCCTAACCATCCTTGCTCTAACCCCTCTCCATCAGAGCACCTGGTTTCTTTCCTTCCTGGGCTTATCACAAATGGAGGGGCAGTATGGATGCCACAGCGATGAACAGTACAGGCTCTGATCTCTGTCTGGATTCTAATCTCGGTTAGGCCACTTCCTGGCTGCAAAACTGCCAGCAAATTACTTAACCTCCATCTGCCTCAGTTTCTCCATAATAAAAGCACCTCCTTGAGTTGGTGTGAGAATTAAATGAGTGAGTCCACATAAGGCATGCAGAACAGTGCCTGCACATTCTCAGCACACAGCAGGTGCTAATGGTTATTACGATCATGCTTATTCCTTAGTGGACTATGTGCTCTTTGAGGGCGGCTGGATGGGGCCTTAGCCATCGTGTTCACTGTGTACATGGCTGCTCACAGGAGGCTCTTAGTATGCAGCATCTCTAGCCGGCGGCCCATGGCTCCTGGTTATTCCCAAACTCATGGCCACTTTGGGAAAAAAAAATCTCTGGGGAACAAAGGGAGCTCTCAAAAGACACGTGCACCTTCTTTCACCATCATCAACTGCAGCTCCAGGCAGTGATAAAGCAAGGACCTCTGGCCTCACACAGAAAAGGACCAGAGGGAAACTGAGGCTGGCTGCTGGCATGCATCCCATGTGTTAGGTTTGAGAGACCAGAGCCAGGCTGAGGAATGCAAGAGGTCAGCAAAAATTTTCTTTGCTGAGTTCCTTGGCAAGATAAAGCTAGCACAGCCCTCTCCTCACCCTGTTCCTGAAGCCACCCTATCAAAGCAATGGATCATGGCAGGAGAGTGAAGGCAGAGCCAGAATACTTCATTGGCAGGGACAAGATGAGGAAAGACTGGAAGCTGGTCAAGGGAATGACCTGGAACTGGGAGACAGAGAGAGCACAGAGATCACAGCAAGGCAATGGGTCAAAATCAGTTAAGTGGACAGGACGATCGCCACAAAATACCAGAAATAAGGACATCTTGAAAATGCAGCCAGTCCTGCCTCGAACTGGAAGCCTCTACCACATGTCCTGCCAGTGCAAGAGCCAATAGGTGGGTTCCCAGTGACCAAAGCTGGATGTGAGAGCCAGAAAATTCTGTCACAGAGAGGGAGATGAAGTTCACCTGGCAGGAATGGGTAAAATGTCATCAAATCATGGCATTCTCTCCTGCCCTCTAGGCCCTGCCCATGTTGCAATGGCTGTGAAGCACTTCCTGAGACCACACTGTTTCCAGTTCAACAACTCCAGTTTTCCATGGATTTTTGGAAATGACAATTGACAGAATGTTTCAGGATGATATAAAATCTGATACTAGATTGCCTGTAAAAACATTTTCAAAACTCAATTATTTTCAAATGTGAAAAAATATGCTACAAGTCACCTAGGATTTCAAAATTGGGAAAGTTCTTACAGCTACCACAAACATCACAATTGGGTGTGGATCCACACTGATCTACAAAGGCCAGAAGCCAGGAAACTACCACTTTGGGAGACCTGAGCTGCTCACAGAAAAGCACAAGCATCTGGTGTTGTCTGTTCCCTAGTACCTGGCTGTTCC